>NC_000018.10:10310049-10610099 GCF_000001405.40 Homo sapiens | reverse complement strand
TCCTATGTAGGCTCAATAGCACTAAAAGTTTTTTAATAAAAATACTAATTTGGTTTGTGAAAAATCCCATAGGTGCTTTAATTAATCAACTAGTTCTATTTCAGTGAGTTGCCTATTCAGTGTGTGTGTGTGTGTGTGTGTGCGCGCGCGTGTGTGTGTGTGTATGTTTATGGCTGAGCCAGCCCTGCCTGGGCCACAGCTACCCTAAACAGAGAGGAAGGACTGTAGGTCAGAATCACAGCCCCCCTGAGGAGAGAGGTGTGTGAAGCAGAGTGGGGTGAGGTTCCCCCTCCCCTATGCAGGGGGTGAGCAGGATGAGGACAGGAGCCCAGGGAGTGGTGCAGACACAACTCCCACTTCCTGACACTGCTTTGGAGCTTGGGCTCCTTCAAAGCCGCCTTACAGATCCTAAAACCTTCATGGGGGCACAGCCACTGCATGCAAATAAGAGCTGTTACCTGTCTGTCCCTGGGCCTCCCTCTCCTGGGTTCTCACAGCTGACCCAGTGGGTGGAGGGGGGTCCTTGCTGTCAGCGTTGCAAGCCAAACCTATCCAGTGGGCACCCTGATGGCTGAACTCCCCTGGAGGCCCTGAGGGGTTTCCCAGCTGGGAGGGGCCATCTCAGGAGTGTCCCCACTGTCCCCCATTGCCCTCAGACCCCAAAGCCTTCCTGCCTCCCTGACACACCTGGGCATCTCAGTGTGAGGCCCGCAGTTTTCTAAAGCTGTTCATGGTGTGAGAGAGGGGCCAGGGCATCTGGGAACTGTAAACAAGGGTGCTGTCAGTGGAGGGGTGGTCCCTCCCTGAAAGGAGCCGCAGCCACCTGCTTTCCAGCTGTACCAGCAGGGCATGTGTGCTATTTCCTCTCTGTCGGTGTTTCCTGTGAACTCTGCCTCCCGGGTTCAAGAGATTCTCCTGCCTCATCATCCCCAGTAGCTGGGACTACAGGCATGCACCACCACATCTGGCTAATTTTTGTACTTTTAGTAAAGACACAGAGACAGGGTTTCACTATGTGGGCCAGGCTGGTCTCAAACTACTGACCTCAAGTGATCCTCCCACCTTGGCCTCCAAAAGTGTCAAGTTCCTAATTTCAATAACTAATCTCACAGATCGCTTTCACATAATGCTGTTTGCTGCATCTCCCAATTTTCAATTTGCGCAATTTTTATTATTTATTAGTAAGTATTATCTAATTTCATTGTGATTCTTACAGAGATTTGAGTTTAAAACTATGCTCTACATTTTCTCATATTGCAGCCAACGCTCCTGTGCATGAGTCTTCATATTTTGCAAGTCTACTTTGGGATAGATTTTGAGATGTTGGACGATGGGTCAAAGTGTTAGTGCTTATGCAGCTTTGCTAGATGTTGCCAAACTCCTCTCCACAGGTGCTGAGTCAGCTTTCTTCACAACAATGTGGGCACAACCACACTAACGTAGTTACATGTGAAACTTCTGAAATTTTGTCTTGAAGTGGTTTCTCAGTACAGTTTTAATGTGAACTTTTTCACATTTTGAATGAGATTAAAAGCCATTTGTTCCTTTGTTTCTCTTTGAACTGTTTATGTCTCTGACATGCTTACATGGGCTTGTTGGTACTCTTTTCTTCCCTGTTTTTAGAGACTTATTATATATTAAGTATATTAAAACCTTTGTGTTAGGCACAGAGTTTACTCACACCACACTCTCATCAGCCTCTCTTTTATCTATTTTTTTCCTTTATAACTATTTCAGATCATGTTTCCGTCCATCCCTGAGTCACCAACCCAAGTGTAAATAATGTGGACCACTCTTCCAAATAATCTCTACAGATACTTAAAGAATTCATAGAGTGTGTTTGCATTTTTGCATTAAATTATTTTCCCCCTTTAGGCCTCATCGGTTTTTTATTTTTTCTGAGATTTAAACTCATACATTTAATTTTATCCATGTGTGCCTGTGAGCCTCTTCCGTGACTTCCAACTGGTCAGCATTGCGTCAACCACACTTTCCTTATAAACGCCCTTGTGCCGAGCAGCCAGGTTGCTACTGATACCAGCTCCCTCCTACAGTGAGGACGCCTCCTGCATCTTTCCTGCCTCTGAACGACAGAGGGCTTGGTGCTTGGAGAGTGCACACTTAATGTTCCTGTGTGCTGAGGAAATCCCTCAGGATGGTTGACCTCCTAAATACTCCCAGTTGTGAGAGTTTGACTCCCCATAACCTAACTAGCAATTTATTTTGATTCTTTTAAATTGCAACATTAGTTGTCTGCTCAGCACTCACTGGTTTCATGCCTGACTGAGAAATAAGTGTGCAGTTCTGGAGTGTCCACGAGAACCCACGGGTTTCGCTTGCCCGGGCCGTGCTGGCGGGCGGACCTCCATCCCTCTCCCTGCTTCCAGCCCAAGGGGCTCTGGCTGCTCCCGCCACTCCCATCGCGCTCCGCCCCAAGCCCCATCGCGCTCCGCCCCAAGCCCCATCGCGCTCCGCCCCAAGCCCCATCGCGCTCCGCCCCAAGCCCCATCGCGCTCCGCCCCAAGCCCCATCGCGCTCCGCCCCAAGCCCCATCGCGCTCCGCCCCAAGCCCCTTTGCTTTCCCTTTGCCCTTCGTGGAGGGAGCCTCCCACAGAGACGTGCTGGGCTTCTCCACAGCCACTGCTTTTGCCTCAGGTGGATCTGAACCTATGTTCATATGACTTTTATTCATCCACATTTGCCTTCTGTAATTGCTTTGTTGTAATATTTGTCCATTTTTAATTAGGTTTCCATTTTATTTGTCTTTTCTATTTTTTTTCAGAATTCTCGGTAGTCCTTGCAAATATCTTTCCATTGTTTGATACCCTGTGCAATTTTACCTATTAAATCCTTCTTTGAACAAAACACCTTAAATAATAGTCGTGCGGGAACTCACAAGGTTATGTGGTTTCTCAGACAGAATAACACACCATGTACTCACTTTCGTCTGTCAAATTCACAGAAACCTCAGCAAGTTTGGCATAGTAAAGCATATGAAAGTGCACTCAATCACACATGATCAGAAGAATGCATATTCAAACCAGAGTTTCTCACTTCTACACCCACCAAAATAGACACGTTATCAGAGAGAAAAATGCAGAGGGTTGGTGAGGTTGTGGAGGAACTGGAGCTATCACATGTGACTCTGGGAACATACTTAATTTCATCCACTTTGATAAATGACTTTCTAGGGTGTACTAGAGTAATCGGTACCTGTGACCCTACAGTCCCACTCCTGCTACCTATGTCCAAAATACATGTATGAGGCAAGGATGCTGGTGTCCCCCTGGGGGGCTTTATAGCAGCGTCACTTCATGTAACTGTAGCAGGACAAGCCGCAGACAAAACCCCTCAGACACCGAATTAAAGCAGGAACGGCTTTATTCAGCTGGGAGCTTCGGCAAGACTCACGTCTCCAACAACTGAGCTCCCCGAGTGAGCAATTCCTGTCCCTTTTAAGGGCTCACAACTCTAAAAGTGTCTGCGTAAGAAGGTCATGATCGATTGAGCAAGCAGGGGGTACGTGACTGGGGGCTGCATGCACCGGTAATTAGAATGGAACAGAACAGGACAGGGATTTTCACAGTGCTTTTCTATACAATCTCTGTAATCTATAGATAACATAACCGATTAGGTCAGGGGTCAACCTTTAACTACCAGGCCCAGGGTGTGGTGCTGGGCTGTCTGCTTGTGGATTTCATTTCTGCCTTTTAGTTTTTACTTCTTCTTTCTTTGGAGGCAGAAATTGGGCATAAGACAATATAAGGGGAGGTCTCCTCCCTTATAACCATCATGATAAACAGAGTGAATGTAAAACATAGAGGGTGAAAACTCATTGTGCCAACTTCCTACAATGTAGATGTTATATATGGACAGGACCGAGCAGTACAAAATGCTGAATGTGTCATCACAATGGAACATAGGTGAAATTTACATGATATTCACGTGTAATTTTCATTCAGGCACAAAAGAGTGCATACTGTAGGTTTCCATTTATACAATGTTTAAAAATAAATTTAAAATATGTTGATCATGACCAGAATAGTGAGTGTCTCTTGGAAGTTACTGCCTAGGAATTAGCCAAAGAGCGGCTGCCAGGGTGTTCATATCTGGGCGGTGGTAACACAGTGTTTGTCAGAAGGCAACAATCTGTACAGGTAATATACTGTGCACTGCACCACAAGTAAAGCAACCATCAAATAAAAACAAAGTAACACAAACTATTTTTCCATACGCAAACTTCCATCCTTACTGTCCCCTCTGAGTCCATCACATATTTTAAATAGAAGTAACTCCAATCTTGCATGCACACTTCTGGATATAGAGGGAACACACAATGCTCTCTCTTTTAATCGGGACAATCATGACAGCAAATTCAGCAAAAGACATCACAAGAAAGGCGAATTAAAAGCCAAACTTGGCTGGGTGTGTGGGCTCCTGGGGACAGTGGGGTGTCCCCTCCCCTCACTCCAGCTGCCCTGATTTTCCAGCACAGGATTTGCTGGCCATGCCCTTCACTCTGTTTACACATCGCCCCCAGCTGTGAACCCCTCTAGGACCTGGATGTGACTCAGTGTTCAGCACCCCTAGGGTCTCACAGAGCACTGGATACTTATGCCTGTGCCCAGGAAGTACGTACTGGATGAAAGATAACACTAGGCCATTGATGGCTACGCTGGAAGGAAAACCCAGGGGCAGGGAGGTGACGTCTCCCTCATCTCTGAATCTCAGTTCTGGGCTCCCTGGTGCCACAGTCATTAACCACGTGCATCTGTATTTTAAATTAATTTTCAAATGTAATCTCCAGTACCTCATCACACCAGGCATATTTCCAGTGCCCGATAGCCCTGTGCTCACAAGGCAGAGGGAATATTCCCGTCTGTGCAGAACAGGCTCGTGGCAGTGGCTCCAACCTGGGACAGTGTGTTTGTGAATCACCGACCTGTAGGGTTGGAGCCCCACATTGATAAGGCTGGTAGGGAGAGCTGCAATGATCCGGAAGAGAGGGGAGTGGCACGTGGAAAGGGGGTCCTCTCTTGATGTGAACGTTTGCAAATGTGAGCAGTGACTTGTTGAAGGTCTCTGATTCCAGAGAGCCCAGGTTAGTTCTGAGAAAGCAGAGGACGGAGCAGGGAGTTGCTGTGGCAGCTGGTGTGGCCTCCCCTGCAGCAGGGAGGATGGGTAAGTGCCTCTGGGTAACACCTTTCTTGTGGTACTTGTGTCTCCAGAGCTTGGATTGGCAACAGGAGACATGACTCCAGCAGTGACGATGATGACGCTCCAGGTAGATGGGCACCCTTGAGAGGGGACGCCATGAAAGTGGCTTCCCGGGAGCAGTCCACTCAGGCCTGCAGCTTTGGAGACCAGGGAAGGAAGAGGGAGATGAAATTAGAAAAAAAGAAAATGTGTTATGTTTAAATGTTCATGACAGTAAAAAAAAAGTGATTATGTCTAGGGCCTTTGAGTGTTGTGTTTGTCATCATCTTTTCTTGCTTTGCTTCTCAAACATTATCTTTCCCTCGGGACCTGCTATTTTCTGCCTCTTCCACACCAAATCCCAAACACTTGGGTTCTATTGGTTATCATCTCTTGAGAATCGGCTTGGTTTCTCCTGACTGCTTAGAATAAAATGCAACAAGAGACTGGGTTTTGGTGCTGGCCTACCCTGCAGGATGTCCGTGGGTGCAGCTCTCCCCAGGGCACTCGACACTGGGAGTCAGGTGGGGGTAGAGGAAGTGAGTCTCTCCTCTCTGCACTCTCAGGCGGGGGTTGGGGGTGGGCCCCTCCTGTCTGCACTCTCAGGTGGGGGTGGGGACTGGGCCCCTCCTGTCTGCACTCTCAGGTGTTGTTGCAGCAACTTAGTGCTTCTGCCCCCTCTGCTGACTCCTGCTTTGATAGTAAGGGAGGAGACCACCCCTCATATTGTCTTATGCCCAATTTCTGCCTCCAAAGAAAGAAGAAGTAAAAACTAAAAGGCAGAAATGAAATTCACAAGCAGACAGCCCAGCACCACACACAGCCCAGCCCTGGTAGTTAAAGATAGACCCCTGACCTAATCGGTTATGTTATCTATAGATTACAGAGATTGTGTAGAAAAGCACTGTGAAAATCTCTGTCCTGTTGTGTTCCGTTCTAATTACCGGTGCATGCAGCCCCCAGTCACGTACCCCCTGCTTGCTCAATCGATCACGACCCTCTCATGCGGACCCCCTTAGAGTTGTGAGCCCTTAAAAGGGACAGGAATTGCTTACTTGGGGAGCTCGGCTCTTGAGATAGGAGTCTTGCCAATGCTCCCGGCCGAATAAAGCCCTTCCTTCTTTAACTTGGTGTCTGAGGAGTTTTGTCTGCTACTCGTCCTGCTACATTTCTTGGTTCCCTGACCAGGAAGCGAGGTGATTGGCGGATGGTTGAAGCAGCTCCTTAGGTGGCTTAAGCCTGCCCTGTGGAACATCCCTGCGGGGGACTCCGACCAGCCCTCCGCTCTCTGACGTGGATCATGAGAGCATCCTGGGCAGGCAATTGCCCCAGTGGGACGCCTCGCCAGAGCAGTGTGTAGCAGGCCCCCGTGGAGAATCAATGCAGTGGCTGAACACCGGGAAGGAACTGGTACTTGCAGTGCAGACATCTGAAACTTGGTAAGACTAGTCTTTGGAACCTGCAAACCTGCCTACTCCATTTGAGTGGAAGCGTGGCCTGATCACCCACAGTGTGCCTTTATTGGCACTTTGGTTTTTGTTTTTGACTTGACTTGGATTGCTTGATACTTTGGTTTTGGTTTTGACCTGGCTTAGATTTCTGGATACTCTGATTTTGGTTTGGTGTAAACTGCAAAAGTGTGTGTGTGCCCTTTTTACCTGTTCTTTGTTTTGTGGTGTGCGTGTGGTGTGAGTGTTGTGTTTTGTCTTGAAGAAGCATGGGTCAGGCACAAATAAGCCCATCCTACTAGGAACCATGTTGAAAAATTTCAAAAAAGGATTTAAGGGAGACTATGGAGTACTATGACACCAGGAAAACTTAAAACTTTGTGTAAAATAGACTGACCAGCATTAGAGGTGGGTTGGCCATCAGAAGGAAGCCTGGACAGGTCCCTTGTTTCAAAGGTGTGGCACAAGGTAACCTGTAAGCCAGGGCACCCAGATCAGTTCCCATACATAGACGCTTGGTTACAGCTGGTTTTAGATCTCTCCACAGTGGTTGAGAGAACAGCAGCATAAGCGAGGCAGAGAGAGAGACACAGAGAGGAGAGAGAGAGAGGCAGAAAGGAGAGAGAGAGGAGAGAGAGAGAGGCAGAGAGGAGAGAGAGAGAAGCAGATAAACAGAGGAAGAGACAGAGGCAAAAGGAAAGTCAAAGAGAGAGAGACAAAGTCAAAGAGAGAAAGAGAGATATATACAAGTAGCTAAGAAAAAACAGTTTATGTGCAAGGTGTATAAGGAAATTAAAATATACCTTTGGTAAAAGAATTATAAGGAGGCATAAGAATATAAATTTTTACCTATATTAGAAGGTTAAAAATGTGTATACTTTGTTTTAAAGGTTTAATCAAGTTTTAAAATGTACACTGAAAAGAAAATTCTGTGTGTAAACATTGGCTAAAGTTAGAGGTATCATCCAGTTTTGCTGTAAACTGGACATTAAAATAAAAGCATAGCAGATTTTTCTTAAAGCACCAACCTGCTCTTTAGCAAAAATTATAAAAGGTTAAAAAGAGTCTATAAAATCTTACCTTATGGTCAAACATTAAAAATTGGATAAATATGTCTACAAGGTTTTATTAAAATTAGGTTTAACATTAATAACACACTAATATAAAGGTAAAATTTAGCTTATCTGGTATAAAAATCATACAAATAGCATTGCTAAATGTAAAGTGGTATTTGCCTTTCTTTGGTTTAAAAACTAATAAAAATAGGTGCTAACGGAAATTTCTCAGTAAGAAGGCACCAAGGACTATAAAGTCCACTGCCAAGGTCCCCACATTTAAAACAAAAGGTCAATTTCTTAGAAATTATATACTCGGTGTATCTTCCACTTTCCTTTCCCTCAAAAACTAAAAGTCTTTTAGTACAGGTACCACCCCTAGAATTTCCGGTAAACCAGCACCAGCCTGAAAATCACGTTCTTATCAAAGGGTGGAAAGAAGAAAAACTCGAGCCAGCCTGGGAAGGACCCTACCTTGGGCTGCTAACCACCAAGACTGCTGTTTGTACAGAAAAAAAAAGGGTGGACTCACCACACCCGAGTCAAGAAAGCGCCACCCCTTCCAGAGTCGTGGGCCATAGTCCCAGGGGAAAACCCTACCAAACTAAAGCTGAGAAAAATTTAATTCTTTTCATCTATTCTATTACTCTTTCTTCTTTCCTTGCTCTGTTGCTGACCATCTGGTTATTAACATAACCAAGTCAATTTCACCTTGAACTATTGCATTTAATGCTTGTCTTGTTAGACCCTGTGGGGACTTGCCAAGTCGAAGACAGCTCTCTACTTCAGAAAAGTACCTCTGTCCCTCCTGACTCTCCTCAGACTGGGCATTAGTAAACTAGGACCATTTAATCCGGGCAGATTTCAATAAAGACCCCAGTGCCAACCAGGAGTCTTACCCCCAATGTAGAGCTTTAATGCCTTAGTTGGTCCAATGTTCTGTGGACCACTAAAGAGCAAGGATGGACTGCCCCAACCGGTTTTTGTAATTTCCTAAAATCATACATTCATTTTACTAGAGGATCATAGAAGTTAAAGACTTAAAACAAACTTTGGCAATTAAGACAGCATACCAAGATGCAAATACCTGGTTAAAATTGATCAAATATTCCTTCTGCATGTTAA
Organism: Homo sapiens; assembly: GCF_000001405.40. Taxonomy (NCBI): domain Eukaryota; kingdom Metazoa; phylum Chordata; class Mammalia; order Primates; family Hominidae; genus Homo; species Homo sapiens. The sequence goes on along the minus strand of NC_000018.10, from coordinate 10,601,275 downwards.
ACAAAAGCAATTGTTATTCTTGTGCACATGGCAGGCCAGAGGCCCAGATTGTCTCGTTTCCACTAAGGTGGTCCTCCAGTTGACCAGGCGTAGGCTGCATGGTAGCTCTTTTCCAGGATTCTACAGCCTGGAGTAATAAGTCATGCCAAGCTCTCTCTGCTATATCCCGAAGTCCGGCACCCTGCGGGTCAGCCCCTGAGAGCCATCCAGCTTCCATCTCCCAACACTAAGTTCACTTTGTGTCTCTCACGACAGGCAGGAAACAGCATTCCTTGGAGACCTGAAGGGATGCAATGAGCTTAAGAATTTTCAAGAGCTTATCAATCAGTCAGCCCTTGTTCATCCCTGCGCGGACGTGTGGTGGTATTGTGGTGAACCTTTACTGGACACTCTGCTGAATAACTGGAGTGGCACTTGTGGTTTAGTCCATCTGGCTATCCCTTTCACCCTGGCATTTCATCAACCAGAAGGAGAAAAAAATAAGACATCGTAAAGCGAGAGAAGCCCCTTATGGGTCTTTCAACTCTCACATCTATTTAGATGCAATTGGAGCCCCACAAGGAATAACAGATCAATTTAAAGCTTGAAATCAAATAGCTACAGGATTTAAGTCAATATTTTAGTATGTGACAGTTAATAAAAATCTAGATTAGATAAATTACATCTATTACAACCAACAGCAACAAGCTTTTCATGAATTTAAACAAAACAAAACAAAACAAAAAAAACTCATGTCGGCCCCAGCCCTGGGGCTACCTGACCTGACAAAACCCTTTACACCCTGTGTATCACAAAGAGAAAAAATGGCAGTTGGAGTTTTAACCCAGACTGTAGGGCCCTGGCCAAGGCCACTGGCCTATCTCTCAAAACAACTAGACGGGGTTTCCAAAGGCTGGCCCCCATGTCTAAGGACTCTGGCAGCAATGGCCCTGTTAGCACAAGAAGCAGATAAGCTCACTCTTAGGCAAAACCTAAACATTAAGTCCCCCATGCTGTGGTGACTTTAATAAACAGCAAAGGACATTATTAGCTAATGAATGCTAGACTAACTAGATGCCAAAGCTTGCTCTGTGAAAATCCCCGCATAACCAGTGAAGTTTGCAACACCCTAAACCCCACCACCTTGCTCCTGGTATCAGACAGCCCAGTTGAACATAACTATGTAGAGGTACTGGACTCAGTTTATTCCAGTGGGCCCGACCTCCGAGACCAACCTTAAACATCAGTAGACTAGGAGCTGTACGTGGATGGGAGCAGCTTCGCCAACCCCTGCAAAGTGACTCTGAAAAAGACAACAAGCCCTGCTCCAGTCACACCCGGGAGCTGACTGGTCCATGCACAGCCGAAGCATGAGAAAACTCATCGCGGGACTCATTTTCCTTAAAACTTGGACTTGTACAGTAAGGACTTCAACTGACCTTCCTCAGACTAAGAGCTGTTCCCAGTGTATACATCAAGTCACTGAGGTAGGACAAAAAGTCGCTACAGTCCTATTATTTTATGGTTATTATAAGAGTACTGGAACTCTAAAAACAAAGCTTGTTTGTATAATGTTATTCTATGCAAGGTACGTAGCCCAGGAAATGACCAACCTGATGTATGTTATGACCCAGCTGAGGATCCCATGACCACAGTTTTTAAAATAAGATTAAGAACTGAAGACTGGTAGGGCTGTTCACTTTCGTTTATAAGTAGAATGAGTATATACTCTAATATAATGATAAGGAAAATAGCATGGTAAATACATAAACCAGTGAAAGTCATTCGCTGTCATTATCAAGTATGATGTACCGCACATAATTACATGTGCTGGACTTTTACACGACTGGCCATGAAGCAAGTGTGTTTATACCAGCACCGCCACTAACACATGAGCAATGCATTGCTATACAACTTTACTATGGCTCTGACATCACTGGACAATAGGGATTTTTCATCTCCATTATAATCTTATGGGACTGCATGTTCATATGTGCAACCCATCATTGACCAAAACGTTATCTGATGCATGACTGTATTTTGTGTCTTGCTTTCCTGCTAGAGTAATGCTTCTTAAGCATGCATTTACAGTTGACTCTCATGATTCATAAATTTGGACTTGACAAATCTGCCTACTCGCCAAAATTCACATGTAACCCCAAAGTCAATACTCACAGTGCTTTTGAGGTAATTCACAGGCATGCATGAGTGACACAAGATTTGAGTTGCTCAAATGCACGTTCCCAGCTGAGGTGGAACAAGGCGATGCTCGGCCTTCTTGTTTTGGCTCACGCTGTGAACAAGCTTCCTTAGCATGGTCTAGTTAGTGTCATTTTGCCACATTTTTGTGCTTCCTGTTGATTTTGCTGTTGAAAAGGCCCCAAGCACAGTGATTTCGTGCTGGCTAGTGTTCCTAAGAGCAAGAAGGCTGTGATGTGCCTTACAGAGAAAATACGTGTGTTAGATAAGCTTGGTTTAGGCATGAGTTTTAGGGCTGTTGGCTGTTATTAATGTTAATATATATTAAATAAGGTGTCTTTAAACAGAAACACAAATAAAACAAGGTTATGGACTGGGCACGGTGGCTCATGCCTGTAATCCCAGGCATGATTGGGAGGCTGAGGTGGGTGGATCACCTGAGGTCAGGAGTTTGAGACCAGCCTGGCCGACATGGTGAGACCCCCGTCTCTACTAAAAACACAAAAAATTAGCTGGGCGTGGTGGTGCGCGCCTGTAGTCCCAGCTACTCAGGAGGCTGAGGCAGGAGAATCACTTGAACCCTTGAGGTGGAGGTTGCAGTGGGCTGAGATCGCACCACTATACTCCAGCCTGGGTGACTGAGTGAGACTCCATCTCAAAACAAAACAAAACAAAACAAAACAAAAAATACCCCAAGGTTATGCATTGATTGGCTGATGAAAATGTCTTGGTCAGAGGCTTGCAGGAACCTAACCCTATAATTCCTCTAGGGTCAAAGGTTTTAGTATTTACTAATTCACTGTTTGCAGCAACTTTTAGAACAAAACTACCATGAGAAATGGTTGTATTTTGTATTCCCCAGTACAAGCTAACACAATGTTGGCACATAGAAAATGCTTAATAACTGCCTGCTGATTCACTGTGAAAAAGAGAGAGAAGAGAACCTAACTTTTCTTCCAGTGAAGTTATCTGATATGTGTTTGTTTGTTCATTTGGTTTTTTTTTTTTTTTTTTTTTTTAGATGGAGTCTCGCTCTGTTGCCCAGGCTGGAGTGGAGTGGCACAATCTCAGCTCACTGCAACCTCCACCTCCCAGGTTCAAGTGATTCTCCTGCCTCAGCCTCCTGAGTAGCTGGCATTACAGGCATGCACCATCATGCCCGGCTAATTTTGTGACATGTGTTTTATAGTTTGCATAGTGTGCAATGATTTTTTATTTGGCTTGTGTAAATATCCTCCCAAATCTGATTCAACTAAGATTGAGAATATTCCCGTATATGTTGTTCCCTAATAACTGTATAGCTTATATAAGCTAAATTTGTATGAAAAAAATTAGAACATGTCTACATTAAAAGATCAAGGGCTCAACATTCTCATTTTGGGTCGGGAGAATGTTTCCTGTCATCTAGCTCAGCGGCTCAGTAATTTTCAAATTTTTATTTTATATAACACTAAAGGAATGCTGAAAAACTATGTACTGCCCCACCCATTCTAAGTTGTCCACTAACATTTTTTTTCTATTCTTCTTCTTCTTCTATTTATTTATTTATTTATTTTTATTTTTATTTATTTTTTTGAGACGGAGTCTCGCTGTCGCCCAGGCTGGAGAGCAGTGGTGCGATCTCGGCTCACTGCAGGCTCCGCCCCCTGGGTTCACGCCATTCTCCTGCCTCAGCCTCACCAGGTGCCCGCCACTTCGCCCGGCTAATTTTTTTTTTGAGACAGGGTCTCACTCTGTCACCCAGGCTGTAGTACAGTGATGCAATCTCAGCTCACTGTAGCCTCACCCTCCGGGGCTCAAGCAACCCCCCCACCTCAGCCTCTCAAGTAGCTAGGGTTACAGGAGCACTCCACCACACCTGGCTAATTAAAACCATTTTTTTTTTTTGTAGAGATGGGGTCTCACTTTGTTGCCCAGGCTGGTCTGGATGTATGGAATTCTTAGGATGGCAGTGATTGACCCAGCATACTGAGGAATATAATTTTGGGTTTTATTATTTGATGGGCATATTCCTGGTGGCGTGGATGTATAATAATTGGGAAATCTGCAAAATCCTTAGTGAATTGTGGGCACTTATGTTTTCTTATTTAGAAATTTATTCTTTTTGTCATTTCCAGAATGTATTAATGGTATGATCTTCCGTGAGTGACAAAGGAACTGGAAGCCAGGGACCCCTGCATAGGATGTACATGCTGCTCACACAGGAGTAAGCACAGTGCCTGGCTTACTTACAGCATCACTGTCTTTGTGATCTCAACTATTCATCTCAGAGCAGGGCGGATCATCTCAGATGGGGTGGTGCAAATCTGCAGGCAGCTAGGCAGACTAGCCCTCAGATGAGACATGGCACAGGCAGGATTCGAAGAGGGGACTCTGTACCTGCCAGAACTGATGCTGACAATTTGTAAAAAGATAGTATATCTTGGCAGGATTGACATATTACAGTGCGGTGGCCTGTTCTGTGGCAGCTGGGAGGAAGAGCAGCTTTTTTTTGTTTTGTTTTTTAACCTTAGGAAATTAAAATCTTTCCTAGTTGACCTTAAATCCTGAAACAAGTCAGGCGCGGTGGCTCACACCTGTAATCCCAGCACTTTGGGAGGCTGAGGCAGGTGGATCACCTGATGTCAGGAGTTCGAGATCAGCCTGGCCAACATGGTGAAACCCCATCTCTACTAAAAATACAAAAATTAACTGGGCGTGGTGGCACATGCTTGTAATCCCAGCTACTCAGGAGGCTGAGGCAGGAGAATCGCTTGAACCCGGGAGGTGGAGGTTGTGGTGAGCCAAGATCGTGCCATTGCACTCCAGCCTGGGCGACAGAGTGAGACTCCATCTCAAAAAACAAACAAACAAAAATCCTGAAACAGGTCAGCCTTTCTTAGATTCTGTCCATCTCAAGCCTGTAGGGCACACCCTGGTGTGATGAGTAGTTCTATCTTCTCTCTTTCTGTACTACACGCCTTCCCTCTGTAGTACATGGAAATGCTACTCTTCTGGCTGGGTGAGAACTGAATCATTCCTCTGCTCTTGCCTAGAGCCCGGGGAGAAGTCCTGGCAGCAGGTCCCTGGCTAGGATATTGATATAGAGTCATAGAAAAACTGGTAAGAAAAAGAAACACAAGTCATTCTTTTTCTGCTGCTGGCAGAAAAAAAAAAAAAAGGAACATGCATTAAAATTCACAGGACTTTGGCTAGGTGCAATGGCTCATACCTGTAATCCTAGGAATTTGGGAGGCTGAGGCAGGAGGGTTGCTTGGTGCTAGGAGTTTGAGACCAGCCTGGGCAACATAGCAAGATCCCATATCTGCCAAAAAAAAAAAAAGAGAGAGAGAGAAAAAAAAAGAAAATTCACAAAATTCACAGGACTTCTAAGATAGCCATAAAAATGTAAAATTTAAGTAAAAATAATGAAGTAGGGATCGTGTTTCTACATTGTGAGTTGGGCAAAATGTGTGGAAGTTTTATTGTTTTGTGTAACATTTAGCACATGTAAGTCATATATGTATATATAGGATGTGCCCACTGTGGGGTGTGTGTTGAGTCTAGGTGTTGGGGGACATTTGCGCTTGGCATTTGCTAAAAGTCAAGTGACTGGTGGGGTGGAGAGGCCAGGGCCACAGTAGTTAGTATGCTGTGACAAAGAGTGGTGGAGTGGTCATCTCAAGTCTTCACTGCCATAGCTCACCCGCTCCCCAAACCCTACTGCTGCAGGAGGTCACACGCCACCTGCGGATGGAGCAAACACATGCAGACAAGACAGGCCCCCCGCCACTGCTGGCACACGGGACACCCACCCAGCCTATGGTCCTGTCTCTGGCTGGACAACGTAATCAGAATAACAGGTAATCCTTACTGAGCACTAACTATGTGGCAGACACATGTCCAACAATTAATATATAGTAAAGTGTTTAATTCTTACAGCAATATTGTGAAGTAGGTACTGCTATTTAGTTTATATTTCTTACCTTTTTCCTTTTATTTTTAATTCTTTTCTGAAGTGTTAATTTCTAAGTTTTCCTAACTTAGATTTATGTTATTACTTCATATGTTCTATTTACTCCCTTCAGGTCTTGAGCTTGTTCTGAAACTGTAGGCTACAGCTTTTATCTGTTTCGTGGTCATGTCTCTGTGGTATGCTTTCATTGTGTGTGCAAATGTCTTCTTCCTCCCTTCCTCCCCTCTTCCCTTCCTCCCTTCCTCTCTCTCTCTCTCTTTCTCTCTCTCTTTCTCTCTTTCTCTTTCTTTCGGTCTCGCTCTGTTGCCCAGGCTGGAAGTGCAGTGGCGCAATCATAGCTCATAGCACCCTCAACCTCCCAGGCTCAAAGTATCCTCCCACCTCAGCCTCCTGAGTAGCTGGAACTACAGGTACATGCCACCATACCTGGCTGATTTTTGATTTTTTATTTTTTGTAGAGATGAGATTGCTGGGATTATAGGCATGAGCCACCGCACCTGGCCTTCATTGTTTTTCTGATGATAACTTTGTACATCTTTGATGTCATTTCTTCTCAAGTGCTCCTCCTTAGGCAGGTTACTTCTCCTTAACACCTAGAAGGAGGCAGAGTTCCGGAGAGCTTTTGCAACTTCACCTAGTGTCTTGGTTCATTTGGGCTCCTTTAACAAAATGCCATAAACTGGGTGGCTTATACACCACAGAAATTTATTTTTCACAGTTCTGGAGGCTGGGGAGTCCAAGATCAAGACTGGACTTGACAAATACAGACATTGGTAGATTCAGTGTCTCGTGAGGTCCTGCTTCCTGGTCCACACAGTGCGTTCCTGCTGTGTCCTCAGGTGGCGGTGGTGGAAAGGATAGGGAGCTCTCTGGGGCCTCTTTCATAAGGGCACTAATCCCATTTGTAAGGGCTCCACCACCAACACACAATCACCTCCCAAAAGCCCTTCTTCCTAATACCATCACATTGGTGATGAGATATCAACACGTGCATTGGGAGGAGTGAACACAAACATCAGACCATAGCACCTCACAAACTTTTCTGTTGTTTTAATTAGTGTGCTAAAATAGGGAAGCTTGCCTTAGGAAATTTCCCTTTTCTCACCTTTTTCTGCACTTTCTTTTTCTTACATTTCTCTAGTCTACATCTGCAAAATTCTCATTCCATCTTAAGAGTCTCCCCTCTGTGAGGGGTCTTAATCCCGGAAGGAAGGATTGCTCTAGGCTTTCAGTTCTCACCATGGGCCCCTTGCACTCACTCACTACTGCATGGGGCGAAATCCTTCCTGTTTTCAGCTGCTGTTCTTGCCACACTTTCCTGGCGGAACCTGATGCTATTTTTGGATTCTCCTCTCTTCATGTCCACCACATGCTTTGTCATGCCCTTGTTTTTATCTGTGCATTTGCTGACTTCACTCAGGTCTTGCAGCTGTCTGTGGTTCCTCCTCACGCCTCTTACATTTGGGGTTTGTGGGGATACCTTGTCAACTAGTTTTGTTCTAAACCTTGTGTAGGGATTTTTACTTTTGCCATTTAGTTGCTCGATCCATAGCATCTAATGGATAAATGGCTCTTCTTCCATGTTTATTAGGAAAAAAAAGAGGAAAATTTTAATGAGTCATTTTCAATGATTTGAACTATGGACTCTGTCTTGAACTAAGCACATGAATGCAAAATAATCACAGTAACTCTCCCAAGGAAGTTCTAATAACCAAGCTGCTTAAAAGGAATTACCCTGAAAAGTAACTAAATCAAGGCTCCCTAAACCAGAATCTCTGACAACCATGTAGCACATCTTACTGTTTTCCACTCATTCCATACATTTTGATTGAGAATTAGTGATGTGTTGGATTCTACTAAATGCTATCATGGTTATAAATAAGTATGAAGCTTGGCCCTTCTCTCAGGGAGTTTCAAATCTGTCTGGGATTGTATTAGACACAGGAGGTAGGAAGATAATTTGTAAATTATAATGACATAAAATGTATCAATCATTTAACATCTCAGTGCAGACTGACTAAAATGTATCATGTGACAACCTCCCCACCCCCCATAGTTCTCTGTAATTATTTGTTTGAGACAAGGTCTCACTCTGTTGCCCAGGCTGCAGTGCAGTGGCAAGATCTCAGCCTTGACCTCCCGGGCTCAAGCAGTCCTCCCACCTCAGCCTCTCAGGTAGCTGGGAGTATAAGAGCATGCCACCAAGCCCGGCTAATTTTTTTTTTCTATTTTTATTTTTTTTGAGATGGAGTCTTGCTCTGTCGCCCAGGCTGGAATGCAGTGACGCAATTTCGGCTCACTACAACCTCTGCCTCCTGGGTTCACGCTATTCTCCTGCCTCAGCCTCCCAAGTAGCTGGGACTACAGGTGCTCGCCACCACGCCTGGCTAATTATTTTGTATTTTCAGTAGAGATGGGGTTTCACCGTGTTAGCCACGACGGTCTTGATCTCCTGACCTCGTGATCCACCCGCCTCGGCCTCCCAAAGTGCTGGGAATACAGGCGTTGAGCCACCACACCTGGCCACTTGTTTGCTTTTTGAGACAGTCTTGCTCTGTCACCCAGGCTGGAATGCAGTGGCACCAACTCAGCTCACTGCAACCTCTGCCTCCTGGGTTCAAGTGATTCCCCTGCCTCAGCCTCCTGAGTAGCTGGGACTACAGGTGTGTGCCGCCACACCTGGCTCATTTTTGTATTTTTTAGAAGAGATGGGGTTTTGCCATGTTGGCCAGGTGGGTCTCAAACTCCTGACCTCAGGTGATCCACCCACCCCGGCCTCCCAAAGTGCTGGGATTATAGGCATAAACCACAGCACCTGGCCAAGGTTGTTTTAAGTTGCTAAGTTTGTGGTCATTTGTTGCATGACAATTTAAAGCGAATACATCAATTCTCCACAAAAGTTAATCTCTTGGATTTTAGGATCCTACTCTCCCTTTTCCCAGCTTCATCTTCATGTCCACAGCACTGTCCCTAGAATGATCTTTGAAAATACCAAGTAGATGAGATTACTCAGCACCTAGGATGTGAGAAGGCTGAATGCCATGAGATGAGGAGTGCTCGGCTTCCTGAGTTTCATTTCCTCCCATAATGCTCACTGACACAATGCAGGCAAATGTCTTACAATAATTCAGCAAACATGGTTAAAATATAAGAATGGTCTCTCCGCTTGGTCAGGTGGCTCACACTTGTAATCCCAGCACTTTGGGAGGCCAAGGTGGGAGGATCACTTGAGCCCAGGAGTTTGAGACCAGGAAACATCGTGAGACCTTGTCTCTACAAAAAATTTGAAAATTAGCTGGACATGGTTGCACATGTCTATAGACTTAGCTATGCGGGAGGCTGAGGCAGGTGGATCACTTGTGAGTCTGGAGGTGTTCACGCCACTGCACTCCAGCCTGGACCACAGAACAAGACGTTTTTTTGTTTGTTTGTTTTTTGCTTTTTGTTTTGTTTTGTTTTGTTTTTGAGATGAACTCTTGCTCTGTTACCCAGGCTGGAGTGCAGTGGCACTATCTGGGCTCACTGCAACCTTCACCTCCTGGGTTCAAGCGATTCTCCTGCCTCAGCCTCCAGGGTGGCTGGGACTACAGGTATGTGTCACTACACTTGGCTAATTTTTTTTTTTTTTTTTTTTTTAGTAGAGACAGTGTTTTGCCATGTTGGGTTTTGAACTCCTGACCTTAGGTGACCCATCTACCTCAGCCTCCCAAAGTGCTAGGATTACAGGCGTGAGCCACCACCTCCAGCCTTATTTTTATTTATTTTTGTGATAGAGTCTCACTTTGTTGCCTAGGCTGGACTGTAGTGGCACAATCTTGGCTCACTGCAACCTCCTCCTCCCAGGCTCAAGCAATTTTCATGCCTCAGCCTCCCTAGTGGCTGGGATTACAGGTGCGTGCCACCACGCCCAGCTAATTTTTGTATTTTTTGTATGATGGGGTCTTGCCATGTTGCCCAAGCTGGTCTCAAACGCCTGAGCTCAAGCAATCTGCCTGCCTGGGCCTCCCAAAGTGTTGGATCACAGGCGTGAGCCACTTAGCCTAGTCTGATTCTATTTTTTAAAAAAGAAAAAATCTCTCAGTTTTGTCTATGAGGCTCTCAAACACCATTTTATATTGGAGTTTCCAAGGCTTCCGTAGTGTAAGCCAGGATTTTTAAAACACAATGTGGCAAGGATACCACAATGTTACCACAACGCAACAATGTGTATCACAACAATGTATATACCACTATGTATACCACAATGTTATCCACTATAGCTGCTCCCACAGAAAAGTAGTTTACAAGACAGTGAAGTACAATATGAAACTGAAGATGTTAGAGAGGAAAACAGTGATTTGAAGAGTACTCTATAGAATTGAAACCAGCTAGCCCGGCACATTGGGGAACACCTCTGGTCCCAGTTACTTAGGAGGCTGAGATGGGAGGATCACTTAAACCCGGGACTTTGAGGCCACCCCAGGCAACACAAGAAGCAAAACCAAAAAACCCAAGTAGGCCGGGTGTGGTGGCTCAAGCCTGTAATCCTAGCACTTTATGAGGCTGAGACAGATGACTTGAGGTCAGGAGTTTGTGAACAGCCTTGCCAACATGGGGAAACCCCGTCTCTTAAAAAAAAAAAAAAAAAGCCAGGTATGGTGACACACGCTTGTAATCCTAGCTACCCCGGAGGCTGAGGCATGAGAATCCCTTGAACCCGGGAGGCGAAGGTTGCAGTGAGCAGAGATCATGCCACTGCACTCCAGCCTGGGCGACAGAACCAGATTCAGTCTCAAAAAAAAAAAAAGGTTAATGGCATTAAAAGTCAACTAATAAAATTAGTTAAAACTATGGACTTTAATGTTGTTTTAGCAATTTTTTTTTTGAGACGGAATTTTGCTCTTGTTGCCCAGGCTGGAGTGCAATGGCTCAGTATCAGCTCACTGCAACCACCGCCTCCCGAGTTCAAGTGATTCTCCTGCCTCAGGCTCCTGAGTAGCTAGGATTACAGGCGCCCGTCACTACGCCTGGCTAAATTTTGTATTCTTAGTAGAGACAGGGTTTCACCGTGTTGGCCAGGCTGGCCTCAAACTCCTGACCTCCAGTGATCTGCCCACCTCGGCCTCCCAAAGTGCTAGGATTACAGGTCTGAGCCATCACGCCCGGACAGTTTTAGCAAATTTGACAAAATGTGGGTAATTTATTCATATAATATAAAGTACCTTTTGGCCAGGCGTGATGGCTCACCCCTGTAATCCCAGCACTTTGGGAGGCCGAGGCGGGCGGATCATGAGGTCAGGAGATCCAGACTATCCTGGCTAACACAGTGAAACCCTGTCTCTACTAAAAATAGAAAAAATTAGCCTGGCCTGATGGCGGGCTCCTGTAGTCCCAGCTACTTGGGAGGCTGAGGCAGGAGAATGGCGTGAACCTGGGAGACAGAGGTTGTAGTGAGCCGAGATTGCGCCACTGCACTCCAGCCTGGGCGACAGAGTGAGACTCCATAAAAACAAAAACAACAACAACAACAAAAAAAACAAAAAAAACCACCTAATATTCATTAATTGAAAATTAGAAATTACATTAAAATATTCGGTTCTGTTTTTTTAACTATTCTACTTTTATATATTTTGGGAGATTATTTTCTTTAAAAATTCTGTTTTATATGTTTGATTTACTAATTGTTTTATCTGTTTACTGAAATTAATATATGCGAGTAGGAAAATTACCTTTCTCTTCCTTCAGCCTCCGCTGGCTCTGCAGCCCTGAGTCTCCGCGGAAGCCTCCCGCGGCGGGCGGCGGCGGTGCCTTCTACCCAGTGCCACCGCCTTCTACCCGGTGCCACCACCACCGCTGCCTCCTCCGCTGCCCCAGTGCTGGCCGTTCCTGGGGACGGACGCCGGCGAGCGGCCGTGGCCACGCCTCCTGGCCCGGGGCCATCGCCTCCCGGCCCGGGGCCACCTGGAGCCCACGCTGGCTTGAGGAGCCACCGCCGCTGCCAAGTAATAGCGAGCCAATGAAATAAATCACCCACAAAGTATCAAGGACGTGGCTGGCAGCAGAATTCAGTGAAAGCAGAAGCTGGGGCTCACACTCCCGGAGCACACGAGAAACACAAGCCTCTCTCCTGTCACACACGAAGCCATGTTCAGAAGCAAACAACAGCCTGGAAGGTGATGCGACCCCCTTGTAAGCCTTGAGTAATAGTCAAAGGTGAATCATCAGAAAGAACCACACATAGGGCCCAAGTAGAAAGATTTTTTAAGTGGGAAATCAACATAAGCAAAAAGCAGAGGACAAATGTGTGTCATAAGAGATACTACACAAGAAAGAGGGAGAATTTAGATAAGTACTTATCCATAGTCAAAGAAATTACACACAGAGATGCACGCGCGTGCACACACACACACACGAAAACAATATTAGAGTTCAAAGCAATTTTCTAAAGAAAAAATAAAAAAAATTTAAATGCGAAAGAGATGAAAGTGGCATTGCAAGTAACAAACATGCAAAGAGTAACCACGAATTAAAACACAGAGGCAAAGTAGGCAGGACAGAGCATCACAGGACAGTTCTTAAAACGATCGGCCGGGCACGGTGGCTCACGCCTGTAATCCCAGCACTTTGGGAGGCCGAGGCGGGTGGATCATGAGGTCAGGAGATCGAGACCATCCTGGCTAACAAGGTGAAACCCCGTCTCTACTAAAAATACAAAAAATTAGCTGGGCACGGTGGTGGGTGCCTGTAGTCCCAGCTACTCGGGAGGCTGAGGCAGGAGAATGGCGTGAACCCGGGAAGCGGAGCTTGCAGTGAGCCAAGATTGCGCCACTGCAGTCCGCAGTCTGGCCTGGGCGACAGAGCGAGACTCCGTCTCAAAAAAAAAAACAAAAACAAAAAAAAAAACGATCAGATAGAAGATGTCATGGATGACCCAAACGCAAATGCACCATGGTCACAATTTCTTCCCAAAGAAGAAAGTGAAGCAAATGAAACAGAAAAGACTCAAAATTATCAAAGAGCCAAAGGACAAGCACGGTGGGTGGGTATGCACACTCCTACCACTGCCCCCGAACAAAACTGTGGAAAGGAGAGGAAAAGAGTAGAGCAGGTGAAATCCTCAAACTAAGGAGTACAAAGAAAGGAATGGTAACACGTCTAGCAGGTCAGAAAGCAGAGAGCGGAGAAGGACCGAGATAGCGGAATCTAAGTGCCTATGGAAGGGGATACCAACAGGAAGGGGCCACTCCACCCCCACAGAGCCCCAGAAAGTCTGGAAACTCGATGTGCCAGGAGTCATAGAAATGAGGTAAGAGTGGACAACAGGGAAATGGGTCCAAATTCTGGTTGCAGAGCAGTTAGCGCCCCATAGCCCGCGGCCCATTATGCTCAGTTGAGTGAAAACCTCTTGTTCAGGATTCTGGGAGCAGGAGAACAGGACTGCCTGGGAGGACTGAATGAGGTCTGCTTCCTGCCTGCAGGACTTTCCACCCTGCTACCTGCTCATGGGAGATGGGCCACCATAGGACATGGGGGGAGGGTCTTCTCCAGAAAGACCACTGGCCCAGAGAAATGACCTTCAGATACCAAACATCTGGAGTTTCCGAAAAGAAGCTTCTGGATACCTATTCAAATCACCCTATGCAAAGCCCATTTATCCACAAGCCTTGCCCATCAACAGCTCTTCCCATTAGCCTTTTGGTATGCCCCTCTAGAGTTAAGGGAGTCACAAAGAACCACCAGACATTTAAGGTCGTTCAGCATGAAAGACAGAAGCCAAAACATACACGAAAATGGAATGTAGAAGCAGTTTTGAAAAGCCCAATAATTAGAATTTTCCAAAAGACAATATACTATATTGCACTCAAAAAATAGAAACAGTTTAATAAGAGTGGGGTGAGAGCAGAGGAACAAATGAGATAGAAGGTATGAAGAAAAGGTTCAGTGGAAATTAAATACTGATAGCTAAAATGAAACATGCACCAGTTGGTTAAAACTTAAAATTAATAAAATTCTCCAATACACAGAAAAAAGGCAGAGAGATTAAAAAAAAATAGGAGCAGAAAGATTAAAACATTAGAGGGTCAAATCGGAAGTCAATATCCAACTAGTAGGAAACCCAAAAAGAGACAACAGAAGAGAGGAAATTACTTTAAAAAAAAACAAAAACAAAAACAAAAAAACAAGAAAATATTCCAGAAATAAAGAGCTCGGTTTTTCAGCATAATTCATGAAAAGAACCACTCCACAAAACATAATAATGAAGTTTCAGAACACCAGAGTTAAAACAAACATTCTAAACAATTCCAGAGAGAACGCTTGAGAGAGAGAAATTGCCAGGATGGCAACGGACTTCTCAACAGAAACGACGGGAGCTAGAAGATAATGGGGCAATGCCTTCGAATTTCCAAAGGAAGAGGATTGCTGATTTAGAATTCTAGTCCCTTCCAAATAACAAATAGGAGAATAAAAACAGTTCAGATGTGCAACAGGGCAAAACAGTATCTCTACCCCATTTTCCAGGAATCATGGGAAGGTGTGCTCCACAAAAGTGAGGGAGTAAATCAAGAAGAGGAGAAATGAGAAACAGGAAACAGGAAGCAGGGAGAAGAGCAAAGAGAATCTTAGATGATGAGGTGAGAGCCCAGCATACAGCTGTCACAGCCCTGGAAACCAGGGAGGCTCATGGTGTGGAGGGGAGATTATGTGAACTGTTACAAAAGACAGAAGCAGAATTGTAAGATGGGGTTACAACTCCTTTGGACATTTTGGAAGGATCAATTATGATTACATGTAATTATGATTACATGATTAAAGACAAGCAAATAAAAAAGTGAGGCAATTACTAATTTAAGGAAAAACAAAAAGTTGTACAGCAAAGAGTATATAACTATGGCACTCTGTCTTCTCAGCATTTACCCACTTAGCAAGTATTGGATGAGTAATGATTTCAAGTCAAGCATTGTTTTAGGCTCTGAAGTGAAGCAGGAACAAAACAGATGAAGTCCTTTGATTGCATTCTTTAGGAGAGGAAAGACAAGTACAGGCTGTGGAATAAAAAAAAATACAACAGGGTAAGGAAGATGGGGAAAGTGCTGGTTGCTTGGAGACATGTCTCCATTAGAGATGAAAAGCAATCAATGTTGTTTATATACTTAAAATAATGTAAACTCAAAGCACAAATTCAACCAAAATTAGGTTATAACTATGTTGGTTAGCTGAGGGTGAGTGCATAGACTAAGAGGGAAAAATCTCAGCATTCACCAAAGGAAGTTATTAAGTAATGTCCAAAGTCTAAAAATCAAGAAAGAATATTATAAGCTTGTTATTTAGAACTATAGAAATATAAAAAGAAACAAAACATATGAATTGGTTGGCTCTGGAAAATAGGGTTGGGAACTGGAGAAGTGTGGGCCAAAGAATATTCAACTCCAAAATTATGTGCATATATTACATTAACAAAAATAATAAATTCATTATTTAAAGACTCACAAAGTATCAACAGAAACTAAGGATTAAATAGTCCTGAAATAATGACATACTTGATTTTACAGCTTGTTAAAATTCAGCCTTCAATACACACACATACATACACACACACACACACACACATGAAATGGAATCAACACCAAGTTTGGTGCAGAGTAGACAATGAACTCCAAGGGTACAGAAGATTTACATGTTCATCTAGGCAGAAGATCCACATGACATACAAGGGGAATAACTGGGCTGGGCTCAGATTCCTCCAGTGCAATATTCAATGCCAGAAGCCAGTGCAGTGTTATTTAAAAGGTTTTGAGTGGGAAGAGTGTCACCCAAAATTTTCATACTTAGCCAAGTTGTATATAACGTAGAAAAAAAAAAAGGCAGATGCTGTCAAGCAGGCAATACTTCAAGAATTCCATGAGCGCTTATTGGAAAAAGAAAAACTGAATGATGAAATTTAGCCAATTGAAAGATGAATCAAAATAATTTTTTTAAAAAAGGAAAAACTGTAGTCAAAGACTAGTGGTGAAATGCTGATCATCACTAATCAGAGAAAAGCAAATCAAAACCACAATGAGGTATCATCTCACCCATTAGAATGGTTTATTATCCAAAAGACAAAAAATAACAAATGCTGGTGAGGCTGCAGGAAAGGCAAACTCTTATACACCATTGGTGGGAATGTAGATTTCTACAGCCACTATGGAGAACAGTATGGATGTTTCTCAAAAAACTAAAAATAGAATGACCAGAAGATCCAGCAATCCTACTGCTGAGTATTTATCCAAAAGAAAGGAAATTATTGTATCAAAGAGGTATCTGCATCCCATATTTATTACAGCTTTTATTCATAATAGCCAAGATATGGAATCAACCTAAGTGTCCATCAAAGGATAAGCGAGGAAAGTAGGATACATATGCACAACGGAATATTATTCATCCATTAAAAAGAATGAAATCTTGTCATTTGCAGCAACATGTATGAGACTGGAGGTCATTATGTTAAGTAAAACAAGCCAGACATAAAAGCCAAATATCATATTTTGTCATATGTGGGAGCTAAAAAGTGGATCTCATGGAGGTGGAGAGTAGATTGGTGGTTGCCAGAGGCTGGGAAGGGTAGAGGCGATAGGGGGATGAGGAAAGGTTGGCTAATGAGTAGAAAAACACAGAGAGAAAAAATACTATCTTCTGTTCAATATTAGAGTAGGGAAATAATAGTTAATAGTAATTTATTGTATATTTCAAAATAGCTACAAGAGAGGATTTGTAATGTTTCCAACACAAAGAAAAGATAAATGTTGGGGGTGACTGACATCCCAATTACCCTGATTTGATCATTACACATCGTATACATGTATGAAAATATCACTCTTACCCCATAAATATGTACACTTATTCCAGGTCAACTAAAAAGAAAAAGAAAAAAAAAAAGACTGGTGGTGAGTTCTAAATCTATCAACTATAAAACTAAGACTAAAGAACTAGAAAACTTTGGTGAAAAAAGAGAAGTGTTAGGAACTTTGAAAATAGAAAAATTTTAATATAACTTTTTTTTTTTGAGACAGAGTCTCCCTCTGTTGCCCAGGCTGGAGTGCAGTGGTGCGATCTCGGCTCACTGCAAGCTCTGCCTCCTGGGTTCACACCATTTTTTTTTTTGTATTTTCAGTAGAGATGGGGTTTCACCGTGTTAGCCAGGATGGTCTTGATCTCCTGACTTCGTGATCCGCCTGCCTCGGCCTCCCAAAGTGCTGGGATTACAGGCATGATTATATAACTTTTTAAAAGTCAGGACATTTTAAGAAAAACTATTCAAGGACCCAAGATTGTACCAATTGCCCCATATTTCAGAGCTGAGAATCAACAGAAAATGCCTAAAAATGCTTAAAATAGTTAGAAATACAAGCATAAACAATCCTTTTTAAATTTGAGAAGAATCTTACAGAAATGAATACCTCTGATGAAGAAACATTTATCTGAATTTCAACAATTATTTCATTTTTTTCTTTTATTAAATTCAATGGCGATTGTTATAACTTTATTTTTAATTAGTAAACAGAATCCTATATAATAATGTGTTTATCTATTGACCCTTTCACCAGTATCCACACGGAAAGGAGACTGGAGTGATAGTCACAAAGGTAACGTTTATTTCTGAATAATAAAATTTGAATGAATTTTTTTTCCTTTGCACTTTTTGGGTTGCTTGATGTTCTTTTCTTTTCAAATGAACAAAAATTAAAGAATTTCCACAAAACAACAACTAAAAAGAAATATTTACTAAACCAGTTATTTTGTGTGAGACATTATGTGTGGTTAAGAACTGTGGAACTCTGCATGGACTTCTAGTTGGAAAGGCAACATTGATGGGGATGGGAATTATGATGATGGAATTACAGAGAGATAAATAGGTGATACACAGTAAAGATACGTGATGGACAAAAAGCTAAGCAGCCAATTAGATAAGGAAATACAGAATGTCACAGGGATACTGGGCCAGAACACCTTGCATCTATATCTGTATTATTCATTGATTTGTTCAGTAAGGAAAATAAAAGCAGAAAGATTTCTTGGCAGTAACTGTATCCTCTAACTCACCAACTGAGCAGTAAAATATCCCTCCTCAGTGCTATTATTAAAATGTTTCTCTAATTTCTTCATCTATAATACCAGGAACCTAACGTTATGCTAATTTTCAGATTATTGTTTTGATAAAGAGGATTTTATTTTCAGATTGTAATATCTACACATTGAAGGGGAGACAGCTGTTGATCTTTTAGCTTAGGCACACAGGCATAAAAGGAAGGCTGGTTTCTCAGGTCAAGAGGCCATCGCCACCATTCACCTGGTGAAAGGAAGCTGAGCCAGGGAGGAGGGCCACAGTGTGGGTGATGAGGGGCACCTCACTTTCAAGGGGCCCCATGACACTCCCGGCTGCTGTAGTGTTCATTCTGGTGTGCACGTGCTCAGGAAGTCAAAGAAATAAAATCAGTAATTTTTTTTCATGCTTCATCTCGTATGTGTTCAACTCTACCCCTTAAATTTTGAGTTGTTCGAAATAAAGAGCCTTCCCTCATGTATGCATGGGAAGAAAATATCCTCTCCCAGGCCCCATGCACAGTCCCGCTCACTCTTCTGCGAGCAGTGAGAGCTGCGGGCAATATAACACTGAAAATTGTCCTTAGTCTCTATGTATTTGTTTCTCTGATCCGAATAAGCAAGCAAAAGCCCACAGGCCATGCGAAAATCCCTCCCAGGGAATGTGCAGTGATGGCTGCCTCTTCCCAAGCCCTGCCTTCTTCCTCTGTGAACACAGAAACCATACAGATGTGGACACACAACCGGAAATGCCACCCCATCAAAATGGAAAACTAAGTGGATAAATTGTTGAAAAGCCAACTTACAGACTCTGAGGAATGCTGGATTGAAAGCACATTTGTCTTCTGTTTCTTTTTTCTTTTTCTTTTTTTTTTTTTGAGATGGAGTCTCACTCTTGTTGTGCAATGGTGCGATCTCTGCTCACTGCAACCTCTGCCTCCCAGGGTCAAGTGGTTCTCCTGCCTCAGCCTCCCAAGTATCTGGAATTACAGGCACGTGCCGCCATGCCCAGCTAATTTTTGTATTTTTAGTAGAGACAGGGTTTCACCATGTTGGCCAGGCTGGTCTCGAACTCCTGACCTCCAGTGATCCACCCGCCTTGCACTCCCAAAGTGCTGAGATTACAGGTGTGAGCCACCATGCTTGGCCTCATCTTCTATTTCTTCAGCATTTTTCTGTGGAATTTTGGAAAAGACAAAGTCCATTCCCAGGAAGGAGCATGACCACAGAATGGAGAGCAGAATTACCAGAAAGACAAAGCAATACAAGTTGCATAAACAAATGGATATATTTGCTTTTTCCCCTGTAACAGGAAGTTTGAGTGTAGTTAGAAATGAACTGACACAGCGGCTTAAAAACATTATGAAGTTCTGCTGTAAATTTTTTTTTTTTTTTGAGACGGAGTTTCACTCTTGTCGCCAGGCTGGAGTGCAATGGTGCAATCTTAGCTCACTGCAACCTCCGCCTCCCGGACTCAAGTGATTCTCCTGCCTCAGCCTCCCAAGTAGCTGGGATTACAGGTGTGTGCCACCACACCCAGCTAATTTTGTATTTTTTTTTAGTAGAGACTGGGTTTCACCATGTTGGTCAGGCTGGTCTCAAACTCCTGACCTCAAGTGATCCATCCGCCTCAACCTCCCAAAATGCTGGAATTATAGGCATGAGCCAACCTGCCCAGCTGCTGTAACATTCTTAAAAACGTTGACATGTTGCCCTATGAATGTAAGACACAGGCTAGGCCTTCAGACACTTCCAGGGTCAAGACTGGGAGACAGCTGAAAGGGAGGGAAGCAAGGAGCTTTCTCCAAGGGAGATTATGCTTTAGTATGGGGGAAGGAAGGGGATCCCCAGTGCACGTTTATTCCACAGCATTGCCCGTCATGAGGCAGTGATCCTGTCTTGGATGAAAAAAGATTAGGTGACCATGTCTTGGTTAGACCAACCACAACTCATCCTCTTAAGTGGAAGAAGGGCTTCCCTTTCTTGCAATCAAGTCAGATCCACTACCAACTAGACAAAGTGGGGTTTGATTCACAGGGAGGAAAGGAAACGCCCACAGTCTAGGCAGCAGACAGGATGATGGCGCAGCTTCTGATGCCTTGGGTTTGTGCCTTTATGTAGACAGCAATTAGAACAAGGAGCAGAAGAAATTGTTTTTATTGGGTACTTTGTAGGAGGCTGAGTCTCCAGTGGTACTGATTTGGGGCCCAAATGAGACACAACAAGTGCTAGAGGGTTTGCTCCACAGAATGTGTGTTAGTCATAGAATGCTACATAGCAAATCCCTCCAAAACCTCGTGCCTTAAAACAAAACAAGATTTTTATTTCTCACAGTTTCTGTGGATTAGGCATTTGGGAAAAGCTTGGCTGTGTGGTTCTGCCTGGGTTTCTGATGAGGCGGCAGTGAAAATATCAACGGCTCCTGCAGATCTGAAGGCCTGGGCGGGGCTGAAGGACCTGCTTCCGAATGGCTCCCTCCCACAGTGGCCTGGCCCAGGATGAGTGATCCCACAGGCAAAGTGGGAGCTATATGCCTCCATGACCTTGCCTCAAAAGGCAGGCACCATTTCTTCCACCGGCTTTTGTTTTGGGTCAGCCCAGATTCGCCATGGGAGAGGGCTGTGTGAGGGCATGAACACTAAAAGGCAAGGCCATTTAGAAGCATCTTGCGTAAGAGTTAAAGAAAGAGGAAAGAAACACATGAAGTGGCTCAACAGTCAAAGACAGGTTTATTTTTGAGAGGGGCTTCTGGCCACTTTCCGTCAGGAGCCCTCTCTCAGGAAAAGTTTATGGTGGGGTTGTAATGCCTGTGGCTGGAGGGGAGATTATCTTAAGGCTGACATCTCTCAGGTAGGGGAGGGGTTTATCTTATGGCTGGAATGTTTCCGGTCGGAAATGTCATTTGTGGTTTATGGTCATGCTGACCTGAGCCATTAGGCTGATGTCCTTTGGATTTAGGCAGTTTTTGATCAAGGTGAACTTTAAAATGATGGTGCTTGTCCAAGTTGGCAATGCTCCTGCTGTCATGCTGGAGGCTGGCTAACCCCATCCTCCTGTATAGAAACTGGAACTGCTCTGATAGCTGTGAGAGGAGCAGGATGCTGCCCCTTGGGTACTCGTGGAAATAATACTGGGAGTGGAAGGGGCTGGTGGAGAACAGCCTAAGATTTTGCAGTTCTGCAGGAGCCATCCAAGAAGTCATGGTGGCTTGGACATTAGTGTTAATGTGATGTCATTTGTGCCCCAAAGCTGGAGAGAGCTGGGACAGTCTATTTCCTTGATTTATAAGTCGACCTCCTCTGAAGACCATGAGTTCCTCAGACAAATAACTCATGTTGTTTATCTTCAAATTCCTACTGCAGAGCACGTTGTCTGAAACGTGGAATGTGATTCCCAAATGTTTGTTAAATGAATAAAATGAGTGAGTCAGTGGATTCCTTTGTAGGCAAATTTTACAATAACTCCTCTTATTAGAGACCTTAGAAAGATGGAGGTGGAATTGGGGCGGGAGATGAAGGAACACAACCCCAGATCACACAGACTCAGGAGTGGTGCTGCCTGGAGCAAGGATGGGAACCCCCCGGGCCTGCCTGCAGAGGCTGTCCCCCACCAGCCATCCCGGGAAGCAAGTGATCCCTCACGGCCACCTCTGGAGGCCTTTACATTTGCTCAGGACTTTGCCATCCTGGAAAATGAAGAGACAGGCAAGAGACAGCACCTGGGTAACCTCTGGGGGCCATCACGCCTAAGCCTTGACAGCTGAGGCGTGCCTCGCCCTGCTTCTGTGGCCGCTGTCCTTATCCAGCCACCTGCAAGGGAACTGCAGCCATGTGGAAATCACCTATAGCTGGAGAGGAGCCTGTCCAAGGGGCTTCTGGGATAAGCAACAGCAGGAAGGGAGATTAGCCATCAAAACAGAACTGTGTAGCTCCAAATGAGAACAAAAAACTTAACTTTAAAAAAAAGTTACCTAATAGCAGAATAAAGCGTGAAGAAGCCTGTCTGCAATGAGTATAGGGGGGTTAGAAGAGCAAAGTCATCCAGCTTTAGTGCTTGGCAAGCTGTCCATTTTCCAGCCCCCCTGAATGACTTGAGCAGCTCTGTGGGCCCCACATGTGCAGCCAGTAACAGGATCTCACCCACCCCAACCCAAGGGTCCTGAGCGTCTGTCTGCAATCCCCACATCCCTGCTATAGAGGGGCAGACAGAACACATATGCTGCCCATTTGTGGAACCTATTGATTCATAAGAGGGACTAGTTCTGAGGCAGGCACTGGCTGTGCTAGAAATTAATTCACTAATCAATTACTCTCACATCCCCGGTCTGCGGGATATTTCTGTGCGATGGATTCCTCCTGCCCCACTGAGCTGCGGCTTTGGTTTTTATAATAAGATGGTGGCGGCGGGAGGAGCCAAGATGGCCGAATAGGAACAGCTCCTGTCTACAGCTCCCAGCGTGAGCGACGCAGAAGACGGGTGATTTCTGCATTTCCATCTGAGGTACCAGGTTCATCTCACTATGGAGTGCCAGACAGTGGGCGCAGGTCAGTGGGTGCGCGCACCGTGCGCAAGCCGAAGCAGGGCGAGGCATTGCCTCACTTGGGAAGCACAAGGGGTCAGGGAGTTCCCTTTCCGAGTCAAAGAAAGGGGTGACAGACGCACCTGGAAAATTGGGTCACTCCCACCCGAATACTGAGCTTTTCCGACGGGCTTAAAAACGGCGCACCACGAGATTATATCCCGCATCTGGCTCAGAGGGTCCTACGCCCACGGAGTCTCGCTGATTGCTAGCACAGCAGTCTGAGCTCAAACTGCAAGGCTGCAGCGAGGCTGGGGGAGGGGCGCCCGCCATTGCCCAGGCTTGCTTAGGTAAACAAAGCAGCCAGGAAGCTCCAACTGGGTGGAGCACACCACAGCTCAAGGAGGCCTGCCTGCCTCTGTAGGCTCCACCTCTGGGGGCAGGGCACAGACAAACAAAAAGACAGCAGTAACCTCTGAAGACTTAAATGTCCCTGTCTGACAGCTTTGAAGAGAACAGTGGTTCTCCCAGCACGCAGCTGGAGATCTGAGAACGGGCAGACTGCCTCCTCAAGTGAGTCCCTGACCCCCGAGCAGCCTAACTGGGAGGCACCACCCACAGGGGCACACTGACACCTCACACAGCAGGGTACTCCAACAGACCTGCAGTTGAGGGTCCTGTCTGTTAGAAGGAAAACTAACAAACAGAAAGGACATCCACACCAAAAACCCATCTGTATATCACCATCATCAAAGACCAAAAGTAGATAAAACCACAAAGATGGGGAAAAAACAGAACAGAAAAACTGGAAACTCTAAAAAGCAGAGCACCTCTCCTCCTCCAAAGGAACACAGTTCCTCACCAGCAACGGAACAAAGCTGGATGGAGAATGACTTTGACGAGCTGAGAGAAGAAGGCTTCAGACGATCAAATTACTCTGAGCTACGGGAGGACATTCAAACCAAAGGCAAAGAAGTTGAAAACTTTGAAAAAAATTTAGAAGAATGTATAACTAGAATAACCAATACAGAGAAGTGCTTAAAGGAGCTGATGGAGCTGAAAACCAAGGCTCGAGAACTATGTGAAGAATGCAGAAGCCTCAGGAGCCGATGCAACCAACTGGAAGAAAGGGTATCAGCAATGGAAGATGAAATGAATGAAATGAAGTGAGAAGGGAAGTTTAGAGAAAAAAGAATAAAAAGAAATGAGCAAAGCCTCCAAGAAATACGGGACTATGTGAAAAGACCAAATCTACGTCTGATTGGTGTACCTGAAAGTGATGGGGAGAATGGAACCAAGTTGGAAAACACTCTGCAGGATATTATCCAGGAGAACTTCCCCAATCTAGCAAGGCAGGCCAATGTTCAGATTCAGGAAATACAGAGAACACCACAAAGATACTCCTCGAGAAGAGCAACTCCAAGACACATAATTGTCAGATTCACCAAAGCTGAAATGAAGGAAAAAATGTTAAGGGCAGCCAGAGAGAAAGGTCGGGTTACCCTCAAAGGGAAGCCCATCAGACTAACAGCGGATCTCTCGGCAGAAACCCTACAAGCCAGAAGAGAGTGGGGGGCCAATATTCAACATTCTTAAAGAAAAGAATTTTCAACCCAGAATTTCATATCCAGCCAAACTAAGCTTCATAAGCGAAGGAGAAATAAAATACTTTACAGACAAGCAAATGCTGAGAGATTTTGTCACCACCAGGCCTGCCCTAAAAGAGCTCCTGAAGGAAGCACTAAACATGGAAAGGAACAACCGGTACCAGCTGCTGCAAAATCATGCCAAAATGTAAAGACCATCGAGACTAGGAAGAAACTGCATCAACTAACCAGCAAAATAACCAGCTAACATCATAATGACAGGATCAAATTCACACATAACAATATTAACTTTAAATGTAAATGGACTAAATGCTCCAATTAAAAGACACAGACTGGCAAATTGGATAAAGAGTCAAGACCCATCAGTGTGCTGTATTCAGGAAACCCATCTCACGTGCAGAGACACACATAGGCTCAAAATAAAAGGATGGAGGAAGATCTACCAAGCAAATGGAAAACAAAAAAAGGCAGGGGTTGCAATCCTCGTCTCGGATAAAACAGACTTTAAACCAACAAAGATCAAAAGAGACAAAGAAGGCCATTACATAATGGTAAAGGGATCAATTCAACAAGAAGAGCTAACTATCCTAAATATATATGCACCCAATACAAGAGCACCCAGATTCATAAAGCAAGTCCTGAGTGACCTACAAAGAGACTTAGACTCCCACACATTAATAATGGGAGACTTTAACACCCCACTGTCAACATTAGACAGATCAACGAGACAGAAAGTCAACAAGGATACCCAGGAATTGAACTCAGCTCTGCACCAAGCAGACCTAATAGACATCTACAGAACTCTCCACCCCAAATCAACAGAATATACATTTTTTTCAGCACCGCACCACACCTATTCCAAAATTGACCACATACTTGGAAGTAAAGCTCTCCTCAGCAAATGTAAAAGAACAGAGATTATAACAAACTATCTCTCAGACCACAGTGCAATCAAACTAGAACTCAGGATTAAGAATCTCACTCAAAACCGCTCAACTACATGGAAACTGAACAACCTGCTCCTGAATGACTACTGGGTACATAACGAAATGAAGGCAGAAATAAAGATGTTCTTTGAAACCAACGAGAACAAAGACACAACATACCAGAATCTCTGGGATGCATTCAAAGCAGTGTGTAGAGGGAAATTTATAGCACTAAATGCCCACAAGAGAAAGCAGTAAAGATCCAAAATTGACACCCTAACATCACAATTAAAAGAACTAGAAAAGCAAGAGCAAACACATTCAAAAGCTAGCAGAAGGCAAGAAATAACTAAAATCAGAGCAGAACTCAAGGAAATAGAGACACAAAAACCCTTCAAAAAATTAATGAATCCAGGAGCTGGTTTTTTGAAAGGATCAACAAAATTGATAGACCGCTAACAAGACTAATAAAGAAAAAAAGAAGAATCAAATAGATGCAATAAAAAATGATAAAGGGGATATCACCACTGATCCCACAGAAATACAAACTACCATCAGAGAATACTACAAACACCTCTACGCAAATAAACTAGAAAATCTAGAAGAAATGGATAAATTCCTCGACACATACACTCTCCCAAGACTAAACCAGGAAGAAGTTGAATCTCTGAATAGGCCAATAACAGGATCTGAAATTGTGGCAATAATCAATAGCTTACCAACCAAAAAGAGTCCAGGACCAGATGGATTCACAGCCGAATTCTACCAGAGGTACAAGGAGGAGCTGGTACCATTCCTTCTGAAACTATTCCAATCAATAGAAAAAGAGGGAATCCTCCCTAACTGATTTTATGAGGCCAGCATCATTCTGATACCAAAGCCGGGCAGAGACACAACCAAAAAAGAGAATTTTAGACCAATATCGTTGATGAACATTGATGCAAAAATCCTCAATAAAATACTGGCAGAACGAATCCAGCAGCACATCAAAAAGCTTATCCACCATGATCAAGTGGGCTTCATCCCTGGGATGCAAGGCTGGTTCAATATACGCAAACCAATAAATGTAATCCAGCATATAAACAGAGCCAGAGACAAAAACCACATGACTATCTCAATAGATGCAGAAAAAGCCTTTGACAAAATTCAACAACCCTTCATGCTAAAAACTCTCAATAAATTAGGTATTGATGGGACATATTTCAAAATAATAAGAGCTATGTATGACAAACCCACATCCAATATCATACTGAATGGGCAAAAACTGGAAGCATTCCCTTTGAAAACTGGCACAAGACAGGGATGCCCTCTCTCACCACTCCTATTCAACATAGTGTTGGAAGTTCTGGCCAGGGCAATTAGGCAGGAGAAGGAAATAAAGCGTATTCAATTAGGAAAAGAGGAAGTCAAATTGTCCCTTGCAGACGACATGATTGTATATCTACAAAACCCCACTGTCTCAGCCCAAAATCTCCTTAAGCTGATAAGCAACTTCAGCAAAGTCTCAGGATACAAAATCAATGTACAAAAATCACAAGCATTCTTATACACCAACAACAGACAGAGAGCCAAATCATGAGTGATATCCCATTCACAATTGCTTCAAAGAGAATAAAATACCTAGGAATCCAACTTACAAGGGATGTGAAGGACCTCTTCAAGGAGAACTACAAACCACTGCTCAAGGAAATAAAAGAGGATACAAACAAATGGAAGAACATTCCATGCTCATGGGTAGGAAGAATCAATATCGTGAAAATGGCCATACTGCCCAAGGTAATTTATAGATTAAATGCCATCCCCATCAAACTACCAATGACTTTCTTCACAGAATTGGAAAAAACTACTTTAAAGTTCATATGGAACCAAAAAAGAGCCCGCATCGCCAAGTCAATCCTAAGCCAAAAGAACAAAGCTGGAGGCATCATACTACCTGACTTCAAACTATACTACAAGGCTACAGTAACCAAAACAGCATGGTACTGGTACCAAAACAGAGATATAGATCAATGGAACAGAACAGAGCCCTCAGAAATAACACCGCATATCTACAACTATCTGATCTTTGACAAACCTGAGAAAAACAAGCAATGGGGAAAGGATTCCCTATTTAATAAATGGTGCTGGGAAAACTGGCTAGCCATATGTAGAAAGCTGAAACTGGATCCCTTCCTTACACCTTATACAAAAATCAATTCAAGATGGATTAAAGACTTAAACGTTAGACCTAAAACCATAAAAACCCTGGAAGAAAACCTAGGCATTACCATTCAGGACATAGGCATGGGCAAGGACTTCATGTCTAAAACACCAAAAGCAATGGCAACAAAAGACAAAATTGACAAATGGGATCTAATTAAACTAAAGAGCTTCTGCACAGCAAAAGAAACTACCATCAGAGTGAACAGGCAACCTACAAAATGGGAGAAAATTTTCGCAACCTACTCATCTGACAAAGGGCTAATATCCAGAATCTACAATGAACTCAAACAAATTTACAAGAAAAAAACAAACAACCCCATCAAAAAGTGGGCGAAGGACATGAACAGACACTTCTCAAAAGAAGTCATTTATGCAGCCAAAAAACACATGAAAAAATGCTCATCATCACTGGCCATCAGAGAAATGCAAATCAAAACCACAATGAGATACCATCTCACACCAGTTAGAATGGCAATCATTAAAAATTCAGGAAACAACAGGTGCTGGAGAGGATGTGGAGAAATAGGAACACTTTTACACTGTTGGTGGGACTGTAAACTAGTTCAACCATTGTGGAAGTCAGTGTGGCGATTCCTCAGGGATCTAGAACTAGAAATATCATTTGACCCAGCCATCCCATTACTGGGTATATACCCAAAGGACTATAAATCATGCTGCTATAAAGACACATGCACATGTATGTTTATTGCGGCATTATTCACAATAGCAAAGACTTGGAACCAACCCAAATGTCCAACAATGGTAGACTGGATTAAGAAAATGTGGCACATATACACCATGGAATACTATGCAGCCATAAAAAATGATGAGTTCATGTCCTATGTAGGGACATGGATGAAATTGGAAATCATCATTCTCAGTAAACTATCGCAAGAACAAAAAACCAAACACCGCATATTCTCACTCATAGGTGGGAATTGAACAATGAGATCACATGGACACAGGAAGGGGAATATCACACTCTGTGGACTGTTGTGGGGTGGGAGGAGTGGGGAGGGATAGCACTGGGAGATATACCTAATGCTAGATGATGAGTTAGTGGGTGCAGCGCACCAGAATGGCACATGTATACATATGTAACTAACCTGCACAATGTGCACATGTACCCTAAAACTTAAAGTATAATAAAAAAAAATAAAAAATAAGACGGTGGCACCCTAGCGCAATAAAGAACAGTGCTGGCCAAGAGTTTCTAAGTGTCTGGAAACAAATCCAGGTGTGCTGGGACCTTACTGCCCCTGCTGTGGCTGGGGAGTCTATGAGAGGAAATCTCAGTGAGTCACCTGGCTTGGGTGAGGACAGGGCAAGCAGGCACAGAGAGCAAAGTGCAATGCCATCCTGACCCTGAGATGTTCCCCTCCATCCTCAGGCCCAGCTTCCCAGGGAACTGGCACAGACTGCTGTGCACCCCCAGACTGGGTACGGGAGGCTCCCCCAATGGGACTCTCATTCTCTGGGATGCAGGGAATTCTACCAGCCCCGCGTGTGTCCCATGGTCAGTTTCAACAAAGAGCTTACAACCAGTTCTCCAAAACAATTAGTCTTGACCTGATGAGACTGAATTCCTAAGCTCAGGGGTGAGATTGGCCATGGTCCTGCCTGTGCTGGGAGCACTGGTACCAACCCAGCAGGGTCACTGTGGCCCTTGTCCAGTTTTGCAGCCACATGCTGGCTTTTCTTTACCTAGTGAATGGGCAGGAACAGAATGGTCCCCAAGGGGCCAGAGATCCATTCTTGTCCTGGGAGTTGTGAGTGTGCACAGGATGCAGTTGCCTTCTGGAGCTGCCTGTGGGGTCTCCACCCTGGCAGAGATGGCCACATTGTGCTCCCAGAAGCAGCTTCCTGGCCCCATGTCTTTGGCCTGATTCCCCATTTGTGGTTATTTAAAGCTTACTACAGACGACAGATACACCCAAATTTCTTAAATATGTCCCTTTAGGAAGGCTATCCCCTCCTCCTGCTTCCAAACCTCACCTCCAGCCACCAAAACAGCCAAGCCTGGAGGTCGATACTTGCCTCCACTCCCAGAGGGGGCTGTGGAGTGTCTGGAGAAGAGAGCCTTTGGGTTGTTGTGGGCAAGTCCATGCATAGCTCTACCCTGATCCACACTTCCAGGACCTGGACTCAAGCCTCCTCATCAAGGCACTGGACTGCCTGCTCAGGGCCTCCATGGCCTGAGATTCTAGGAACCCTCAATTCCTATGTTTAGATCCATTGATCATCCTGGCCCTCTCTTCTGGCTGGACAGCTGCCTAGTTCTGAGGATTAGGGGACATCCAAATTCTGTAGGACCTGAAGCTTATACAATTTGAAAGTGTCTTTAAGAAAAATATAAAAATAAGAATACAAAATTAACGGCCAGGCGCGGTGGCTCACGCCTGTAATCCCAGCACTTTGGGAGGCTGAGGTGGGTGGGTCACGAGGTCAAGAGATCGAGACCATCCTGGCCAACATGGTGAAACCCCGTCTTTACTAAAAATACAAGAATTAGCTGGGCGTGGTGGCATGTGCCTGTAGTCTCAGCTACTCGCGAGGCTGAGGCAGGAGAATCAGTTGAATCTGGGAGGCAGAGGTTGCAGTGAGCACAGATCACGCCACTGTACTCCAGCCTGGCGACAGAGCGAGACTCCATCTCAAAAAAAAAAAAAAAAAAAAAGAATACAAAATTAGGTACAAGTGCATCTTTATTTGGCAGGAGAAAAAAAATCACAGCACTCAAAAATTTTAAAAAGTTAACAAGTACCATGAATGTCACAACATCCAGAAAAAAATTTAATTTACTCCGTGTTATAATTTTTTTATTTTTGTATTTCTTGAGACTGTCTCACTCTGTCACTCAGGCTAGAGTGCAGTGGTGCAATTATGGCTCACTGCAGCCTTGAACCCCTGGGCTCAAGCAATCCTCCTGCCCCACATTCCTGCATGGCAGTGACAACAGGCACATGCTACCATGCCCAGCTAACTTTTTAATTTCTTTGTAGAGATGGGGTCTTGCTATGTTGCCCAGTCTGGTCTTGAATTGCTTGCTGGGCTCAAGCAATCTGCCTGCCTCAGCCTCCCAAAGTGCCGGGGTTACAGGTGTGAGCCACTGTGCCCAGCCTGTAATTTTGTAACAATTTCCCTTATATTCTAGGATTTCATACTCTTTGTTCTTCTTTTTATATGACAATGATTTTATACTATTTTTCTATAAAGAGAATAGATAGTCTTCTGTAGCATGATCGGTCAAAATTTATTTTCTATTATTGATCATTTAGAAAAGCTCCTTTTGACCTAACAGCTTATTATGGGTAATGCCATGTCAAATTTTGTCAAATTTGGGGAAACTTCTAGCGTGTTTATTTTATACATAAAATGTAAGATTTCAGGACATTTCAAGTTTTCTTACATAGTAGCTAACAACAAACATATTTTAAATTATCAATGTTTATTAACCAGTTTGTCATTGATGTTCTCATTGTAATGGCATGTTACAAATTTTGTTAGTATCAATGATGTCAGCGTTTCAATAAATCAGCCAGAAATCTAAATCAATCTCTTTTGGCTTGCAGGGCTTCAGTTGAGAGGTCCGCTGTTAGTCTGAGACATTGAATCAACCTGAATGCCCATCAATGATAGACTGGATAAAGAAAATGTGGTACATACACCATGGAATACTATGCAGCCATAAAAAAGGGATGAGATCATGTCCTTTGCAGGGACATGGATGGAGTTGGAAGCCATTATCCTTGGCAAACTAACGCAAGAACAAAAAAACAAATACCACATGTTCTTATTTATAAGCGGGAGCTAAATGATGAGAACACACGGACATATAGAGGGGAACAACACACAGTGGGGCATACTGGAGGGTGAAAGGTGGGAGGAGGCAGAGGATCAGGAAAAATAATGAATAATAGGCTTAATACCTGGTGATGAAATAATCGGTACAACAAACTCCCATGACACCAGTTTCCCTGTGTAACAAACCTGCACATGTACCCCTAAATTTAAAATAAAAATAAAACCTCAATCATCACCCATCATGTTAGCGTGCTTCACTCCCCTTAATTCGCAGCTGCCTCTCAGTTAACTCATGTCCTGCTGCCAGCACACCCTCCCCTAAGCCTCCTATGCACAGATCTCCATCTCCAAGTCAGTTTCCAGACAACTGACCTGTCCTGGGTTGAACAGTGTCCCTCCCAACTTCATGTACCTCTGGAACCTCAGAACGTGGCCTCATTTGGATATAGCATCCTTGCGGCTATGATTGGTTAAAGTGAAGTCATACTGAATTAGGGTGGGGCCTAAACCTAATGACCTGGAGTCCTTATAAGAAGAGGAGAGAGAGCACAGAGACAAGAGAGAAGGAGGCCAAGTGAGGACAGAGGCAGAGATTGGAGCCATGAAGCTGCAAACCCAGGAGCTCCAAGGACTGCCAGCCACCATCAGGAGCCAGAAGAGGCCAGCCCGAGAGGGTCCTCCCCGAGAGGTCTCCCCCGAGAGGCTTCCAAAGGAGTGTGGCCCTTCTGACGCTTGGTCTCCAGCTTCCTGTGGCACTGTTACAGCTGCCCTAATACATGACTCCAGACACTCCCCTCAGCCGGACACCAACATTTCTCCAGCCATATACTTCACACAGGCGATCTGAGATGGGAAGAGAGGTTGGCTTACATTAGAACATTTTACACAACCATATATGAACACGATGTTGGGGCTTCTTCTCAGTCCTAGAAGTTGCCAATGCATGGCTGCTTGAGGGAACAGGCTAGGGTCCGCCCACCACAGAACCAAGCGTCCATCTCTGAAGACATCCGGGTGAGCTGCAGAGCACAGCCCAGGCATTTGTGTTGCCAGGACTCACAGGACCATTTATGAAATGTGATCCTCCACAAACAGATGCTCAGAATAGATGCATGGATGGATGGATGAAAAGCAACCTTGATGTAAAATATAGTCCTTATCCCTAAATCTTAATAACTGACAGTGCAGAAGAGATGCTGGCTGTATTGTACAGCACAGTGGAATGAGACAGATGCCATCGAGTGCCCATTAGCGCAGGCTCTGGGAGCTGAGAGAAGAGGGGAGCCTGGGCAGCAGCTGCTGGAGCCTCCCAGGACTGGGCAGCAGAAGACCAAAATCCTAAAGGATAGGAATGTTCTACTTCTTTTTTAAATTAATTAATTTTTTTTTTTTTTTTAGATAGAGTCTTACTTTGTCACCCAAACTGGAGTGCAGTGGTACAATCTTGGCTCGCTGCAACCTCTGCCTCCCAGGTTCAAGCGATTCTCCTGCCTCAGCCTCCTGAGAAGCTGGGACTACAGGCACCTGCCACCACACCCAGCTAATTTTTATGTTTTTGTAGAGATGGGGTTTTGCCATGCTGCCCAGGCTGGCCTTGAACTCCTGGTCTAAAGCAATCTACCCGCCTCAGCCTCCTAAAGTGCTGGGATTACAGGCATGAGCCACCACACCCAGCCAAGGAAAGAAAAGTTCTAACAAGCGAGAGGCACCCTCCCTCCTGCAAGGCTGAGAGTAGTGTGCTCTGATGCCCCAGGGGAGCTGAGTCCCCACTCAGAAAACTTGTCTCTACAGGAGAAGGCTGTGTTCCCTTTTTGCACAGTGGATTTTTTTATTTATTTAATCTATTTATTTATTTATTTATTTTTGAGATGGAGTCTTGCTCTGTCGCCCAGGCTGGAGTGCAATGGCATGATCTTGGCTCACTGCAACCTCTGCCTCTCCCAGGTTCATGCAATTATCCTGCCTCAGCCTCCCAAGTAGCTGGGACTACAGGCGCCTGCCACCACGCCCGGCTATTTTTTGTATTTTTAACAGAGACGGGGTTTCGCCATGCTGGCAGGGCTGGTCTCAAACTCCTGACCTCAGGTGATCTGCCCCACCTTAGCCTCCCAAAGTACTGGGATTACAGGTGTGAGCCACTGCATCCGGCCTAGTGCAATGGATTTTAGAGCAGACTTGATGTAGCCATCAACGTTGTGAAAACTGGCTTGAGGCCTAATGCCTATTTCCATTTTCCCATAGCAAGGTTTATGGGTGCAGGAAATGTGTATGAGACCTAAGATAATGAATTTTTATACCTGTGAAAGTGGAGAAAATATAAATTTAAAACAACCTGCAGGCAGAGGTAATTAAGTAATTTTTCATAAATACTGAGTCTTCCATTCTTTAGAGACCTTGAAGTGCACCTGGTCCCAGCCCCCTCATCACAGAAAAGTGAAATGCAGAGGGGCTGAAAACCCTGCTTATGTCACAGCAGGGCCCACTGGGTCCTCATGCCTGACCCCCAGGCCATCACTTTCCTGTCATGCCAGGAGAAGTCCCTGCATGTCAAGTAATTGCTTTCAGAGATTAACCAGAGGAGAAGGTGTAAACCTGGCATCTACTTTACCCCTATATGAAACAGCTTTAGGGATGACATGTAAGCCAGAGCTCCACAGTTAAACAGCATGGCAGCTGAATCCTCACAAGGACCTTTTTGGAAAAAAAAAAAAAAAAAAAAGGTAGTGGCCAGGCACAGTGGTTTATGCTTTTAATCCTAGCACTTTGGGAGGCCGAGGCAGGAAGACTGGTTGAGGCCAGTTCACGAACAGCCTAGGTAACAGAGTGACACTTCATCTCTACAAACATTTTTTTTTTTAAATTAGCCAGGCATGGGGGTGCACACCTGTAGTCCCAGTTACTTGGGAGGCTGAGGCAGGAACATTGTTTGAGCCCAGGAGGTGGAGGCTGCAGTAAGCCATGATCAGTGATCAGGCCACTGCATTCCAGTCTGGGGAACAGAGCAAGACACGGTCTCAAAAAAAAAAAAAAAAAAGAAAGAAAAGAAAAGAAAAAGAAGAAAGAAAGAAACCTCTCAGCCCAGGCAAACAAACCAAGATGCAAGATGGCTGGTCACCCTAACTCTTCAGAGAATTCCCACAGTATTTGTGGTTTTCCCCTCGCTTTCTTTTCCTATGTCTGGTGGATTGGTAAACTCTTTCTCAATGATATATTAGATTAAATATGTAAATCCAATGAAAACCTATGAGAACAGTTGCAAATTACCCCACCTCCTGGATCAAAGTACAATTGGCTAAGTAATGGAAATTGTAATGGTGATGAGCCTTCAATCTTTACCCAGGAAAGTCAATGAAGTTGTGTTTATGCCCTGTCTGAAGGCAGTCCTGCTCTTCCATGACTTACACATGAACAGTGTTCCTGATGTTTTGGGAGTCAGAATATGGATCGAGGTGAGTCAAAGTTAACCAATGAATGAGTAATGAATTGGTTAACAGAAAGATTATTGTACCTTAGTTTCCTCATTTACCAATCAAATGTAGTAACAGTATGTACTTCGTAAGATCCTTACAAAGGTTAAATGAGTTAATACCTGCAAAAGCACTTCGGGGAGTGCCTAGCACATAGGAAGGACTCTAGACGTGTTCCTAAAAAAAAATAAATAAAAACTGCGTGGGACAGTTTTTGTTTTTGTTGTCTTTCTGATGCAGCTAGGAGCTATGTATGCATGTGCTTATACACAGTCACACACAAACTCATGTGAAGAACATGCGCACAGGAGTGAATATGAGAAGATTTGAAAATATATTTGAACCTCACTTTAATGTAAGGCCAAGATTTAAACCAAAGACAAATGAAGTTGACTCTTTTCTTCATGAACAATTTCTTTAAAGGGTGAAACTCCCTCATTTACAGAACTTTTGGCTCACACATAGCTGTGTTCACACCACTTTCAGCCAGCTGTCCAGACCGCGGGAAGCGGGACGCGTGGGCAGCCTTGCTTCTGAGCTTCCACCTCCACTGCTTGCCTGAGAACATCAGGGAATCTGCCTACTTCCCTTTGTTCAGCCAGTAGCAGATGTCTGAGCTCACTTTATTAGAAGGAGTTTGCTGGGTCACAAGGGGTTAGAACTTGGGAGGGGAGTTAATACAAGCACCTGAAACAAGCACAGTCCAGACAAAAGTGACAGGCAGATGGGTCCCTGTTTCTGGGGGTCGCGGTGGTTAAAATGACAGAGAGATGGGCCCCTGTTTCCAGGGGTCATGGTGGTTAAAGTGACAGGCAGATGGGTCCCTGTTTCCAGTGGTCACAGTGGGCTTGGCACCCAGTGAGCGGGGTGGAATGAACTGGAGATGACATGGCAGGAGGGGCTGGAAGGGGCACTCGAACCTGACCTTTCCAGTGGGAGGGCTGGGGTGTGTGGACATGAGGGGCGGGGCAGAGGGAGCCAGGCGGACGCACAGCTAGGGTGCTGTGGGGCCAAAGGCAGGGAGTGGTTTGAGAAAAGCACATGGAGTAATGTAAAGAGATGAGACAGCGGGCACCGGCATGAGAGCCCAGACTCAGGGCCTCCTCACCGACAGCCACATCCTCCTGGCCACAAGGCTGGATTTCAGCAGGGTGTCTTGTTCCAAAAAAAAAAAAAAACCAAAAAAAAAGTGTATTGATGTGCTCAATTCCTATCAGTCAAGCCTATGGTAACCATGATAAAAATGATATTTTCACAATGACAGAGATGGTGACAACAATCAAGACTTGATCATTGGGACAAGGAAGGATTGGAAGAACCAAACACAACATGAAGGGAATTAAGTAGGAGGTAGAGGAATGGGAGGAGGGAGTTGGGTTCATGGAGCTTCACGTCAACGAGATAATAAACAACTGGGTGGGGCTGAAATTTTAGAAGAGTCATGGCTGAAGATAGGGATTGAAAAAGCACCAACCCAGAGTTGAAAAATTAAAGCCATGAAAAACTGGGGCTAAAAGCAGGTGTAGGGAGAAACAGAGCCTGGGAGCTAGGGTCCCTTGAAAGGCAGGTGGGTCAGGGCCCCTGGAACTGAGGTCCAGGTCTCTGATGACCATCAAGTCAATGCCAGTCCCTCCAGCCCCCAGACTATAGCCCCTGATGGTGAACTATGAACATCTTGTATCCCACTTCCCATCCAAGCCCTGGGGTGCATCCTGGGGGCCGATGACAGTGTCAGGCATCCCTGTGCTTGCCATGGGCCAGCACCCCTGGGTGGGTGGAGATGGGCTGAGAGCCAGGCTGCTGTGGAGAAAACACCTGAAAGAAGGTGTCTCCCCATCCCCCTTCAGTGCTGCCCCCAAGACCTGAGCCGTCTGTGTTGTGGTCATCCCCAAAGTAGGTGAAGGGAGGATAGAGTTTCCCAGGTAAGATGGAGCCTGTGAGAACCCAGGGACCCTGTACCCTGGCCTGGCGTGACTCAGGAGGCGGATCTGGTGCAGAGGCTGAAATTCAAGAATCATCAGAAAAATTACCCACAGGAAGTACTGTGTCCACAAAGAGAGAAAAGAGAGAAAGGGGGAGCCCCAACCCCTATTTAAAAAGTCTGGAAGAGGAGAAGGGGCCCCCAAAAAAGGGATGAGGTGAGCCAGGATGGGACCGATACCTTTGGGAGGGTGAGCAGACGCCCCCTGTTCTGCTCTGCTCTGCGAGCCCTGCCCTGATAGATCCTGTGTCTACGCTAAGTACATGCCAGCTGGTCCTCACACGAGAGCACAGGTCTTCCTTCCTGGCGGTGGAAATGCAATCACGGCCTGAGGCCAAGAGCCAGGGCCCAGGGCAGGGCACACCACACATAGACGCTTGGACCAAGCATAGAAAAGGGGTGGATTTCACCCTCAGGGATGCTGAGCTGAGCCCAGCGAGGACATGGCATTTTCTGGGCTGAGGACAGGTCTGCTGAGTCAGAGGCAATGCAGTCAGACTTCAGATTTGTACTCTTGCCACCGTCACCTGGGATAAATGCCAGCCGTTTCACCTTCATTGGTTCCTTTGAGAGACCAGATGTTTTCCTTTGGAAATTCGGAATTTGAAACATAAAACTGAAAGAGCAGTGCCAGCCTGTCCATAAACCGGTTCCCTGCCGTCCAGAAGCTGCCAAGCCACCACCCAGCCTCAGCCTGGCAAATGGACTTGACCACGTCAGGGTTGTTGGGTTCACCTTCTACATCCTTCCCAGAAAGGCCCTTCTAAAGTGACTTCCCAAACGTGTGCCAGGCATCATTCTAAGTGGCTTGCATATGTTTCCTCATTCAATTCTCCAACAACTCAGCTGTGAGGACTCCAAAGAACCCCATGTAAAGGTGGAGAAACAGAGGCCCAGAGAGGGAAAGTCACTTGCCCAAGGTCATGTGGCCCGGGGCACTGGCATTGACCCCTGCAGGGCGCCTCCAGAGTCCTCTCCGGTAACCACTGGACTACGCTGCCTGTCAAGGGTGGATCAGCTCATTTGGGGTCCTTAAGCTCCTTGAAGCGTAAATCGTGTTCTATTCTCTTCCGTCTTAGCACATCCTGACAACCATGCTAAGCAGGAACGATCACCGAAGAGGAATGATCACCAAAGAGGAAGCTAGTGTAGAGGGGTTTATGGGTTTTCTGATATCACACCTGGAATTGGAATCCTTGTCTATTAATTCCAAGTCCTGGGCCTTAACAACAGCAACAGAAGTAGACTTTTACCCTAGGTCTAGGGAGCAGAACTACAGCATGTGGCTGGAAGAAGCCCCTGGCAGCAAACGCCACCCTGGATCACACTTGATAGAGAAAAACACCAGGGACTTAGAAGCAAAAGATTTCATTGTGAATTTCTACTCCACCAACTCAATGATTTAGGGTAAATTTCTTAAATTTGTGGAAATGATCCTACCCTGATAATGGTCTTCCTATTGCCCAGGGTTGTTAGGCATTGAAAACTAACGATGCCCTCTGTAAACTGTAAAGTGCTGTGTGGCTGCCAGTGCAGTTGTGGTTGCCAATGATAATAAGATATCTTTTCTCACTAGCGCTATGAGGGTTATGAAATGGCTATTTCTCACCATGGTAAAAATTCCTTCTCTCGGGCAGGCAAGAGCTCAGTGCTGCTGTGCAGCAGAAGCTTGAACTCAGAAAACCTTCACATCACTGCCTTTGAGGTGTGGGGTGGACAACCTGCGGGTAGTATATCATGGTTGTGTATTCCTGGGATTTCGTCCACAGAGTGTGAGTGGATGTTTTCTGAGAGGTCACTACAGTCCAGTGTGTTACAGACGTGCTGAGTCAAACAATATTCAAGGGCTTTCTTGTCTATAGCACTTCTCAAAACCTTTAATAGGCTGTGGCATGTAGTTCCAGAAAATATTACATAGAGTTTCTTAAACATTTTCAGCTGGGTTTTTTTTTTTTTTTTGGAATTTTTTTCAAGGAGCATCTCTTCAGAATAACCATCTGTGACTCACTCTGAGAAATGCCGCATGCTGGAAAGAGTTAAGAAACAAACAGTTGAGATGAAAAAAGTACTGGGTGGGCCCTCGATTCTTCAGAAGGCTCATACCTTCACCTGTGGAGCTTCTAGTGCAAATCCATCTCCCCCTCTCGCTCTTTCTCTGTGCACTAATCGCTTACATATCATTGTTACTGGGAGCAGCAAAGCCTGTCTGGGCAGGGTGGTGGATATCCTGAAGGCAACTCCCACAGTGTTTTACTGAGGAACCTTCATGCCTCCCTGCTTCCAAGCACTTACTGCCTAACGATCTCTGTGTAACTCAGAGGAGGGTAGGGTAGGGCAGGGGGTATTTTTCTTTTTCTTTTTTTTTTTAAGACGGAGTCTGGCTCTGTCACCCAGGCTGGAATGCAGTGGCGTGACCTCAGCTCACTGCAAGTTCCGCCTCCCGGGTTCACACCATTCTCCTGCCTCAGCCTCCTGAGTAGCTGGGACTACAGGTGCCCGCCACTATGCCTGGCTAATTTTTTCGTATTTTTAGTAGAGACGGGGTTTCACTGTGTTAGCCAGGATGGTCTCGATCTTCTGACCTCTTGATCTGCCCGCCTCGGCCTCCCAAAGTGCTGGGATTACAGGTGTGAGCCACCGCGCCCGGCCAGTAGCGGGTATTCCTATCAGAAACTTTTGAATGTCTCTGGGAAGCTAAACTAGGAAAACCTTCCTCTACTCCAATAATCTAGTTGGAAAGGGAAAAAAGAGCCAAGGACTTTGTCTTTCGGTGACATTGTGAACTTTCAAGGAGGAGAGAATAAATCCAGTCAGTCAGACAAAAAAGATGACAGGTTGCTTGGGGGCCCAGACAATACACACCCTGATGTAGCCTGTGTAGGATTCCAGGACTCAGAGAGAGGCAGACAAATGAGGGGTGACCGGTAAGAGCTGCTTCCAGAGCTTCAGAGCAGACCTCCATCCTACATGACCTGTGGGGGGAAGGGGTCCTCTGAGTGCTGTGGCTGCTAAATTGCCAGGGTTGGTTTGTCAGACACTCCTGCACTGGGTCCTCTAATGCAGGGTTCTGTGGCTTGGGGCTAAAACAGTGCTTAGATGTGCCTCAAAAGAATATTCCAGACCAGGGCTATCCAATAGAACTTTCTGCAGTGATAGAGATGCCTTCTGTGTATGTGTGCACTGTCCAAAATGGTAGCCAGTAGCCACATGGCGCTATGGAGCATTTGAAATATGGCTAGTGTGACCAAAGAAGGGAACTGTATTTTATTTTTCATTTTAATTAACTGAAATCCTAACAGCTGGCTATCCCATAGGACAGCGCAGATCTATGATGGTGTGTGCAGACATTTCCTAAGTGTTTACGGCAGAGGGGTGAAAAAGAGGGATCTTGCATTTTCAAATCTGTCTGTGGTTCCCAGGAGGGGACAATACCCCAACCCAGGGTGCAGCCCCTGCACACGTGTGAGGACATTTTTGGCTTATCATGGTTCTTGAGGGATGCCATGAGTATTTCCTGAGTAGGGCCAGGGATGCTCAATGATGGGCAGTGAAAGAACAGACCACACAGAGAACCGCCCTAGAGAAGCAGTGCCCAGGACAGAGCCTCAGCCACACTCAGAACAGCTGTTATCCACCATGTCATTTTGTCACGGCTCAGGGCCAGGAAAGGGACAAGGGGTGAATAGAATAAGCATTTGCACGCCGAGTGTCTGTGTACATGCATGTGTACTTCAAAGAACACACCCTGGCTGCAAGTTTTCATCTGATCGGTAAGCGCAAATCCTATGCACCAATTCTATAATTTATCCTCACTCTCTGTCGGTAGGGTAGTAGGCTTGGGATTGGTCCGCGTAAAGTCTTGGTCGCAGTGGGCCCTGGTGCTTTAGTCAGGACCAGCTTTCTCCCTGCTCTGGAATCTGTAAGCTTGCTCTGCGCCACCTGGTGGTTAGAAAAATTCTGACCCTGGACTCTCCTTGATAAACCTGAATTGTTTCTTATGCCAAAAACAGAGGGAAGGCGGGGAATAAATTGCAAATAAACGTGTTCGTTCCATTCCAAAAACGTTTGCTAGTGGAAGGCAGCATGAGGTGGTTATAAGCTCCGATGCCAGGGAAGCGCTCTGGAGAAGACCCTGACAACGAGAGGGCCTCACCGCCCCGAGAGCTCACCAGGCACAAGCACCTCCCAGGGGACGCCCCGGCTAAGCTCCCTCCCAGGAAAGCCCCCTCAAGGCTTCGGGACAGACCTAACTGGGTTCCACCATCTTCCCTCCCTCCCTGCCCGTTTCTCACGTGGGCTGCTGGCTTCCCTCCATCTCACCTTCCCTCACTCTCTGTTTCCCTTCTGTTCT
Source organism: Homo sapiens (assembly GCF_000001405.40). Taxonomy (NCBI): domain Eukaryota; kingdom Metazoa; phylum Chordata; class Mammalia; order Primates; family Hominidae; genus Homo; species Homo sapiens. The sequence continues at coordinate 10,560,225 of NC_000018.10, read as the reverse complement.
GTGATCTACTCATGTCGCACCCCTTGTGGCTGCTTCTCCACAGACTTGCAATGTGCCCTCTCTGCCCTGTTTCCTTCATTCCGTCTGTAAGCAGGGGGCTCATGGCTGCTGCTGGACACACAGCCTAGGCTGGGGAGGGGCAGGGTGAGGGGGCATTTCAAGAGGGCAACATGGACAGCCTGTGGCGTCGTCACCAAGCCAAACATGCCCTGTACTTTAGAGAGCAAGGGCTGAACAAGGAAGCCTGTGGACACAGGCACGCCAGGTCACAGCTGCTCAGAGGCGAGTCAGAGATGTCTGGATGAACTTGGGCTCTAACTTCAGCAGCCTTTCCTATGCACTCTTATGGGGTCTCAGGGTTTGCTACTGCAGCCTGAGAACATCCTGGGCTTCCTTAAGCCTCCCCCTGCTCCCCACAATGGTGTCCTCCCCTCACTCCCAGGGGGAATCTCTGAGCTTAATAATTCAAGCACGCTCAACTGTGACAAGGGACCCGTGTCAGCATAGGAAATGTTATCTGCCTCTGTTGATTCCTCAGTAAAGAACCTCAAAGGCCTCAGCAAATGACTGCGTGGCCTGTGAGAACCCTTGCCACCCTCCCAGGGTGGACCTTGGATCTAAGATCCTCACAGCCCATGGCAAACTCCTCCAGGATGGAATAAAAGCCAGGGTCAGGGGTGCAAGGGGCTCCCAGGTGCACATCTAGACATGAAAGCTGCATGCCAGAGGGGGCCATTCATGCCTCACCTGAAGCCCCTGACACCTGGCTTCCACATGCTGAAGTCTGGCTCAGACACCTTGTGCTGGAGTCCCGGTAGCTCCACAGGCAGGTGGCCAGTGCAAATGTACAAGGCCCACACTCTGAAGGCCCTGCACGTGGGGATGTCTTGAAGTTCTCAACAACTATCTTAGAATTTATGTTTTGTAAGCTAAGTCTGATGGGACAGTGGAGGCTGCATCCTCCTGCAGGGTCCATCCAATAATGGGCCATTGGCAGCCCACTCCCCGACCCTGCCCAGAAAGTGCAGCTGCACTCCCCATCAGAGATGGGCACAGGGAGGGTTGGGCTGGATGCACACCTTGTGCCACGTCACAAGGCATGGGTCCACACACCCACGCAGGTCTGTTCCTGAAGCAAGACATGGAATAGCAAACGAAAAACACCATGGCAGGTCAACAGAGTGACTGCAGAGGGAGGTCTCTGCATTTCCTGCATGTTCATTTTGCACTGGGCCCTGCAAATCATGTAGCCAGCCTGGCTGTAGAGCACCCCCTAACTCCAGGGTCACTGCCGGCTGGAGTCACCCGGACCAGGATGGATTACCAGCAGCTTCTGGAAACTTTTGGCACCCCTACCATTCTAGCTCACTTGGGGAACATGTACGTGCATGTCCTGGACCAGGTGGCTGTGCAGCTCAGAGATGTCAGGGAACTCCCTCCAGATGCCTGGGCCACGCTGATTTCCACTTGTCAAGTAACTTCTGTCATCCTGTCCCTATTCTCACTGGAATTTCTGGTGACCATCAGAGCAATCTGTGCCTGTGAATTTTCTGTCTCTCCTGTAGCTGTCTACAAGGCACATGGAGGAGGTAAGGAGCTGAGAGGATGGGGACAGAGCCAGGGTCTGGTGGCCAGTGAGTCCCTGTGGGCCAGAGGTCACAGCTTGCCACTCTGTCCATATGGAGACTCTCAGCCCATGCTCACCGCAAGAACAAGGACTGAGGTGTGAGGAGCCTCATGTGTCTCAGTGGGACTATGCTAACACCTTTGCCCCACTCACTTCCTCTTCTTGTACTGTCCACTCTCTTCTCTGATAATAGGGATACATTAACTCACTCTTTTTGTCAAGAGAATCAATCAGTTAGGATCATAGCATTACATTATTTAAGATGATGCTCAGCTCTGAAAATAGGAATGGTGGTGGGGGCGCACTCAGTCCTTCAGTACTAACAAGTGCTCTTTCATCATAAACCAAAACTTTGTTGGTGTCACTTCTAATTTCATCCTATCATTTAGGTCAATGATAGAAACATACAAGCACTCAGAAAAAAAGGCCAGGTGCTTGGAAAATTCTGGTCTTTCTCCTGTATAGATCCTGGAAGAGAGGCATTCGGGCTGGCTAGGGGATTTGCTTCCCATTCTGGAGAATGAAGCCTCCAGAGACATGAACAAGAGAATGAGATGTTCCAAATAGGTTTGTTCTCAATTATCTATGACCAAAAGCATCCCAAAGACTGACAGGGTCACAATGCTAGGGCGCAAGACCGTCCTTCACTTATGGGCCTGAATCATAGGTGCAATGGTGGTTTTGTGGTCCTTCAGCTAAGGACACTTGACTTTGTTATTGCAGAACTAAGCACATATCATTGTTTTATTTAGGACTGAACCTAAATCACACTTAAAAAATGAAACATGAGTTCAATTTTTAACACAACCCTTTCAAAGATAGGATCCAACAAGCAGTCTATGTGATAAGCCACTGAAGTGCTGACTGTCCCCGTCAAGGTCTTCGGTGCAAATCATGTAAGGTGTAGATTGTTCCACTTCTTGAACTGTAAAGCCCAACCTCTAGAAAGGGCTACGGAAGTACTTTCAGTAAAGAGGAGAAGCAAGATTTCTGTGTATAGGTTCAAATATTTGAACAGGGCCGTTCAGACCAATTTTGTTTCTAATTTCTTCTTTCCCAATCACTGCCCACCTCACGTATCATTCCTGTGAAATCACTGCCAAATCTCATCTTAGCTTCAGGCAATAAAAGCTTTTGGTTTGGCTCTGAGATTTGGAAAAGGTGGCACCCAAGAATCATGGAAGAGATCCATGCTGGGCCCTGAGAGGCAGGTAGCTGAAAGCATTTCCATGTGCTTACGTATTTCTCAAAGCACATGTTGAAATCCTGAATGTGCCTTGGCCTACTATCTAGTAGGGTATGTTCAGTCTCTAAAGTAGGCATGGAGGGCTGGGGAAAACAAAGAATCCCGTAAGTTAAATAAAATTCTTCATGAACTGAGTAGCATGGCGTCTATTTGTTTTTAAAAGTGTTGGGTAAGTATTGGTGAGTAGAAATGAGTGGGAACCACATTACTAAAGGCCTGCCAATTTCAATCAAAACAGAATAGCATTTGCTGAGTGCTTTTGCTCATGTAGTTATTAACAGTTATTGAAAGTGTAATATGTGCCAAGCACTGTTCTAGGAAGAGGGAGAAAGGGTGCCATGGCTCTCGTGGAGCACATTTTAATGGGGGAGACACACAACGAAAACATCAACACACAGCACAACTTCCAGAGCCGGGGAGTGCTATAAAGTCAAATCAAACAAGAGCAAGAGCAATCTGGGGTGGAGGGAGGCGATTACAGGTAGAGTAGCTGAGGACAGTCTTGATGTTTATCGTATACTTTTTTTTTTGGTGAGACAGACTCTTGCACCGTCGCCCGGGCTAGAGGGCAATGGCACGGTCTTGGTTCACTGCAACCTCCACCTCCTGGTTCAAGCGATTCTCCTACCTCAGCCTCCCAAGTAGCTGGGATTACAGGCACCTGCCACCACGCCTGGCTAATTTTTTGTATTTTTAGTAGAGATGGGGTTTCATTATGTTGGCCAGGCTGGTCTTGAACTCCTGACCTCGTGATCCGCCCACCTCAGCCTCCGAAAGTGCTGGGATTACAGGCGTGAGCCACCACACCTGGCCATTGTGTACTGTTTTTCAATCGCTCTTTACAAGAGCTTTGCACCTGTGAACTCTAACCCCACAACTGCCCTGTCAGCAGGTACCGTTGTCCCCAGGTTATCCGGTGAGGAAGCTAGGGCATAGCAGATGTCAGCCTCGAGGCAACATCCCCGAGTGGGGAAGGACCCAGACAAAAATCTGCAAAACGGCCTCTAGGCAGGGACCTAGACAGGCAGATCCTGTGGCCAACTGGGGAGTGCCCAGGCATGGGGACAGGATAGCTCCTCACAGACTGTCCTCAGCCACCATCAGGCCATGTTGAAAACCAAATGAAGTCTGCTAAAATGACTTAGGCTTTAGTCTGAAATGCATTGCACTGGTTATCAGGAAAGTTTGACTGTCAGAACAGGAACTAAGTTCACTCTCTCAGCCATCATCCTAATGTTTATTGTCTACCATTTTTAAATCACTCTTTACAAGAGCTTTGCACCTGTGAACTCTAACCCCACAACTGCCCTGTCAGCAAGTACCGTTGTCCCCAGGTTATCAGGTGAGGAAGCCAGCCTGCCTGGACCCCACAGCCTGCTGTGCGGTCCCAGTTAGGAATCCAAGGCAGGCAGACTTGCTCAGAGCCACACTCTCCAGCACCACACAATACCACTGCCATCGGCTTCAAAGAATCCCAACAGGAAAGCCCAACGTGCTTTTTAAGAGATATTAGAATAGTTTACAACAAAAGGTGCCTTAACCCAGGTTCATATTCTTACACATGGGGAAAAGGAAGAACTTCTTTAGTAAGAGTCAAGTGATGTCCAAATCCTGGGCTGTCCTTTACATGCTCAGGCCCTGAACCTTCACTTACCGATGCCGCTTCTGCAAGGATGCTCCCCAGCCAGCCAGGCCCTGCATCTGATGTTCCCCACGGTATGGTTTACTACTTGGATCAGAATTAAGATAAATGTTGAGATCTGATGGAAAAATGTTAAGTATGAGACATGAAAAAGCAAAGGGAGAAAGAAATCTCTATGACAGAGACCCTGATTTCAATCTTCCTGGATGTTCCAACTCCTTAGTGCAGGAAAATCTGAGACCTGAGATTACCACAGGATGAAAGCCATAGCATCTGATCTAGGAAACCAGCCAGTCTGAACCACGCTGCTTAGTTTTTAACAACCAAATGCTCACATTCCTATTTAAAAATCAAATTAAAAGCTCAACCTCCAATTTGGCCTACTGTTGTTTTTCATTTAACATAAATGACAGAAAACCAAGAAGCCAGTTCAAACAGTATCTCCTATTAGGAATATTAACATCAGAAACATTCAGAGTAAATTAATTCCTCTGAGTTTGTTTACTCACCTGAAAAATGGGGATAAGAGAATGACTGTCAGGGCTACATGTAATAATATGGTGAAGCCACCCGGAATGTGTGTAACAACGTAACAGCGACTGCTGTATGATTGCCTATATTGTTTTCTACTAAAGTCCTATAATGAGAATTAGGAAAAGTTAATAAAAAATAACTTCTGATTGACCTCAAATGCTTTAAGATGTAAGTAGATTGTATCATCCCTAGCATAGCTGGTTCTCCTCTCCCTCTGCCCCACAGGCGCCCAAAGGCTCTGGCCCCTTTATGATTTGGTGAACGAATGTAGGTCAGGTGTCTCACTTCTGGGATGAGCAGCACATTGCTGGTACAAGACCATCTTGAGTTCCTTTCTCCTATCACCGGGATCTGTGGTCCCTTGTTCTGCCCTGAGAGCAGCAGACATGGGGCAGAGCTGACCTGTGGTGGACATGTGGCACGAATGGAAATGAGCCTTCGTCATGTTAAACCAGAGATCTGAGGGTTATTACTGCAGCATAACACAGTCCTTCCTGACCATTCAACTTTTTATGAAGTCATAGCTTCCCGGTAATAAGACCATCTTATCTATAGTGGTGGTTGGTCCATTAAATTTATCAATATAAAGCCTACTGAATTATGAATTTATCAATATGACCACTAAATCGTGACCTAAAATGCATGAAACATGAAAAGACACGGGAACCAACTGAACAATAATAGATACTTCAATCCAAATCAAGTAGGGGAAGATAGTACTTTCAACCTGATTGTAGGTGCAGAATTCTTTCCATCCAAATCCCACTACAGAATGTTAAAATAGGTTACAAAAAACCATAATAATAAACCCAAAGACAAAGACTTTAAAATGCCATGGTCTACTGCTTTGTGAAACTGAACTCCAAGCTGAAAGGCACAGTCCTGGTGTCCCCCACTGACATGGTACAAAAACTAAAGTAAAAAAGAAGGCCGACCATGCTCACCTAAGTATGCACAGAATCTCCTGCAAGAATTTAGCACTCATGGCACACATCTCAGTCTTCGTGCTCCAACTGTGCCGTGGTCCCAACAGCATTCTGGCCCTCCCAAGAAGGTAAATTTGTTCTTCTTATTTGGCTAAATTAAATGACTTACCCCTGGGTTAAGTAAAGAAATAAGTATTTCATATCGATAAAGTCAACTTTAGTGATAATACTTTCTAGTTGTGCTTAGGAATAAATTTTATGATCATTATGATAATCTGTGCAGGTTTATATTTAAGGTTCTTAAAACATTTAACAAAATCTTACATATTAATCTTTTGATTTTCAATGTTTAATTGTGATTGAGAATTTTTCACAAACAGTATTTGAAAATCTGAAAGCTCAAATTACCATTATGTGTATGTTGGATTTACTAGCTTTACAAGAGTTACTTAAGTAGTGGGAAAAATTTTTTAAAGTTTTAAGGCTGTTTAAATTAGGCTCCTTGAAAAATTTAAGAGAGTCAGATATTAAAAAACTATCAAGGTAATGTAACTCTATGGGAGCTAATTAGCCAAGTTTGTGAAGTGGAGGTAATTATCTAACGGCATTTTATTCAGTGTCCTTGAGTATTAATTAAAAGCCATGTAAGTTGTTTCTATGCACAAAACCTTGTTGGAATAAAAACAATTCAGTGGAAAGTTTGTTTTCCTTTTTCAAAATTGGTGTTTGCCTCAGTCCTTCTTACCTTCAAGACGTTTTTAATATCCTTAAATTTAACTCATCACATTAAAGTCATTATTGAGGGTTTCTTGATGAGTCGAATGAAAGCAACACGAGGGGTGACAGCAGCAGGTGGACTTTGCTTATCCTTCCTGGCTATCTCCTCTTGCTGCTACAAACACAATAGTGACCACAAACCACATTCAAGACACTCCAAGGTGTCCTGGAAGAAACACAAAATCACACGATGTCCAACAGCCACTCGTTCTGCATTCTTTCTTACTTCAACTTCTCCTGAATCCAGGTATCAAATTATATTATTAATTTCCATTCCATGAAAGACAGGGATAATATTACATAGTTAGCATCCAATAAATGTCTGATTGTAAGTAAATCTGCTAGTATTTAAGGTGCTAATTATGTAAACAATTTCACATCAGTTCTCTTAGCCTCCTAATCATACATGGTTTTATCTCACTTAACCCAATCAAAGAATTACTCTCTTGGAAGAGGTATTAGTCTTTCATCTCACCAAACAGCAGTATATGTAGTATTACAATAACTGAATGACTGGTATTTTAAGAAGCTCAAACAGTTTAAATTCCCAAAGGTACCTTACTCCCAAAGAGCAGAAAAGACAACTGCAGATAACAAAATACTGTCCTTGTAAAATAATGCTGAAGTCATATAATTAAGAGAATGTGTCCCTGGAAAAAAGAAAATTAAAACAAGCTAAACAAAATAAATAATACAAAGAACAATTATATTTATATAGTTTCAGGTTTTATTTTCATAATTATCTTCCTATAGAAGCAATAATCTGTATTTCCATAACAACACATTTAATATTCTACTCATCAGAGTTGGGAAAAATAGGAATAAAGCAGATTCCATACAGAAATACCGTACTCTGCATATGTACAAATAAATTCAATATATTAAATCTATTTTGTAGCTGGACTTCACTTACAATGTAACAGAACATTGAATATTAGATTCTGAGCATATTCATGCAAACTTCCACTTTGGTGAAAGTGATGACAGTGGAGTTCTGGAAGACAATTTTCCTTGTAAACACCAAGTTTTGCACTTTGGACTATGCTCTCAAGATAGAAACTTACGTGAGTGGAAAAAGAAAATGTATAAATGTGAAACAAATATTCCTTACCACACAGAATAACCCTGACAACAAACAATATCCCCAAGTCCTGGTTATTCAATCCTCACCGTGGGCAGGAAGGGTGAAGGAGGCTGCACCTGGACACAGCCTTTTGTGTGGTTTAAAGCATAGCTGCGCTGCTGCTACAGAATGCACTTCATCATCACCTTTTTTAAAAAAAGTTTTCAGTACATAAGAAGAGTAAAATTAAAAAATTTTTTCCCCCAGACTTTAATGGGTAATATGATCTATCTATACATAAATAGTCTACAGTATCTTTAAAGTATTGCCAAATCTGTTTAAACAGATTACTAATTAGCTCAAATGAGCATTAATGTAAGACTCCAGAAGTTTCCGATTGGATCTAAAGGATACAAGCTGCAATGATGGGATCTTTGAAACACTGCAATGTCCTTAAATGCAAATGTCTACATATAGCTTGTTCATAGTTAATCCCAATATCATTAATAAAAATGAGGTGCTACCTGAAGAACTATGCCAATAAATTAAGGAAGAAAAACATTAAATTTATTAGCATTTTGTATCAGACTTACAATAAAGACTGTATACCAACATCCACGCACCCGAGACCACCTCCCAAAGGAGGATGTTATTCTAAGCTCTCCCGCAGAACTGTGACTAAAATCACTTCTGATACTCCACCTTAGTGTTTTCAGGAAGTCTAGCAAAATTAAGCAACCTATACTCAAATAAGGTATGACTCTAAAAGAGACAGAGACAGGGCATGGATGAGCAGGAATTACTTTGGCAGCGTGTACCTGCAGAACGCACACTGCTGGTGTCTGTAGCCTCTTTCCAATTAACAGATTACGAGATGGGTCTAAGCCACACAACAGGGTGAAAAAGGAATGTTTCGAAAACAGCATTTTAGGAAATAACTATAAAGGATCAATATATTGGCAGTGCGGTGTTTTAAATATTGTCTTTCTAAAACAATTCTTCCCTTTCAGCTAAGTTTTCATAGTATATAGCATTTTCCATGTCAAGTTATGACGGAGTTACAATCAAAATAAAATAAACAATCAAAATAAACTGTTTTGGAGGGAAGAAATATATCTGTATTAGACTGATGGAAACATTACCTCATTCTTACAATGTTAGAAAGATATTCATAGGCTGGGTGAGGTGGCTTATGTCTACAATCCCAGCACTTTGGGAGGCCAAGGCAGGCAGATGGCTTGAGCTTAGGAGTTTGAGAACAGCCTGTGCAACATGGAGCAACTCCATCTCAACAAAAAAAATAAAAAAAAAATTACAAATTAAAAATAAAAACATTAGCCTGGGAGCCGTGATTGTGCCACTGCACTCCAGCCTGGGCAAAAGAGTGAGACCCTTAAAAAAAAAAACAAAAAACAAAACAAACAAACAAACAAACAAAAAGGTATTCATTACCCATTAGCTCCTATTTGGTCAAGAACCAAGTAGATTTGAAGACAGTCACTGTATGTATTTTTTAGATAGAAGAAATACCCACACTTCAGAGAGGACTGAAGATATTTATAGATCACTTCAATATGCTACCTTCAAAATTTTTCAAACTCATAATATATAAGAGCTTCAATGCATCTTTTATTGGGCTAAATAATATTGTAAGGCTCAAAATAACTTCCTGTCCCCATCTCATCTCTGAAAAGACTTAATAATTTAAATGTATCTAACATCATGGGGGATAAATTTACTTTTCAAAACAAAAAAATTTTAAAATGATTTATCAGTAAACATCACCTTTAGCAGCAATTATTAAATGAAACGTAAAAAACAATTCACTAACAGTAACTTACAAGTGTCCAAGAGAGAATACCTATGCTTATTACCCCTTTTGTTTAGAACATAATTTATGTATAATTTGGCTTGCAAATTTTTTAATCAATGTATTAAAACATGACAGTACATTTTCTGTTAATTCCTGCTGGTGTCTTAGAAAAGCTCTTATGGAAAGAAAAAGATATGCTTCACAGGTAATGGATACAATGAGTGATTTGGGAAGATGGTAACTAAAAACTAGTCTTTATTAGGATCCAAAATCATGACTGTAATGAAGTACGGATATCCCTAATCTATTCCCAAGTCCTTGAAATGGCATGTCAGGATTTTACCTTTGTTTCCCTTTTCTTTTCAGCAAGCAAAATACTAGCATAGTCCTCCTGAGTATTCATCTTCCTCTTCATCAGCAGCCGTGGCAGTGACACCATCAGGCTTGGCCTGTGGTGTTGCAGGTGATTTCTTCTTGATTCCCCCTCCTGGAACCACCAAACTCAGGCCCAGCTTAGCATACTGTCAACAACAGAACATGTTCTTAAAAGCTGGATAACTAGAATCCTAACATGTTTTACTCAGCTCTAAAAAGACACAGCCTGGCTCCCCACCCTCAGGAACACCAATTCTACCATTCAGATGGAAAAACAAAGCCCAACAATGCTGCTCCCCAGATGCCTCATGACCATGGTGGGACAGGTACACAACTAGTAAAAGTTTCAATTATAAATTTTTTTTAATTAAAACTTTAGAAATATATATATTTTCAAAACCTATGTAAGACGTTATTTAGAAAAAAAATTATCTACATATATCATTATAATAAACAACTGAAGGCCTTAAGTTGATCTGATACTATGATGATACTCTAAAGGCCTAAGGCCAAACAGGTACTTACAAATCTACTGAAAAAGACAAATGAGAAAAAATAAAAACTTATAGTCATGGTTCACTTTATGTGCAAGACATCATGTGAGGATATTTCTCACACACTGACTAATGTATTCTTCACAACAGTCCAGCAAGACAGGTACTAGTGGCTTCATTTTTACAAATGAATTAACTGAGGCTTAGAGATAATTAATGACCTGCAACACACAGCTAGTCCTCACAGATTTTCATAGGTCTACTGAATTACAAAGGCCACTACAGAATGGACCTCTTTCAGAGAGTCCGTCTAAAAGAAATGAATAAAAGCAACCTACAGAGGACAACAGATAGAGGAAAAGTGGAGAAATGAGCCTCAATTTTAAAATATGTATATGGTCAACAGAGTTAGATGGGTGAGTAAATGGCTATACACCACACAACTAACATCTATTTTATCTAAATCTATGGTGAAATTCAATGCAAGTGGTCAGTTTCCTTATGAGTAGTAGCTTGAGAAGAAAAAAAGAGGTAGGAAAAAATCTCTTAAGTACATGGGTAAAAAATAATCTCACTAGAAACCTCTTTCTTTCAAGAGAAAAGATGAAAGCTATGCAAATGGGTCCACTTACATCATTGTCCATGTACTTGAAAAGCGGTGAGTTGCAGACATCTGACACCTGATCTTGGTCTTGCTGGTCATAACCTTCAAGAAGCTGTTCCAGGGCAGCACAGTCTTCACTGCCATTGAACCCAGGGATGCTGCAGTAAGCACAAATCACACGTCTTCACCTTCTCCTTAAAAGAACACATCTCAGGCAGGGATGATTCTGCCCCTGGCATGTGACACTGTCTGGAGACATTTTGGTACTTAAAAGTGTGGGAATGCTAGTGGCATCTAGAGGGCAGAGACCGGGGATCCCGCTAACCAGCCTACAGTGCACAGGACAGGCCCGACCACAAAGAATTATCCAGCCCAAATGTTAACAGTGTTGAGATTAAGACTGCTCATGTTAAACACCGAGAAAATTCCTCATTTTGATTTCTGTAACATAAATCTGATAATTTTTTCCCCCTTTTTCTTGTTCTTTTTTTCTTAGAAGGCAAATAAAATGACTAAAATGACTAAAGTCATTCACTTCCATGGAGGTCCCCTAGAGAAAAATACAGGAAAGGGAAAAAAAAAAAAGGTGTAAAACACCCACTGTAAAAGATGAAATGGTAGATGAGCACTCCTAAGATTTAGAAATGACAGTTTCATGGCCAGGAACATGTGTCCTAGCAGCAATCTTAGTTGTAGACACAGAGGTGTCGCCACTGCAAGTCAAGAGGGCCCAGACAACGTCTTACCTATAGCTCTCCCGGACACATCTTTCTGCAGCTACATAGTCATTTCTGTGTAGATGAACTAAGACTTGAGCAATTGTTTTCTAAAACAAAAGAGAGGATCATGGTCAAATTTACATCTGTTTAATAAAGTCAATAACCTGGCAGTATTGAAAACACCTGGAGTTTAACTTTCAGAGTCTTTGTTTGTATAAACAGAGATTTATAAATGCTATAGTAACTTCCACGGGACACCTGAGGGGAAATATCCTAGAACAGTACTTTTCCAATTCTCATGTCCTGGAATTTGGCTGCTAGGGGCAAGCCTGGGATTCACCCATTTCTAACAAATTCCAGGGGGCACTCCTGCTGCTGGTCTGGGGACCGCACTTTGACACAAGCCTTAGATCACAACCACGTTTTAAAGAGATCTCTTTCAAATATCTACACAGATTCAATCTTGAAAAGTGAATAAAAAAGAAGTGGGGGGGACCCGTAACACCACAATGATACTTAGAATCCTTAAAAAGAAACTAGGAAAAAGATGTATGAGTGAAAACTTCAGATAACAGAAACAATGATAGTATTGATAAGTCAACAATAAAAGTAGTAATAAGATCAAGGATATGACTGATAAATTACTGGAAAAATAGGTCTTCATGAAGTATTTTTCCATCTTTTGGTGTCTCTATTGTTTAGGTAACTTTTACTGATCTATCTTTAAGTTCACAAAGTCTTCCTTCTGTCATCTCTGAGATTAAGCTTATCCAATTATTTTACTTCAATAATGTATTTGCCAGTCCTAAAATTCCCAATTAGTTCATTTTTATAGTTTCTATAAAAATAATTTTTCCTATAAAAAACAACAGGTCCTCTTTTCTATTCATTTTAATTGTGTTTATCTTTACCTCATGGAGCAACTTATAGTTGCTTCAGTCTTTATGTGATAATGCCAACAACCCTGGTCACTGCCGGGTTGCCATCAGTTGTCTTTTCTCCTGAAAACTGGTCATATTTCCAGGTTCTTGCATGTTGAGTAATTCTGGATTGTACTGTGAATGTGATGCTGCACAGCCTCTGCTTAATTTTCAGGAGAGTACAGATGTTTTCAGCAGGTAATCACCCCAGTTAGGTTCAGACTACATGTGGTGCCTTGTTTTTGGTGGATGGAAGTTCTACACTTAATTCAAATCCTTTGCTATGTGGCTTTGGGCCTGTTCCATGCATAAGCCCTTCAGAGGGCAGTGCAACACTTCGACAGTGATGAAATCTTAGCTCTCCAAGCTTTGCGCTGCACTGCTACTTTGAGGCCTGTCTCAGCACAGCTGAAGAGTAAACCCAAGACTTGTGTGGGCCACATCCACACTCAGGGGACTCCGTTTCCAGCTCTCTCCTTTCCGGAATTTTCTCCTTGCTCTCTAGCTCATTTTCCTAGTTCCTCTGGCAAAAGAGACTGGGGTCCTTGTGGAGTTTTATCAACCTGAGCCATCATCACAGTGTAGCTCCATGCCTGGGACAAGCTTGGAGCAAAGCCAAAGGAGAGGAAAACAATGGGACCTCTTCTCCCATTGCTGGTTAGAAAGGCGGGGTTTCTTTTGGAGTTTTCATTGTTGCAGCCTTTGCTGCCCAGCTCCACAACTGTGGGCTTCTCTCAGGGCAGGGCAATGAATGCTGCAAGAGGAAATGGAAAAAAACCCGAGAAACTCATTCCCATGGTGGTTGTTTCTCCACGTGTTTGCTCCTCTCCTTAGTCTCTTTTTATTTACTTTTCAGAGTTCAAGGGTGGTTGCTTTTGTATTTTATCCAGTAGTTTAGCTGTAATCAGCAGAGAAACAAGCTGTAGTGGGCTTACTCTATCTTGGTCAAAAATAGAGGCCCATGAAGTATTATTTTACAAAAACATAGAAATACCCATAGAATCCTTTCTTAAGTACTTATTCATACCAGTATAAAAAATCATCTAATGTAATACCAAAAACAAACACTTTCAAAGAATACCTTATAACAAGTTGGATAATTCTCAATTTCCTTATAAATATTTTTTTCTTTCTGAATAGAGAGTGCCGCCTCATCAAACCTAAAACAAAACACAGAAATGTAAAAAAAGCAGGTCTAAATGATCTATAGCAGAGGTCCCCTGTGAAATGTACTTGACATCATAGATTGTAGAGACACCAGGAGGACAGGTATTATTAGCAGCTGCCCCAGGACCCAGGTTTCCACATGCTCTGCTCATCTGGCTTACCTTTCAAATGTCTGACTCCCCACTTTCAGGCTGCACGCTGACAGAAAAAGCAAAAGAACTCAAGGATGGGTTAGGTCAAACGGGGAGTTTTAAGCTTAGTAAGGACTGTCCAATAGCGAGTGTCACGACTTCTTCGTGATACGTACTTGAGACGATCTTCGATTAAATCACCCAAGATTTCTTTCCTCCCGACTGAAAGAACATCCAGACACCCAAGGCACTCGGTGCCTTCCCCCGACTGTGTCCCTCCATCACATACTCCGCTGCTGCCCCAGTGGCCCTAGCAAGCTCTGAGGTGCCTAAAAGGGCAGCAGAGGGGAGGCAAGTTAGAGACCTAAACAAAAGCCTTCCTGCATCTTCAGTCTTCAACATTCATCTTTTCCATTGACCCTCATACATTCTCCTTTTCTTCCATTTTGCCCAATGGCAGAATGAAGACGAAAGCAAGGAAAGGGGTCACCAAAACATTTCCCCCAAACCCTCCAGGCCCTTACCCCTTTCTCATTCCCCCAGCCCTAATTCCATCAAACCCTAATTGAACCTCCCCTCCCTGCAAAGCTGTAGTATACTCCAAATGCCAGGACTCCCTCAGTAGTACAACTTGAGACTGAGTGAAATGTACAGTCTTTAGCCACTGCTCTCATCCCAATAACAGTCCACGGTTATGGGAGAAACTACCAGGGTCTGGGCATTGGGAATACACACAACCAACAGCCAAAAGGGGCAAGAGTCTGTACTATCGGGATTCAAAGGGAGGTAAGTGGTATTGTAAACCAAAGTAAAAATACAAAAATGTTATGCTTGTTATGCTATATGCTCTATTTTTCTGTCTTTTTATTTTTTTTTGAGACGGAGTCTCACTCTGTTGCCCAGGCTGGAGTGCAGTGGCGACATCTCGGCTCACCGCAACCTCTGCCTCCCGGGTTCAAGTGATTCTCTTGCCTCAGCCTCCCGAGTAGCTGGGATTACAGGCGCCCACCACCACGCCCAGCTAATTTCTGTATTTTTAATAGAGATGGGGTTTCGCTATGTTGGCCAGGCTGGTCTCGAACTCCTGACCTCAGGGGATCCACCTGCCTCAGCCCCCCAAAGTGCTGGGATTATAGACGTGAGCCACCGCACCCAGCCTGTATGTTATCTTTTTAAAAATAGTGGCATGTATACACAGACACACACACACACCACACACACAGTGGCTTGGCTTATGCTATTATGGCTACTTACATCATGAGTTAAACTGAATCTTTATGGGATGCACGCTGGCAACTTAGTGCCTTATAAAATGACACTCATAGGAGAAATGCATTCTGAATTTCCACAGGTCAACTTGATAAATTTTTGGAACAAAGTCAATTTATAAGCTGGGTTTGGTAGCAGAATTCTAAGAGTGCTCCCGATTCTTGCCCCTTGTAAACATTTCCTCTATAATCCCCCTTTAAGTGTAGGTGTGACCCTCGGAATATGATGGGCCATCCTGTGATTAGGACACAAATCAGCTGACTTCGAGTGAATCACTGTCTGTGTGGGCCTGACTTAATCAGGTGGGCCCTTCCTTAAGTTAGAGGCCAGAGTACTCCTGATGTCTCGAATTAGCAGCAAACTGCCATGCTGTGAACCACCAATGGGGGCACACGGCCAGGAACTGAAGGCAAACTCAAAGCTGAGAGCAGTTCCTGGCGAACAGGCAACAAGAAAACAGGAATCTCTTCCACACAGCTGCAAGGAAATCAATTCTGCCAACAATCAATGAGCTTGGAAAAGGACCCAAGCCTCCGGTGAGATCAGCCCCCTCCGACACCTTCATTTCGGCCTGGTGAGACCCTAGCTCTGCTACCTAGCTACACTAGGACCTAGCTACACTGTATCCAGACTTCTGGCCTCATGAAACTGTGAGCTAATCAGTGAGTACTGTTTTAAGCTGCTAAGTTTGTAGCAATCTGCTATGCAGAAATAAAAAATTAATGCAAGGCGGACTACAGCTACATGTATCTGTATCATTTATAATTGTGACCCTGAGCTTATAACAGATCCTGTTTTATAAAATAAATTATGGTCAGAATATTCTGTGCCCGTCGTGTCTAGATTATATCATTCTATTAGCAATCTCAGTATTTTAAACTTTTCATATATTTAACTATAAAGGGTGCATTCTTTACGCATAAACTGTTTATTTCCTTGACATAATATTAGCATTTCTATGTGCTAATATATAGTTACCTAACAAAAGAGCCAAGCCCTTACATGAGTTTGTAGTCGAAAAAGTTGATCGACTTTGCTAAAAGGCCATGAAATTAGCATACAAAGCCATCTATTTTTAAATGTATCCAGAAAAGTATTAGTTACTTATTATAATGAAACACAGATGCTTTCAACTTTTCCATCAGGTAATACTTAATATTCCTAACAAAATGACAAGAATTTGGTTTTGCTGAAAAAAGAATAAATTGTTTTTATCTTCCCCAAATGTAACAAAATTGAAACCCCACAGAAGTTATGTGCAAATGGCAGAAAACTGTCACAGAACCTCATTCATCCCCAAGCTTTCAACAGACACCTTCTACACCACAACTCAAACTGTTCCTCTGGCCCCAACTATTTCCTGAACTCCAAAACCTATTTTTAACTACCTACAGAAATGTTTAGTTTATGTGTCATATTCCCAGCTAAGTTTATTATCATCACTGATAAGTTTGTTTCTATATTCCTTATCTCAGTTATTGATGGCACCATGGACAGAACAGTTATGCAAGACAGAAACCCAGTGATTCTCCTTAATAGCACACATCCCACCCCTGAACATATACACACCCAACCCTCCTTGTGTTTAGGATCTAGTGACTGTCTCAGACAACTGGTGAGAAGCAGCTCTTTTCTTTGCTAAGTGAGTCTTCTAGGAGGGATTTGGGTTCACTGAGACCACACACCTTGTCTCAGAGGCATAGACCTTCTCTCAGAGGCACAAGGTCATGATCAACTTGCTGGAAAGGTCTTTTTTTCTTTTCTTTTCTTTTTTTTTTTTTTTGAGATGGGAGTCTCACTGCAACCTGTGCCTCCTGGGTTCAAGCGATTCTCCAGCCTCCCGAGTAGCTGGGATTATAGGTGTGCGTCATCACACCCGGCTACTTTTTGTATTTTTAGTAGAGAAGGAGTTTCACCATTTGGCCAAGGCTAATCTTGAACTTCTGACCTCAGGTGATCTGCCTGCCTCAGCCTCCCAAAGTGTTGTGATTACAGGCATGAGCCACTGCACCCAGCCTGGAAAGGCCTTTTCTAAAAAGGAACAAGGGCACTGGCCTTGGACTGACTTTTCCCAGATGTAATCTAAATGAAACTACGAATCACTTCTGAATTTTGACTCTCCAAAACTGAAGGAGAAGCAAGAGATTAATATATTAAATAGATTCTTTGCTACACTAACATAGAAAGTATTAAATTAGGACATCTTATGGACTCATGTTAATGTAAAAACATAAGTGCACTAACTAAATATAACAAACATAAAACTTTAGACTCCATGCCACACAGTCTATTAGTAGATGTTGCTTGTGTGAAGCATAAAATTACCACCTGTTTAGTTCTTTTAGGCAACAGATGCAATCAAATAATAATCTAAGCACATAGTTAATATTTTCAATTATCACATAAATCATCTCAATAATGTCTCCATCACTATAAACACTGCATGTTTTTTCTTATCCTGCACTATTTAAGTTCCCAATAGAAGTACCATGACAGTAGACTTAATTTTTTCATACCAAGATACCCAGCAACACTTTTCAAAAGATCAAATTCCTTCATGTTCCTGCACAAATTTAAATTAATTTTTATATTGTTAATACACTTCAAAAATATATTTCCATAACATTTTTGTTGAGCACAGTAGAAAGTACCATTTTAAAATACATTTTTCCTAAAAAGAAAAAAAAAAAACCAATAAAACAAAGTCACGAATAAAAGCCCTGGATTTATAAATGTGCCCTTTGAGCACATCTACGCAGCATTCTCACTTCTGCTGCTCACTCAACTAGCATTCTCCCCTCTGCTGAGGCTTTGAAGAATTTAACACAGTAATTGCTTTAAAACAATGGCTTTCATCAGATGTGTCCAAACCGACTGGCAACACTGGTAATGTTTTGAGGATGATGGTGGCCCCCATCCCTAGTGGAGCTTTCTAAAGGAATATGCACAGGCAGCTGGAAAACGTTCCTCATCTGACCTCCCCCGAAAAGATCCTGGCCTCTCTCCTTTCCTGCTACTCCCTCTACAACACAGCTTTAGATAATCTATACCTTGAGAAACAAAAGGAAAGAAGATGTGGAAAGCAGAAATACTTCAGGGGAGCTGATGCAGTCTGGACTTTCACACAGGGCTGTCCTTAACTTCTGCCCCTTCCTGCAACTTCACTTCCTTCACCTTCCATGGGGTCTTATAGTAAGGGGCTTAGCGCTCTAGAAAGGCACTGGGAGTCTTGTCGGGGAGCATCAGGAGATGAGAACAGAAGAGAAAGGAGGTAAACTATGCTAAAACTTGCCTCCTAGCTGCCCTGAAAAGAATGAAGGACACTGTTTCTAAGACATGGGGCCCCTGCTCACAAGTCAGAACCTTGGTATCACCTCACAGTTCAGCTATTTTGCCACAGCCATAACGCCATCACCAAGAACAGCTCTGCTGCTGTAACAAACACTTTCAGAAACTAAAGTGAACCATTTTTAAGTTGGGATTTGTCAGAGTTAGCATTTCATTCACTGATTTCTGGGAAGCGACGAGTAAGTAATAAGATGAATAAAGATAATGACCCCGGACTGACATTTAAATTAAACTTTCCTTCATGATTAAAGTCCTAATTTAAAAACAAAATGAAATTTCTATTCCATTTAGACAAAAAAATACTCCTCAGTGAAGGAAGGTCCTATAAACAAATTAATCTAAATGAGATTGTTTAATAGTTAATTCTAGATTAATTTATTCTCATATTACTCTAGACCGGTTTAAATTGTATTTCAGAATCTGCAGTCTTCATGAAGAAAAAATTTAATTCAGTCTCAGATAGGATAGATTCATCAGTCATTTCTATTTTGATTCCTTGACATATTAAATGGATCTTGGGTGTTTTCTGTTACTGGGAAGCTTTGGACAAATTTCAATTAAGATATCTGCAGACTTACAATCTCCTAGAGATGTTTATCTTAAATATTATTGAGACAGAATTTTATTAATGAAAAAAATTGTTTACTAAAAGTAAACTGAGATAAAGTAAAAAAACAAAAGGAAATCCCAATAGGATTTTAGCTTTCTGAGGTTCAACTATTTGTGCTTCAGGTCATATGTGAAACGATAACAAGGTAAATATTCTAATAATGACACTATTTGTCAAGAACCTGTCAGTTTTCATGGGTGAGTGTTTATGCATCTTTGTCATTTATCCTAATATTCTTATTTTTCCTTGAGAGAGATATTATAATCCAACCAAGTAACAGATGAAGGAAACTGTTCCCTTTCATGTTGCTGAGCCAGGGTTCAACCAATAAAAGCACAGTGCATGATAAATTTGGGCATTACACTTTCAAAAAACAGCAGATCTTTTAATATCTAATTCAGTGTGCCTACTGTCTAGTAAATGTTAATATTCTATTGTGTGGCCTGGTGTGTCTACAGCTTATACCAAAAAATTAACAAGCTATCCCCCAAATTACTTTCCAGTTCCAAATGTGGATTCAAAGTATAGTTAAACACACAGCAATAGTTTTTAAAGACATACCTACGTCCTCGTACTAGTAGTCTGGAGGCTTTTCCTAGTAATTCAACTGCCTGTCGTAAGCGTTCTTCATTCTGAAGGAATCAAAGAAAAACAAGTGTTGGCTGCTTTAATGTTGAAATGTTTTTATCCCCTAATATTTATTTTGTAAAGAAGTAATGGCACTGGATCAAGGGGGGAACACGAAAGCTGCTAGTTCATTTCACTACTCTCTAACAGAAAAGAAATAGCGTGCAACTGTGAGCAGGGAAAAGTTTTAAAAGTAGCCACTGCACTTCTCTATTTTCCTATATATTATTAATCTAAACATTCTAAGTAATTAAAGAAAAAAATAAGATTCAAACTTACTTCAAACACATTAGCTGTCTGTTGATATAACTGTACAGCCTTCTCTGGATCAACATTTTCTATAAGCCTGAATCAGACAAGAAAACATGTCTTATATGAGAAATGGAAAACTTGTTTTTCAGGGACCTCTTTAAAACAAAAAGACAAGACTTCTATGCAGAGACTTGTCCATCTCACACTCACTTTCCAGCTCGCTCCAAAGCCATGGCTGCTGTGTCTGGGGTGCCGTTTTCTAGATACATCATGCTGGCCTTCTCAATTAGCTGAACGGCCTCTGGTAGTTTCTGCATCTCCTTTGGGCAAAGGATACAGTAGACAGGTCAGCAAATGCATCAATTAAAGAAAAACAGAGTTAACAATCTGAAATGCAATTATTTTTTATTTTAAGTTCTGGGACACATGTGCAGAATGTGCAGGTTTGTTACATAGGTATACATGTCCCATGGTGGTTTGCTATACCTATCAACCCATCATCTAGGTTTTAAGCCCCGCATGCATTAGGTATTTGTCCTAGTGCTCTCCCTCCCCTTATTCCCCAGCCCCCGACAGGCCCAGGAGTGTGATGTTCCCCTCCCTGTGTCCATGTGTCCTTGTGGTTCAATTCCCACGTATGAGTGAGAACATGCGGTGTTTGGTTTTCTGTTCCTGTGTTTGTTAGTTTGCCAAGAATGATGGCTTCCAGCTTCATCCATGTCCCTGCAAAGGACATGATCTCATTCTTTTTTACAGCTGCATAGTATTCCATGGTGTATATGTACCACATTTTCTTTATCCAGTCTATCACTGATGGGCATTTGGGTTGGTTCCATGTCTTTGCTATTGTAAATGGTGCTACAATAAACATACGTGTTTACTGTATAAACATACGTTTCTATAGAATGATTTATGTTCCTTTGGGCATATGCCCAGTAATGGGATTGCTGGGTCAAATGGTATTTCTGGTTCTAGATCCTTGAGGAATCCCCACACTGTCTTCCACAACGGTTGAACTAATTTACACTCCCACCAACAGTATAAAAACTTTCCTATTTCTCCACAGCCTGGCCAGCATCTATTGTTTCCTGACTTCTTAATCATCACCATTCTGACTGGCGTGAGATCTCATTGTGGTTTTGATTTGCATTTCTCTAATGATCAATGATGATGAGCTGTTTTTCATGTTTCTTGGCTGTATGTCTTCTTTTTCTACAAGGAACTTAAATTTACAAGAAAAAAAAAACCCAATCAAAAAGTGGGCAAAGGATATGAAATACAATTATTTTATCCCTAATTCATGAAAGTAAATGACTCAAATACATTGTATAGCAATAAAGATATTTAAAATGAAATGCTTCACATGATTACTCTCCCAATCAAGCTTCATTAAACCCAATCAAAAAGGTACCAGGTAATTTCTACACAGAGTTCATCATCACTTCACAGACCTTTGGGAAATCTATGAAAATAGAAAAAACCAAAAACCTTGCTCTTTACTGTTTTCTAAGCACTTCTTATTCTTTAAACATTTACCAAGTCCCTACTACATACAAGACCTATGCCAAGGATCACAAACTGGCAGCCCAATGACTCTATCTCACTTCCAAGTGTGTTTTGCTTGATCCATGCAGTATTTTTAAATTAGATACTTTCATGAAAATTGTTTTATGGCTTTCTTCAAAAAAATATCAAAAGCTACGGCATCAGCAGGCTTGCATCCCTGTATGGCAACAGGCTGGGGCTGGGCAGCACTGTCCCGCCACATGAGCATGCACCTCCTGGCGCTTCTCCCCGCTCTTCACTTCCAAATGCCCTCCACGTCCCAGCTGCTCATTCATTTTAGTTATTCCTCTACACCCTGAGTTCATCTGAGTTTGCAACCCTCTTCCATGACTAATAAATTCTGTATCTTACTATTAATCTACACATCTCAGGATCATGCAGTCCTAATGTCTAATATCTCCAAATCAAACATTTTAAAAATAAACTTAAAAAAAAACACCGTTTAAAAGCTAGTTATAAAGTTTACATAAGCAACTTATTTAGTGTTGACTTGCTGTATCTTAAGGTAGGCTCCACACTGACATCTCATGGGTGGTTTACAAATCTGCCTATTCAGTCCCTTGCTAAGTTGACAAATTCATTAGGATACCCTTAACAAAACTGGTCTCATTTTCGCCAACCCCAAAACATAACTTTATTATTTAGCTATGGAAACTAACAATAACACAGACTGAAAGACACTGTATGAAATAAGACTGCTATCATTCACTCAAGCAGAATGAAATGCTAATGCATTTCCAAACCTCAGTGAAAAAATAAAAACAATACTTTTTTTGTTATAAAACCAAAAGTCAATGAAAGAATCCGAGTCTACAATATCTGCTGAAAAATATCTGAATGAACAGGGGAGGTAAACCTAACAAAATCTCTCTCAGACACATTAGTCCTGAGGGTCATTTTGGCTTTTAAAGAATACAACTGAACCTTGAACAGCAGAGATTTAAACTGTGCTGGTCCAATTATACGCAGACTGTCTTGCTCCTCTGCCACCTGAGACAGCAAAACCAACCCCTCTTCTTCCTCCTCCTCCTCTTCCTCCTCCTCAGCCCAAACGTGAAGACTATGATGAGGATGAAGAGCCCTATGATGCTCTACTTCCACTTAAAGAACACTAAATATATTTTCTCTTCCTTACGATTTTCTTAATATTTTCTTTTCTCTAGCTTTATTCTAAGAATACAGTATAAAACATATTCCATACAACATACAACATATGTACTAACTGACTGTTTATATTATTTATAAGACTTCCAGTCAGTAGTAGGGTAGTGGCTCACGCCTATAATCCCAGCACTTTGGGAGGTTGAGGCAGAAGTATCACTTGAGCCCAGGAGTTTGAGCCCAGCCTGGGAAAAACAGCGAGAACCAGTCTCTACCAAAAAAATTAAAAAATTAGCAGGGCATGGTGACATGCACCTATAGTCCCAGCTACTCAGGAGGCTGAGGTGGGAGGATCGCCTGAGCCCAGGAGGTTGAGGCTGCAGTAAGCCATGATTGTGCCACTGCAATCCAGCCTGGGCAACAGAGCAAGATCCTGTCTCAAAAAAAAAAAACAAAAACAGGCTATTAGTAAAGTTTTTGGGGAGTAAAAAGTTATATGTAGAGTTTCAACTGCACAAGGGGTTGGCATCCCAACCCTTGGGTAGTTCAAGGGTCAACTGTATTTCCTCCCCAAATATACCTACCCACTAATTACATATATAATGTGAATCTACAACATAAAAGCATTTGGGAGGATAAAAAAACCACAGGAACTATTCGTCATGAGTTTTACCCAGTAGATAGAGCAAAAAATACATTAGAAGGCAGTAAAAATGGCATCCGAGTCCTATTTGTTGTTTAAAAATTAGCAACTACATCTTCCTGTTTTTGCGTAAAATCAAGTGAGGCTGTGAGTAAGAGGTCCAACCACAATATTGATACTTCTCCATAAAAAATGATGAGCTGCCTACTTGAAAGTTATACCCTCCACCATAAATATGCCTATTTTCAATGGCTGTGTGCCAGTGGAGCAAACAGGATATGAAATCACAGCAGTCATCAAGTGACAGAACCAAAGGTTGATCCAACAAGTTTCTGTGGCTTCCCTTGTGCATATGTCTACAAAATGGCACTCCCCAAGCCTTTCTGGTGAATCAGTGTGAAGGTTTGTATGACAAATTGGTAGAAATTTTAGCCCACAGAATTGTGGACCACGTAGCTCAGGGGTCCTGTGCTCCCAACAGTGTCCAAAGGCATTTAATTTAAATATAAGACAATGCCAGAAAGCATTTTCCTTCATCTGTTTCCCTATCCACTAAGTTAATTTTCTTTCATTCAAAGTAGTGCCTTTCCAACCCTCAAATTAAATAGATACTTGAGCAATGGAAATGATGCCTGAATAATAACTTTTGATGAAGATTCAAGTCTTAGTACAGCTGTTGTAATATAAACTGAGGCTGTGAGAATTAGAGTGTTTGAGCATTTCTTAAACAGGCATGAAGTACACTAAGAATGTAACAGCCACCTGGGAGCTTCCTAATTCTCAGAGGAAAATGAGACATAAGAAGACCAGAGCAGATCCCCAGCTTCTTTGGCCGTAAGAGAAACTCTATGGTTTCAAAGGAACTGTGGTTAATAACCTAACTTGCGGCACCAAATACCAATTCAGTTGCATGTTTGGCCAGAAAAGCTTTATTTCAATGGATATATAATAGTTTATAATAAGGAAGCATCATAATTTATTTAAACACTTTCCTATTATTATTATTACTTTGAGACAGAGTCTCGCTCTGTTGCCCAGGCTGGAGTGCAATGGCACGATCTCGGCTCACTGCAAACTCTGCCTCCTGGGTTCAAGCAATTCTCCTGCCTCAGCCTCCCAAGTAGCTGGGATTACAGGCGCCCGCCACCATGCCCAGCTAATTTTTGTATTTTTAGAAGAGACAGGGTTTCACCATGTTGGCCAGGCTGGTCTCGAACTCCTGATCTCAGGTAATCCACCCACGTTGGCCTCCCAAAGTGCTGGGATTACAGGCATGAGCCACTACATCCAACCTCACTTTCCTATTATTCAAAATTTAGATAATTGGCATTTCTTCAAGAAACAACCTGATGCATAAATCTTTGATCTCTCTCTCTCGATGATAGACTCACAGAATTGAAATTCCTGGGTCAAAGACTATAAAATCTTTTAAACTAAGTATGTTAACAGCTATTACTAACATTCTTTAACTTTTCGGTATTTTTTATTGTCTACAATGAGCATGTGTTCACTAAAAAAATGAGTAAGTTCACATTATAAAAGTCATAGAAATTAAAAACAAAAGCTTTACTAAGGTAAAAGTTCTTAAAAACAAAGCTTTATAATAAATACTTGAAAGTAGCTTTTACCATTTTAGAAAAAAACATTTTTAAAAAAGAAAGACAAATACTTCATTTCAACTGCCAGCTGGCATACTTTGAAAGTCAGCATCATAAAGTAGTATGTTCTGTCTCACCACAGCAGGACATTAATTCCTGGCCTGCTTTTGAGGAGCAGAAGTACAAACAGTGGCACAGGTACATTAGTTGGAATATTCCATGCAGAATGAATTAAAGTAGCAAAAGCTTAAATCTGTGGTTGTTTCTGCTGCCAACTGTTATTCACATAAGTAAAAATCTCTTCTATAACCCATGTATGATAATTTTTTAATATTTATAAAATTTTACTACATTTAGATGTCCTTCTCAAAAGTAGAGAAACTTCCCATAGAGCTCTTTTTATAGCAATACACATCTATCCTGGTTATAGAGCTTAGAACATTAGTGTTCCCAGTTCACTCCAATACATTTTCTCTTAAATTTCACTTTTAACATTCCTTAAGACGTACAGAATGTATTCTATGGGTCCAATTAACGTTACCGTGGACAGAAAATCTTAACTTAGCACCTCTTGCCTTACAGTAAGGAAGCTTTTCAACTTCAACAAAAATTCTTGTTTAACACCTTGTAGTTAATTCATTTTACCTACACAACAATTGTGACATAACATTACTGACCTTCAACATCATTCCAGCTTGCTCATAAGCTCTGCAAAGAGAATATAATTTCTCTGATGAGATCTTAACGAAATAAGGGGTAGAAGAAACTTTCTGGTGAGGAACTACTGGTAAGGAAAGTGACTTCAATTACAATGGGCTCATGCACAACATATCACTTCAGGCTTATATTACCACACAATATAATTTTTTATTCTTTTTTTGTGGGGAATAATGGCTTAGAACATCAGACATTTGAGTTAAAGAGATTTTATTTTGCAGATGCAAAATTAAGTAAGGCTCAGTAAGGTTAAATTAATTTCCATCTGACAAACCTAAACCTAAGTTTTTTTGTTTGTTTGTTTGTTTTTGGGATGGAGCCTTGCTGTGTCGCCCAGGCTGGAGAGCAGAGGCACGATCTCAGCTCACTGCAACCTCCATCTCCCAGGTTCAAGCAAGTCTCCTGCCTCAGCCTCCCCAACAGCTGAGATTACAGGCACGTGCCACCACATCCAGTTAATTTTTGTATTTTTAGTAGAGACGAGGTTTTTCACCAAGTTGGCCAGGCTGGTCTTGAACTCCTGACCTCAAGTGATCCGCCTGCCTCGGCCAACAAATAACTACTCTCCACAAGGCAAGAGAAAGCTTCCTGCTTCATCTCCACAGGCACCATTAACTATCAAACAGAGGAAAAAAGAGATCCTAACTTATTTTTTTCCCATAGGCTACTGAACAAAATGCTCCTAATAAAATATTATGGCAAATTTAATTTAAACTCTTTACATCTTACAGTTAGGAGTAAGTCTTGGTTTTTAAGGTTTAGGTAAAAACTGAAGCAAAGAGAAATGATTATTATTTAAATCAATACAAAATTTATAATTTGGGAAAAAATTACCAACCTACAGAAAAACAGCAACATTTAAAACATAATTTGCAAATACATGAAAACATGAAGAATACTTACTTGGCAGCATGAAAAAGACTGAATGGAAGTAACGAAGTCAAAGTTAAGGAAAAAAGAAAAAAATCAATAGTTTCTATAGATCAACTATTTAAAGACAGTTAACTAAATCACTGACCCAGTTGGTTCCAAAAGACAAATCCTACAAACAGGTAAAAAAGAAGTAATTCAATACCTGTCAATATAGTTTAAAACTACATAATTCCCAAAACCACTAACAAAACACTGCACAGATTTTAAACTATTTCTATTACGCAATAATCTGAAGTTTTACTGAAGTACAAAGTTATTATGACTACAGTTTGCAAATAAGAGAAACATTTTTTATTGATAAGTTTGCAAACACCTCAAGAAAATGTACTGTTTTAAACTACTTATAATTTTTATTTCAAATACCTAAGGAAAACTGTATTTAAAAAAATTGATACAGTAGTTCACGTGTTTTCAATACCTGTGCTACTTCTTCATTCTTCAGCACATGTCTACAGATTTACTTTACTTCATCCCAAGTAAAACCATCATCAAGTAAAATCACAAACAATAGAAAGTAAGTATTGTAGCTCTGCGAACCAGTGTGGACCTTATAATCAAACTTCATTATAAACGCTCCTTCATAGTTTAAAAATACAGAATTTTTCTAATCATTTTCTAATTTAAAAACATTTTACTTCACAGGTAGTAAAGTAAATTTACAGCAAGAGAAAACAGCTTGTCAAAATCATCTAATTGTTTAATTTCTTTTTAAAAGTTGAAAAAGATACGCCCTATTATTTTCATGGGCAACAGCTTCCCTCAGGCAGGCATCTTTTGCTTGCTCAAACTGTTTGGCATTTTTAAAAGCAACAGCTGAAATAGAAAAAAAAATTGACTATTTCCATCATTAAAAACCTCAAATGAATCATTACTGAAATCTGCATTTTATATGAAGTATTATAAACATACTTACTTCAAATACTTAGGAAGTATCCTAAAACTATAAAATATTACTTTTTTCTAAAGCAATTTCCTTACAACTTTTCCAATTATTGGTAACTTACGAGTATTTTTAAAACTTTTTCTTTTTTAATTGTTGACTACTGGCAACAAATCAGTGTTTCTTCCACTCAAAATCAAGAAGTCTTTCTAACACCAACACTCCCCAATACTCCCCAGTAACCGGCAGATTCTTCAGTCACAAAAGACAGCACCTTACTTCACCAGTTTTACCTTTAAACGGTATTTTGGGTATAGGTCATTCGATTAGGTAGAAACTGAGGGCCAATAAGCACATTTAACAGTTTTTTATAATAAACCTTCCTTTTGGCACAATCTTTAAATGTCTAACAATGCATTTTTTTAAAAAAACAATCTTTTATACTGTTTACTATCTATGAAAAAGATGTCTCACTGTTCAAACAGCTAAAGCATACTGAAAGCTGTTTTAAAAGTGTAATCATCAAAACAAAACAGGAGTGCTTATAACATATGATCTTACAAATTTTGGAAAACTTATCAAGGGTTGCTTACAAAGAAGCAAAAAGCATAATGCTTTAAGAAAAGTGCTATTTGTTAAAAACACTCTTAAAATTCTCTTTAATAAAATGTGAAAACCAAATACTGAAGCTATTCCCCTCCCTGCTTTTCCATATGTTGCTTTTTAAAAAATTTATTCTGATTAAATAGGTTTTCCATAAGCCCTTAAAGAAAATAAACAAAGGATGCTTCAGGGGGAAAATTTCATCTAAAACATTTATTTTTGAATGTAATTCATGATCTCAGAGGGGCAGAAAACAAATCTGTGTTAAATTTCCCTCACAGAGGAAACTTGCAAAATGTTGTTCCCTTCTGCTACAGAAGCCTCCTTGCATGAGTAGTCCACAAAATTCATACAAAGTTTGAACTTTTAATAATTTTCAAGTATAAGATAAACAATTTGCATGATGCAAAAAAACAGAATTTACTCAGATTTAAATAAAAGTACTGAAGACTCATTTGCTGTTTAACCAAAAGCACTTGCCCCAGATGATCTCTATGCTAGGCTAACAAATGTGATAAGGGCTATCGCTGAAATACAACTGAAAATGTGTTCAAGGTACTTCAAAATTTTGTTATATTTATACTGCAAATTATCACAGGTATGCTTAAAGCTATCATTCTGTAATTCAGAATGCTACATTTTTAGTAAATTCCCTTTCTGTTGCATATTTTAGATTGTTTATATCTTATATAAAGATAAATTGATTAAAATATGTATATAGCTTAACACTTCATGAACACTGAACAGATACACTCAAAGTGAGGTTCATAAAAGACATAAAATACCAAGCAAACATATGATTTGCGTATCAGGTTAAGATGAGGCTAAGTTAACAAAAAATTTAACAAACTCCTAATTCAATAGAAAGTATAATAGAGAAATATGGCAAAACTCATGGATATGGTATTCAAATAACTGGAGTTAAAGAATATATAAGCAACGCTAAAAACCCACTACTGTGTATCACCAACCCCGCCCCATCCCTGCTGTCATAGACAGCAGGTACCAGGAACTCTGACTCAGCTCTCAACACATCTGAAAATAACAAGTGGAAAAAAACTCAAGGGCTTGCACAGTTGTTTTGTTTGTTTTTTAACTATTAAAGCCTTATAGAAAGCATATGAGTAAGTATTATGGTGAAATGAAGTTATCAGACTATTTTAAGATTACATACTGGAGCAACTGGACTATAGTCAAAAATACCTGCTTTTCCATATTCAGAAGCGGCACTGTCATAATCTGGCTTCCATTTTAAAAAACCAGTTTTCAGGCTAGAATGAAAAAAACACAGTTAACAGGAGTTACCAACCACATTTATAAGTCAGATCTCTGCTTGTAATGACCTTCTAGGTCTTTAAAAAAAAAAAAAAAAAGGAGAAACCATCAGGCACAAACTCTGTGTCACCCGCCTCCATCCAAACTTAGGCCTAACAAACACAACCTCACCTCTTTCACTCCCACTGTCACAGGTACGTGGTTTTCCTCCTAGAGGTTCTCAATTCATGGTCCCTGGACCAGCACCATCAGCACTAACTGGGAACTTACTAAAATCGTAAATTGTTGACCCCATCCCAAGCCTACAGCACCTCTGAGGTTTAACGAGCTCAAAGGTGCATTAAAGCTTTAGAACCTCTGAAGCACAGTATCGACAGCAGAGGGATTCATGAAACTGACGCACAGACAAGAGTCTAGAGACATAAATGGAGGCATCATAAGCATATGTCAAGAGCATAGATGAGATCAGATCCCCTAGTGAGACTGCAGAGAGAGAACAGAAAGACTAAGGAATACAATCATTCAGTGAAACAACAGAGGAAGTAGGCAAAAAAAAAAAAAAAAAAAAAAAAAAAAAGTGAAAACTCGCCACCCATAAACAAGAAGGATAATCAGAAAGGGAAGGATATTACAAAAGCCAAGAGAAACTGCTTTCTAGGATCACTACTGGCTTCTTGGATGCCAAACCAAAGGACAATCAATTTTGAATCCTTAACTTACTTGCCTTTTCCTCAATATTTATTTTCTTATTTTAAAATAATTTCAGACTTAGTTTAAACTAATTCAGTAACTGTCAAATTTGGGTGTGCATAGAAATTGCCCAAACCATCGTAAATTCTAAATGTCATTCAATTAGTGAAGGCCTGCTTGCACAGAACACTGCTTGCTTCAAATGACTCAGGGGAGTATCTTAACTGAAAGATGAGGCATCTGTATGAGCACTCAGAAGTACAGCCTTCATTATGTGACAGCCATGGGAACTGCCACAAAGTCATAGCTTCTTTTTTTTTCTTGAGATAGGGTCTCGCTCTGTCACCCAGGCTGGAGTGCAGTGGTATTATCTCGGCTCACTGCAACTTCCGCCTCCCAGGTTCAAGTGACTCTCGTGCCTCAGCCTCCTCAGTAGCCGGGATTACAGGCTTGTGCCACCACACTCAGCTAATTTTTGTATTTTTAGTAGAGAAGAGGTTTCGCCATGTTGGCCAGGTGGTCTCGAACTCCTGGCCTCAAGTGATCCGCCCACCTTGGCCTCCCAAAGAGCTAGAATTACCGGCATGAGCCACTGTACCCAGCCAGCTACAGTAACATTTTTTGCCAATTAAATTTATTCAACATATTTAGCATCTAAAACTTGTTTGTGTATATAGTGTTACAAGATTCAAATTAAAATAAGCAATTTTTCAAGCTTACCAAGAATTTCACTGTTCAGAAAAATAATATCCTTAAATTGTGGTGTGTCTACTCAAATCTACAAAATTGAGGAAATATGCAATATGCAAAATGCTAACCCTCTGTTCCTATCCCATAACAAACATTACATTCTGTATATTAACATAATTTTTTTAATCCCACTAAAAACAAGATACAATCACTCCGTCACCTAATGTGCTATACACGGAAAGACCCAGAGAGTTTAAAACTGGGCAAACCATCCCAAGTCACATGAACACCACTAATAAGGAAGAAAGATATACAGCTAATTTGGGTTTAGCAGCCATACCTGTTAGTCCTTTTGACCTTTTTCTCCAAAGAATCAATAAGGAAACTGACCAATTTCCACAGAAAAAAAGAAAACAGCAAAATTACCATCTGTGTGGGGATCAATTTACAAAATTACTCAGCAATATTGAACTACGTCATCATTAGAAAATGGAGAAAAATCAAATATCTCCTAAGCTCCTGGCCCATTTTTCCTACCACCCACTGAGTAACTCTGTCTAGCAGCATTTCAAACTAACACTTCAAGCCTGAACTCCACACCTCCCCGCCCCACCTCCCTGCCCCAGACCTACCCACCAATCACATCCATTAATCTATATCCCCTATCTTGGCTGAAGGCCTCTCCCACTCGTCTCCCAAGTTAGAAACCTAGGAGTTAACTCTTCATCTCTACATGCAGGCACCTCATTAAAGCATGTCAACCTTACTGACAAACATCACCCAGTCCTACCCCTGTACTGTTATTTGAATTCAGGCCATCACCACCTCTCCCCTGAAGTCGACAACCCACTAACATGTCTGGCAGTACCTTCATGGGAGAGTCACCTTTCCTCCTCTTCCATTCCCCACATCCTGAGCATATTACCTTTTCCTTGCTTCCTATCTCTACCATACCACACTGAATACTTCTATTCTAGCACTGAACATCCTATTTTTAGTCCTCTGTTAACTTGTCTGCCCACCTGTGAATTCTAAGCTCTTGAAGAAGGGACCACTTTTGGTTACTCCAGTATCCTCTGTGGCTGGTACAGGTACACAGAGACAACTTTGTAAATGTTCGTTTACTGAATATGTCAAAGTCCATTCTCCACACTGCTGCCACATTTCTTTTTCTTTTCCTTTTTATTTATTTATTTTTTTGATACAGAGTCTTGCTCTGTCTCCCAGGCTGGAATGCAGTGGCGCGATCTCCGCTCACTGCAACCTCCGCCTCTAGGGCTCAAGGGATTCTCCTGCCTCAGCCTCCTGAGCAATTGGGATTACAGGTGCGCGCCACCACAGCCGGCTAATTTTTGTATTTTTAGTAGAGACAGGGTTTCACCATGTTGGCCAGGCTGGTCTCGAACTCCTGACCTCAAGTGATCCACCCGCCTCAGCCTCCCAAAGTGCTGGGATTACAGGCATGAGCGACAGGGCCCAGCCTGCTGCCACATTTCTTTCACCAAAAGCAAATCTAACCGAGTCCACTGGTTGGATGCCTACAATAGCCATGTGAGAAGCTGTCCCTTCACAGTCTGGCCCCAACTCTTTTTCACTCCAGCTCGTCCCCTGGCACTGTGACTACACTACATTCACTGTTCCCAGAGCACATTTTCAGGCCCGCGTATAATACATACTACAGGTTGCGCACAGAATCTCTTTCACAAGATTTTCCCTCCGTCTAAAACATTCCGTATTTTTCAAGCTCTGCTCACAAATCATCTCCTCCTCAAATTTTCTCAGGCAGAATAAACTTCTCCCTCTGGGTTACCTATGCACAGTTAATACAGCTTTTTTGTGGTCCCTATTCCACACACTATTCTTATTACAAATTTTGCGTTTGCTCCCACTAGAAAGCAGAATGTTGTGGGAACCTCCTGCACCAGGAGAGCCCCAGCACCTTACACGCTGACTGCCTCGAGTCATGTGATAGAGCTTGAGTTTTTCCACTGTTTGAAAACTGGCTCTGCGATCTTTCACCTGTGCAGTTGGGGGCAAGTCGTTATGAGGCTTCCCTGAGTCTCATTTCCTCTTACGAAAAATTAGAATCTCTATTTGGAAAGTTATTGTGAAGATCTCAGCTTATGAAATTATGTATGTGAAGCACCCACCACAGAGCACAATGCTGACTTTTTCTTTTCTTTTTTTTTTTTTTTTTTGAGACGGAGTCTCGCTCTGTGGCCCAGGCTGGAGTGCAGTGGCGCGATCTCGGCTCACTGCAAGCTCTGCCTTCCGGGTTCAGGCCATTCTCCTGCCTCAGGCTCCCGAGTAGCTGGGACTACAGGCGCCCGCCACCACGCCCGGCTAATTTTTTGTATTTTTAGTAGAGACGGTTTTCACCGTGTTAGCCAGGATGGTCTGGATCTTCTGACCTTGTGATCCGCCCGCCTCGGCCTCCCAAAGTGCTGGGATTGCAGACGTGAGCCACCGCGCCCGGCCCACAATGCTGACTTTCTATTAACTGTAACTGCCAGATAAAAATGCACTGGAGTAATGAAACGGGGGGAAGAGGCTGCCAAAAGGATGAATTAAGGATTATCAGTTCAGTCCCACAAACATTTGCAGGGTGCCTACTACGTACTGTACCAGAGGTGGCAGGACATACACATCAAAGGACGAACGAAGCACAGTCCCTGCCCACAGGGACAGTAAAATGCCAGATGACAAAGGTTCACCGAGGAGTTTTTGGGGTAAACCTATGGTCCCCTCCACACAGGGGGCTCTTCTAGGGCGGTGGTTCTCAACAGAGCGATGTTGTTCCCCAGATGACATTTTGGGTTGCCACAAATGGGGAAGAGATGCGACCGGCACCCAGCAGGTAGAGGCCAAGGATGCTGCTAACGAGCCTCCGATGCACAGACAGCCCCCACCACAATCTTCAGGAGCAGAGCGCCCAAGTAGAGAAGCCCTCGCCCCGCAGCACTGCGCCGAGTCCCCGCCCACACCGGCTCTGGGGAGCGGACTTCCGGCGGGGTGGACCCACGGCGCTTCCCGAGGCGCCGCAGAGCTGACCCCGACCCCGGGAGTGTGACCCAGAGGACACCGAGCCCCGGCAGCCCTGCGGGCACCAGCGCGCCGAGGCCCCTCAGCCCTGAGCCCTCCCTCCCGCCCCCCCCGGGTGCTAAGGCCGCGCCAGTGAGAGACGGACCCGGCGTCTACACACAGGCCCCCGGAAGGTTCTCACTCACTATTTCTCTGCTTTGGCGAGGTGTTCCAGCCCCTCGTTTATCTTCTGAGCCGCCATCTCCACAGTCAGGTCTCTGACGTGGAGAGAGGGTGACCCTGCCTCTTCCTCCGGCGCCAAGAATCCGCCCAAATAGGCGTGGGAACGCCGAGGAGGAAGCTGGTGCAGCGCGACAGTCGAGCGGCTACGGAGGGCCGGAGGGCCCAAGCCGCTGCGACGAAGCGGGGCTGGGAGCCTGCCGGTGCGCCCCGCAAAGAGACATTGCGCAGGCGCAGCGCGTCAAGGCTGGCCCCACCTAGGGCATCTAGCGCAGGCGCGGTGAGATACTGATGGGGCGTATTCTTTCATTCAATATTTGCAAAGCACCTAATATGTGTCAGGCACTATTTTAGATGCGGGAAGATCAGCAGACAAAAACTCCCGCCCTCTTGAAGTCTTGCTTTTTCATTAATGTGAAACTGCTGTGGATCCTGTTTGTAGGGTTAATTGGCTTTATAATTTATTACATCTGAAGTTTCTCTGTATGACAGATAGAATAGTATTCTTCTATCCATTCTGCCTTTTGGGTATTAATTGTATGTCAGTCAAGAAACGAAACAGACTTGTAAACCCTGATTACTGTCAAATAATCCGCGCCCAACCCAAATAATCGCTCTAATATTTCAAGCCGTGATAAGTGCTCTAAATGGGAAGTTGAGGGATCTAAAGTCGCGTACAGTGGTCTGGTAAAAATAGTAACCAGTAATACAGTTGGCTTCATTCATAATTCATGGTGATTTCAATATCCACATGGATGATTCCTGCAATGACTATACAGCCTCTCAGCTTCCAACCTCCTGTGATCTTTCCCACACTAGCGCAGCCACACATTCCTGGGATCACACCCTTGACCTTACTCATAACTGTGTACCCTCCGTAGTGTCAGTTTCAAACAGCTCACTTTACTTCCCCTTTCCATTCCAGCTCATACCTCCTAGTGCTAGTAATTACTTAACCTTCACCAGATTCCTCACCTTTCCCTATCCCTCTGCTCTTACACGTCCTTCTTTTCCCAGCATAAATTCATGTCCCATCATTTTAGTGCGTATACTCTCAACGGCCTTGGCTCCCTCTCCCTCCTTTCTCCAAGCCAGGAAAAACCCCAGCTCTCCACCTACTCTGGAACTGCTCTTGAGCAAGTGAATTTGACTGGAAAAAAACAAACGAGGATGCTAACATTACTCATTTTAATGATCATAAACATTAAGCCGACCTTTGGTGCTGCTGAGCAACTCTCCTATGTTTCCATGGTCAAATCACTCACCCACTCACTTGGAGGGCTGTTCACACCTTCCTTCTCAAAACTCCTACACAATCTCTGCTTGCCTGCCAACTCTCACTTATTGTTGAATATGAAATAACTATTCGAAGAGTTCTTCCCTTTGGCCTCACCACACAATCGATCGATCTTCCTGCATCTATTTGCCAATCAATATTTTGCATTTTTTCTAGTGCCAACAGGTGAACTGGCCTTGGATTTTTTTCTCTATCCTCACTTTCTTATTTAGTACCCACACACAAGACCCCTCTTCATTTGGTTGTCTAGCCTGGGCTTCCTTTATAGGAAGGCAGCAGAATTTCAAGAGAGTGAAAGTGGAAACTTCAGGCTTCGTAAGGCCTGGACTCCCACTGCACATTACTTCTGCCACATTTTATTGATGAAAACATGTCATAAGGCAAGTTCAGATTCAAGAGGTAGGAAAATAGAGGAGTGTAAAATACTTTGGCCATGACTTCCAATTCACCACAACTCTGGGATGACTGATTAAATATAAAAGGACTGTTACCAGTGGAAAGCCTTATGTTTTCAAGTGAGTTTAGATTTATTAACCACCCAATACCATCACCCTCTAAAACCATTGAAAGTGCCCAGAAAGTTTTCTAAGCCTATAACCTCCTCCACATTCTCCCTTATTTATTCATTCATTATTGAATTATTGTTTACTGAATGCCCACTCTGCACAAGACATTAAGCCTACACACCTAGGACCCAATTGTTGAGCAAGAGATATAATGCCTGCCCTCATTGCATTCATGATCTATGAGAGGATACAATATTTAACTTAATTTTACTTTGGCATCAACAAAGAAAGAATGGGAAAAAAACCCCACGATAGTGATATAGCAGTTATTAAGAAATACTTTTTAGGCAGATAGTAAGGGTAAATGTTCTCAGTGGAAATTTTCCTGTTTTAAGAAACAACCCCTGAACCATCTCTTTTCTAACAGAAAAGGCAGCTTGAAGAGCCAGGCCCGCAAGCTTTGATATGCAAATGTCAGTCCTTAGAAACTGAGTTCACTCAACATGGTGATTCCGCCATCTCTTCCTTGTCATCAGGTGTACCAAGTGTCATGGCCACCTCCAGATAACACCATGTGTTCAGAACATCACGGTGACCTGTATTTGCATATTAAAGGGCTAAGGTGGGAGGGCCAGGTTTTTCGAGAGCTATGTAAATGACACACCTGGTCAAACCAATCCCCTGGGCCCTATGCAAACCAGACACCACCTCCTCCAGGATCCCAATATAAGCAACCACTTTTCCACTGCACACTGGGTTTTCTCTTTGTTCAAATCCTCCCTACCTCTGTCTCTGTATGGGGGAGGTGTTTTCTTCTTCCTTCCTTCTTTCTTGCCTATTAAACTTTTCACTCCTTAAAACCACTCCACGTGTCCGTGTTGTTAATCCTATCAGCACGAGACCAACAACCCTGGTGTTCCTCCATTCGTTGGAGCTATATCAATAGCCATGGGCATTCAAGGGTTCTATGTTTCAAAGGACCCTTGACCAGGGAAGCCGTGGTAAGTATGTGCTAACATGCATTCATAGTAAAGGGGAGAAGAAGAGAGAGAATGGGCACAGTAAAGGTGTAACACAAATGCCCCCACTTTCTTCCCCTCCCCTTCTCTTCCTGCAATAACATTGAGGTGGGAGTTGAGCAAGGGGAATTTAAACTGAGAAGTCAGCTTAGAAGAACTGAGAATGGAAAGCATGGACCAAATGATGATAGACTAAGACGTGTAGTTTCCCAAGCTAGAATCGATAGTGTGACCCCAGGCCTTGTTGACCCATAAACGTAATTCTTGTTATCACAGCAGCTACCACCAGAACCTCAGCAAAAGTTGTCTTTGTGACTTCAACTTACCTCTTGCCTCCTCTCCTAAGGCTCTTTAGACGCTCATGTCCTCCCTCACCTACCCCGTCAACATACAGACTTGCTGGCTGCTGGCCCAAGTGATTCCATCTGAGCCAATCCTCTCCTCTAGTTCTAGAAACTCTTTTTCTTTATCCTGCCTCAATAAAAATGTGCATTCCTGAGTGATCTACTTGTTTTGGATGTGACTAAAATGATTCACATCAAAGTGTGAATGAGGCTTAAAATAGAGCTTGCAAACCCCATTCCTTCTCTCATGGTGGGCTTAAGTCTCTGAGAGTTCTTTAAGCCTGCATCCCCAGGTTCCTTGTCTACACAAACCTGCTTCCTTCCCCTAGCCTAGTCTGCTGCCAGGAAGCAAAATCCTTGGACCTACCTCCCACAGCTGAATGTTCCAGTCAAATAAAAGGTCTTTGTCATTTCTTGGAGAGAGGGTTTGATGGGTCAAATGAGCTCTATTTCAAATCAGGAATCATAAATAAGGAAACATAAGAGCTCCTATATCGCTAAGTTTTCTTTGTTTGTTTAATTGCTAGTAGCCTGACTGTGTAATTTTACCCTTTTCCCCCACAAATATACTGTTATGTTATACAAGAGATACACTTCTGAGACCCAGCCCAAGAGGTTAGCCATGAATCATAAAATCATTTCTCTGGGAAAATATATTCTGAGTTATAAATAACGAATTTACAAAAAACCTTTGGAACAAATTCTGCTATCATTTGACAGTTCCTTTCATCAGAATAGGATTTTAGAAGATTGTTCTTGGCTTTTTTTCTGATAAAACTAATAGAAGCCATTATGATCTGTATTTTTTTTTCTGGTTAAGTGTTAATGAATACATTGACTTTTAAAAATCACCACTGAATCTCTATGAGATTAATATGGAGAATTCGTTCTCCAGATTCCTGTGTCCAATGCCTTCTTAGCAGCTCCACCTAGACATCTAAAATGTCATACATAATCTGTTCAAATCTGAGCTCCTGATGCTCCCATACCTGCTCTCCCTTCAGGCTCAGCCATGCTGGGTTCATGGCAGCTTCACCCTCTCCTTGCCCAAACACTTGGAGTCATGCTCCTCTGCTCTTTCTGTCGCACAACACATGCAATCTGTAGGAAATTCTGTCGACTTTGCCTCCAAAAAGTGCCCAGAGGCAACCACGTCTCCTCATCTCCCTGTCCACAGCCACCGCGTAGTCTGTTAGTTGCCATCGTCTGTGACTGCACTCACCATCTGTGTTCAGAACACAGTGCAGTGCGAATTCCAGAGCAGAACTCAGTCAATTTTGGCTGAAAGTCCTGTGTCATTACGGAAGAAGAGGAAGAAGCATTTGGACACTTGGAAGGTGTTTTCTCTCAAGTCTGGCCATGGCCCTTCTTCAAGGTAATTTCTTTTCTTTCTTTCTTTCTTTCTTTTTTAAATTATTCTTTCTTTTTTTTTAGAGACAGGGTCTTACTCTGTCACCCAGGTTGGAGTGCAGTGGCATAATCATGGCTCACTGCAGCCTCAAACTCCTAGCCTCAAGCAATCCTCCTGCCTCAACCTCCCAAGTAACTGGGACTGTGGGTATGTGCCACCACACCTGGCTATTTTTTATTATTATTTTTAGTAGCGACAAGGCCTCACTATGTTGCCCAGGCTGATCTCAAACTTCTGGGCTCAAGCAACCCTCTTGCCTCAGCCTCCCAGAGTGCTGGGATCACCAGTGCACCCCCCTGCACCCAGCCCTTTCCAGTGATTTCTTTGGCTTGTATTTGCTTCTTTTTGCTGGGCTTTCTCCACATTCCTCTCAACCTCTCCTGCTCTAACCTTTCACAGAACCATCATTATTAATTTTTTTATTTTCAATTGAATTTCAAAATCAAAGCAAGAGAATGAATGTTTGAAAAGGAGAAAGAGAACGGGGCCACACCCACAGGTGCCAGCCATTGAAGACCAGGTAGACTGGCATCCCCTAACCATAGCATAGCTTCCAGCGCAGCAGGAAGCTGGGCCAGGTGGGGTCGGTGGGGAGACGGGTGCCAAAGGTGCCTGGAGTGAGAGTGGGATTAGCAGCGTGGAGCTTGCCTGAGCTCCCAGGCACCTGATGGATGCTGGCAGCTAAAACCTCCACTAAACCCTAGGGCCCCTGGTCACCATTTGCCAGAAACTCTACAAAGTGCTTTAGAAACACTGTTGTTATCCCATCTCACATATGAGGACTGAAGGTCAGAGAAGCTAAGTAACTTTCCTAAGGTCACACAGCAAGTAAACGGGAAGATGGGGACTTGAACCCAGACCCATCTGACTCCAAATTTATACTTGGCCCACTATAATGGACCAGAAAATGGTCCTTATTTTGTAATAGTTTAATAACCACTCACGCAACACCGCTGCTTAGTTGTATGGACCAATTATTAATTTTCAAATGTTTTTATGGGGGAAAAAATAGTCAGTTTACTACATACCTGGTACTTTACACCTACCTGCTTTGAAATTTTAATAATAATTGGAAAATGAGAGTTGGAAGTTTATTAGGTTTGACTGAAGTAAGTTGTCAAATGGCTGAGAAAGGGCCACCCCTAACAGATGCGCCAAGCATATTATACTGAGAAGTCCCACTTAGGTATACGTTGGCTGGGGAGAGTCCTGGCGTTCATTCCTTCTCCCGCGTAGCCTTATGGGTCTCTTCAGAAAACACATGGTGGCGCTGCCTGCACGTGCCTTTACAAGCTGCAAGCCGTCCAAACAAAAGTGGTTAGTTTCTGCCTCTTGGGATTACAGTCAGATTCTGGCAACATTTCGCATTCATAACTGAACTTTCCACATAAAAGCGATCTCTCTCACTGTTTTGTACACAAAGTGAGGCAGCATTGTCCGAGTACAGTAATGTTGGAAAGAGATGAAGCATTGTAAATGTTTAACAACAGATCTCTGTTAAATCCACTCTAACGAACACAACCGTTTTGATGAATATTATTTTTAAAGAGAGAGAAAAATACAGATCTTCCTTTGCAAGCTATCTTTGAATAAAAGATAAAACCAACACACTGAATTGGCTTAGTGGAAACCCGTCATGTATTTCATTAGACCACTTGCAGATAGCCTAGTGCCAACCTATAAATGTTCTCTCTTGAAAACCACATCCCATAGATATACAGCAATCATTTTCTTTCAAGGAGGATATATTCACGCAGTTACATTTTGTACAAATATAAAGTAGGCAAAATTGAAAGAATACAACATAAAACATGACTCATTAATGAAGTTTGTGAATTACTCATTCACAAACTGCATTAATGAATTTTTTTAAATAACATGTCTTCCAAATTAAGAATTCCTCAAGAAGTGCACGTTTGGAAGCTGCCAGGAATAAAGAGCTGTGGACTGGGTTTATGCTATTCATTCTTTAGGCACTCATTCAACAAGTATGTGTGGAATGGTTTCTCCATGCAGGCACTGTTCTAGGCTCTGGGAGACAGCCCTGAATGCAGCAGGGATTCACAGAGCTGACATTCTAGCACAGGGCATATGGGTGGGGTTGTGGAGTCCAGTAGGAAACTGGCTAAGGCGGTGTAGACACAGTGCTAGAGGGGGTCAACACTCAGGAAAACAAAGCAGGATGTGGGAATGGGAGGGCACCCGTGAGTGTGGGGTGAGTTTCTTCACCAGGTAGGTGACAATGAAATAAAGCTCTGAAGGAGTGGTGGCCTGAGACCTGGGATATCTGGACAAAGATAGTTGCCGATAAAGAAGGAATAGCAAATTTGTGAGGCAGAGTATGCGGGCGCCTGGCCCCACATTCCAGGGGAGAATGGGGAGGTGACGAGGTTGCAGGGGCCAAGGGTGACTTGGCTAGAAAAGCAACACATGACTCCCTTTGTGAAGATTGGATTAAAATTATGCAATGGTTGCATTAAGTTTGAAAATCTTCAGGGACACATTTCTTGCAACTTCCCTCTACTCGTGTAATTAGAAATGAATAAATGTTAATAAGGAAGCTGAAAAGGCTCTAATGGTCTAGAACGTTATATAAAGCTTACTGGAACATGACGTTCTCAAAGTGTACTAGGATTGCAAAAGCAGCCACAGGACCCTTATTTTCCAGATTCCTGTGGAGCTGAGGAGGAGGAATCACAGCCTAATGGAGGGACACATGGCAAAGGAGCATGGAGCTGTGTGCTAGCAGGTGCACAGCGGGGTCATGGCCACTGTTGTTCAGTGGGGCCACCAGATCACAGATGAACACTGCAGCCGTTTCACATGTGACTGCCCTCATCCTTCATTTCCTATCCCCCACTGCGTGGAGCCCTTGGGTCACAGTTACGGCTGGAGGAGGCTGTGGATTCAGAAACGCAGTTGTGGATAAGGAAAGGTTTAGCACTGCCCACAAATGAAAAGAGACCTTCCAGATTTAGAGAAAAGGAAAAAAGCAAACAAAACAAAATAAAAACCCTCTTTTCTCCAGCTCCCAACATAATCAGAGATGAAAGAAGACAGTTTTAGCCTGGTAAATAAGAAAATAAACAAGAGCTTGAAATGGATAAGTTTTTTCTTCTAAATTTGTTTTTGCAAAGGGTTTTTCTTCCCTGAAAAACAAAATACTAAAATAGCAAGTTGTGTTTTCATTTATAAATCCTTCTCAAGAGGAAATCTAATAATAACAAGGGGTTTCCATTGGATTCCAACTTATTTCATAATGTAAATATATTTCTATCCTCTGGGGAAAAAAGCTTCCCCAAGCCAGGTATTTATCGTTTAAATTTGTGATTTTATTCACTTCCATTTTTCCCTCTCTTTTACCTTGAACAGCCTCTCAAACTGAAGAGGAGTGTTCAGTTCTACAGCTTATTAGATAGGGCCTCTTCATTCAACGATGCAAAGTTTAGAAAGAACGTGGACGATGACTTGCTATGTTTTGTTCTACATCCAATCAGAAGAGTAGCT
This sequence comes from Homo sapiens, assembly GCF_000001405.40. Classification (NCBI taxonomy): domain Eukaryota; kingdom Metazoa; phylum Chordata; class Mammalia; order Primates; family Hominidae; genus Homo; species Homo sapiens. The sequence goes on along the minus strand of NC_000018.10, from coordinate 10,518,040 downwards.
TGTGGCTCAAAAAGTCTTATCTTAGAAGATCAAATGTCCACATTTTAAGAGAGCGGGGCTGTATACTAGAAAGAAAAATGGATTAGAGTCAGTCATACTTTCAAACCTCAGCAGTATTTCTTATGTTATTTAAAGACATATATTATCTGGTTTCTTTGAGCTTCAGTTTCTTCTCCTATAAAATGGGAAGAATAATAATGTGGTGGATTAAAAATGGCAGCCAAATCTCTGACCCTCTTCCATTGAGAGGGGGACTCTGTCCCATCCTCTTGAATGCAGGTGGGTTTTGTGACTGCTTTGACCAAAAGAACAAGGATGTGATACTGTGCCAGTCTCAGGGCCCAATCTTCAAGGCACAGGCAGCTCCCACTTCCCATCTCTCAAAACATGAAATAGCTCTTGGAACCCTGAACAGTGCAACTCCCTTGAGGCTGCCATGATGTGAGGAAGCTCAAGCCACCCCGGTAGAGGTCTATGAGCAGAGAAGCAATGGCCAGCTGCCCCGCATCTCCCAGCTGCAGCCATTAGAGCCGTCCCAGCAAAGCTTCCAACCGTGAAGCTGAGTGGAGCTCCTCTGACTGTGCCCTGTCCAAATTTTCCATCCACATCATCAGGAGATACAATAATACTGTTTTAATCCATTGAGCTTTGAGATGGCTTGTTAAGCAGCAATAGATAAACATACTAAATGCTTATGTTGTGGAGCTACTGTCAGTTTTACAAATAATACCTCCAAGGCGCCTACACAGAATGGACACATAGGGAACATTCAGTAAATAGGAGCCATCATTTGTACTGTTGTTCTCATGATCTTCCCACAAGAGCGTTTATTAGAAATGTGATCAGAGAATCCTTTCTGAGCTCACAGAAGGCATTGAAATCCCTCACAGCTGACTTGCGTGGGAGTACACGGGCTTTGGGATGGCAAATCCTTCCTAGCCCAAGCCAGTCAGGTGCAGGAGAGCCACTAAAACCCTGCCAGTGCCTGCACTGCCGTTAAACATGTGTCCTCTCAGTAAACGAGACATGCTGTCCCTGCATTCCAGAAACATTGCAGCTCCACCTTGTTCTTGTATTTTTTCCTCCCCTATAAATCTCCCTGGTTACCTAAACTCAGTAGGCAACTAAGCACAATTGGGTTTACAGAAGGCAAGGTGACCTAAGAGATCTTTGAATGTAGCTGTTGATGTCCAGACTGCACGGAGAGCAGTCCAGCCAGGTTGAGAGCCTCTCAAGCACTTATGGTCTCCCTACTCCCAAGTGACCTTCTCTTTGGGGCACAGGTATTTAGGAGACACTTCTAATGATGATTGTAGACATCTCGGGACCATTGAGACACTGATAATATTAGGAAATAAAGTACTTTCAATGGAGCGAACTTGAAGGATTCAGAATCCCAAGATTCCTTAACCTCTCCTGCTGAAGTCCACTGCTCCCCATCCTGGCTGCTGTCAACACCTTCTCTAGCCCGGCCTGCTGGACAACTTGCTCTTCCTGATTAGTCAATCTGCCACCAACCTGGCCTCTGTTCAATGCATCCTCTCCTCTGCAGCACGGTCTTCTTAGAGCACCAATGTCACAGTGCACTCACGCACCTCTTTGTTTTAGTCCTTCTTTACTAATGGAAGAAAAATTTACCAACTGGAGAAGCCTAGGTTTCCAACCCCTGTGTGCCACCCCTCACTTCTCTGACTGATGGCTCATGGGTTAACTCTCTGGGAGGAGTGAGGGACAAAAGCCAGGATGACATGGCCCACAGCTGATGGAAGCAGCCAAGGCCAGCTTGGAGGGGAGGGGAGGACCTTCTGCTTAAGGATTTCTTCTATTTCTCACAGTCAGCCTCTGGATCTAAACTGGGACTCTTAATATCAGTCCAAGTTACCAGGACCAGGACAAATAACTTGGAATAAGGTGCTTTTTTCCGTCAGTTCTTTCAAACTGTTTGAGTAAAAAAAAGAGATGTAACTAAAAGCAGAAAGTTACAAAGCAAAACGAGGGAGGGAAGAGACTTCCAGTCAAGACTCACATGTTCCCCAGCCAAGCCGGGACCAGGCGCTCAGCTCTTGTGCTGATGCTTTAAGCTGTCTCTGTCCCCTAAGGAGAACAGCTTAGGAGTCGTCAGAACCTGCTCGAGTTCCATTTAGAAGCCAAGTGCCCACTTTCCCACTGTGCCCCATGTTGTTTTCCCGTTACCAGTTTCTCCTGTCTCACTCCTGTAGCTCAGGTTTTCAGCTTCTCCTTTTCATCCTCATCTCCAGCATCCCCACAGGAACCTTCCTGGACAGGTTTCTGTTGCTCATCTGAAGTGCAGGCCCTAGCTTGCTGCTGCCCTCCCTTCGGCCTTGTTGCCTTTGGAAGGGCATTCTCTGCATGGCTTCTTTTTGCCCTGGGTTGGCATTCTGCCACCCATCCCACATCATTCTCAGAACAGAACCACAAGTGAGCTGACAACTTCCATCCAGTGAGTTACGTAAAAGCCACACCAGTAGCCACACAGACACATGGAACCATGATGAGGATGCAGCATTTGCAGGCAATTCCAGGAAGAGTTTCTACCTTAACAACGACTTGCTTTAATTTCCTCTGTTCCTGAGCTTCAGTGCTGATCCTACAGATGAAGAGAGAAAGGTCCTTCTCTCATGGTGCAGGCTGAGGACAAAACAGCAGTACACCTGAATGTGTCTGTCTCCAAGCCATCCCCAAGCTTCCGTTTCAGTCATTCTTTGAGCTGTGGCCTTTACCATGGTAGAACTTGAATTTTATGGTGTTAACCTTTAAAGCCAAGATGGAACCTATAATTTAGATAAGCGCTGACCAGCAGATAACTTCCAGTTTACACTACAGCATATGTCTTTGATATTCAAAACAGGCTTCCAAATCAATGCTCTTACTGAATTATAATTTTATACATCTTATTTATTAAAAATATGAATTTACGAAAACAGCAGAACTTGGCAACTTTAACCTGTCCTTTATCCATATTTCAAGACTCCTGGGTTGTATGAGAAGGTGTTACCGTGAACGTGCCCCTCCACCCCACACCTTGCACAGGCTTCCCTATCAGGTGGGTCAAGTTCAGCTCCCAGAGACCAGTTTGAGGCCCTGGCCAGCCTAAGTGAGGTTCCAGGAGTTGGTGTGAGGGTCTGTCTGTCTTTTGATTCTCACAGTAGCAAGAGCATGCACTACCTTACTGTTGAGACATTGAACAGGAAACACATAAATCTTCCCACTTGTTGCTGGGACCATCTGTGTGTAATTTTCCCAGAGAGATTCTTTTTTTCTGCATCCTGAGTAAAGAATTCTCTTTCTGATTCTTAGGTAAGTACTGGAGCTTTTTGCACAGAATATCATTCACAATGAACTTTGCTCCTGACAATAGTTTTAGATAGGGAATTAGTGTAACATTTATAGTAGGACAAAAATCTATATGTTTTATATAGAATATTTTTAGATGATACACAAGAATTTTTGAAGCTGAAGTTCTGCTCTTTTTACTCCCAGTCCTATGATGAAATCTGTTTACTCTCTGTTCAGATTTTGTAATATTCTGAAACTTTGAATTCTGTATAGAGCAGTTTTTAATGAAGCGAGGCTCTAACGCTGGTAGGGGACCCAGATGGCACATGCAGTGTTTGCTTGCTCATCAGAACATGTTTTGCCAAAAGTGTTCCATGTGCAAGGCACTGAGATCTGCCAAGGGCACCAGCAGGGACAAGTCGGGAACAGTCCCTTCCCTTGAGGAGCTCACTTTCACAGCAAAAGAGACAGATAGTAAATCACAATTTTAGAAACTAGAAATATGGAAAGTGTTGCCAAGGAGACTAAACCTTCCCCCTCCAAGGGGGTGAGGCATGGGGTGCATTAGGGAGGGCTGGACATGAGCTGCATCCCAACAGCACAGGGAAAGCTGGGGGATAATAGTCTTTCTCTCTCTTTCTTTTTCTTTCTTTCTTTCTCCCTTCTTTCCTTCCTTTCTTTCTTTCTTTCTCTCTCTCTTTCTTCTCTTTCTTTCTCTCTCTGTTTCTTCTCTTTCTTTCTGTCTTTCTTTCTGTTTCTCCTTCCTTCCTTCCTTCCTTCCTTCATTCTTTCCTTCCTTTTTTCTTTCCTTTTTGTTTGAGACAGAGTTTTGCTCTGTCACCCAGGCTGGAGTGCAGTGGCATAATCACAGCTCACTGCAGCCTCTACATCCTGGGCTCAAGTGATCCTCCCACCTCAGCCTCCTGAGTAGCTGGGACCACAGGAGTGTGCCACCATACCTGGCTGATTTTTAATTTTTTAGGTAGAGTCAGAGTCTCACTATGTTGTCCAAGCTGGCCTCAAACTCCTGGGCTCAAGCAATCCTCCTGCCTCAGCTTCCCAATGTGCTGGGATTACAAGCGTGAGCCATGGCACATGGCCAGGGATGACAATCTGAGGAAAGACTCATCAGTGGAGAATAAGCTTCCAAGAGCCTGGGACCCTGGTGCCTGAGAGTGCCACTTGCAGTTAAGGTGTGAGGCTGTGGAGGCCAATCTAAGAGCAACTAGCACAGCACTTTCTGCAAATGTGGCACTCACTGTAGTATCCATCAACTGAATAAGTGATGTTTCCTTGGCATGTTACAGGGTGCATCCTGAGCCTGAAGGTTGGGGGAACAGGTTGAAGACTGATGATATGAGATTTGGAAGAAAAGATAAGTTTGAGTAAGTCTGGTATTTTTCACATTTGGAGGTTCAAAATTTTAAAAATGAAGATTTGGGGTTGACTCTTGCATTATAAGCAATTCCAGGAAAGGGTCAAATGCTTCTTAAAATGATAATTATTATAAAAGAAAAGAAAGAAGCAGTGCTCATCTGGCTGTGGCTTGGTTGCCTCCAGTAAGGAAATCAGCCTCAGCCAGGCTGGCAGGGCGCTGAGGAGCAGTGGATGCTCCTCCCATCCATTTATGGGGCTGCACGTCTCCTTCTGTGGCGAGCAGGCTGTGACCCGGCAAGGAAGAAGCCCCCGTGAAGCCCGGATGCTAGTGTGTAGGGCAAAGAAGACCCAGAGGGCATCCCTGCCCCACCCACACACACCACACACAGAGAGACACACACTACACACACACACACACACACACACACAGAGTCCCATGGGGACACACACAGAGACACTCATATACCACACAGACACACACATCACACAGGCACACATATACTCAAACATACATAGAGACACATAGACACACACACAAATACAGACACAGATTCTCACACACACATACACACACACCCATCTTAGGAAGAGCAGGGATTTATTTCCCAGAGGAGAAGCTGCCCTGGATTGAGGACTTTAAGAAATCCCTCTGCCAGAAGATAAGAAGAAAGGAACAGGGAGAACTCAGGAGAGAGGGTGGCATCTGTGGGCTCGCATCTGGAAGGCCGTCCCTTCCCAGGCAGCACAAGGGGATCCGCGACTGAGGGAAATAAGAATTCTTAGCCTTGTGCTTCCAATGCTGAGATCCTCCGGACTCCATGCGAAGCCTTGCCATTGAGGTCTGCTGTCATTGGTCAGGAGTAGACTGGCCGGGCAGGAGGGACCCTGGAAAAAGTAACTCCTCACTCCCAGCCATTGTGTGAGAGAGCTGTCATGAAGGTGAGAGACACAGCCATGATTAACTTCAGAGGAGAGAGAGACTTATGAGGCTGGGCACATGGAGACCCTCTAAGCCCTCTGAGGATGAAGATGGTCATGATCACCCCTCCCCCAACAAGAGTCTATCCAAGAACATCCTTGGATACATTTTGTAAAGCAAGGACCCTTCCACATGGAGGTTACACAATAAGTGGTGTCGCTGTGAAGGAGAGCAATTTAGAGTTTTAAACTTGGATAGGTTTAACAAAAACCGTCACATCAAATATTCAGCAGAACATACTCCACATACAGACTGCACCCTCTGGGCATTTATTGACACCTAATAAGAGCATACCTTAATTACATGAAAGCTCTGGGAACAGACAGTTAAGCCTCTTTGATGGGAATGAGACCTCGAGTTTATGACTTGCGTAACTAGGAGACTTGCTCCATCAATCTGCCTTTCATTAGCACATAATAACATCTCATTTTTATGGAAAGTTCCTTCAGTTAATTTTCTTAATTAGATTTAACTGAAGGATGAAAGTAAAATCTTGCTACACAAAGCCCTGGTAAGGAAGACCTCTGTGTTTAATGCAGTAATTCAAACATAAAAGCCACATACATCAAAGGTACACACAAATAAGAGAATTATGTTTTCTAAGGATCCTTGGAGCAGTGAAGGCTAATTTCAGATGGACCCAGGGTTGTAAATTTAACCGAAAACGTCCATGCTTGGATGGAATGTGGGGCAGACCTAGGGTATGTAGCATTGGTATCCTTAATCCATATTCTAAAAGATACACCAGCGTCTATATTCCTAACTGGAATGAGTGTACCATGCTGAGCAATAAATAAGTGAATTCCTCTGTGTTTAATAAATTTCCCACAAATGGGAAATCTCTCCCTGCTGTCAGAAACAATTGTGCTTTTTCCTGAGCAATTAACTTGTTCAAGTCATATGAAATTTTAAGCCACATTACCACGTTAGCATCTAGAAAGGCTGACATTAAATATGGCTCAACTACAGCTAGAGTTTAAGATTTGACAGCACAGCCTAAGTATTCCAAGGCCACATCTGGATTGTTCTTGTTTTCACAGCCCTACATTCTGGTTGTCCAGATGCACTCAGCTATTTTTATACTTTATTTGGTCTTCTTGAATTGTAGGTATTTCCGTAAGCTGCCTTGAATCATTTTTGGAATAAAGTGGGATATAAATAAGTAAATAAAGAAATGCTGATTGCAAATTAAAGAACTCAAACAATTTAACCATACAATATAAATGAATGCAATAAGATCAAAGCCAAGAATAGAAATCAACCATTCAAAAGCACAAACAATAAAGCACTAAGATAATCAAAATATAAGTTGACAGCCCACTTCTCCACTTCTCTGCTCTAAATACAACCACTTGCTGTCAGACCAAGGTGATGTTCCCCATTTTATCTTTCCCTGAAAAAATGTCCAGCTCTCGAAGCTTCTCGGTCTCTCATGGAAATAAAACTCAGCAGTCCTGGCTTCAACAGCAATCTTGACATGCACTAATGTCTTGCCATGCAGACTAATCTGGTTCTTCCATTGCAATTAAGTATCTTCTATGAGCTTTGATAAGCACTGAATCTGTCAAAGGTAAAATATTTCAGCAAGTATCTTCACACAGTATCTGCTATTTTGTGAATTACATATGATGCATGCCATAGATGCCAAAAACAGAGATAAAGTTGACATAGCACTGCGATAGCTTCCAGATAGATGCAACAAGTACATATAAATTATTTATTTCTGAAAAACTTTCAATCTTTGCAAGTTCTTATACTAATGGCTTATTGAATCTTTGCATTTCTACATCATGTAACATAAAAGAGATAACTCTGGCTTCCAAATCTTTGAGAATATCAATTCTAAAATGAATGTAAATCTTATTTTAAAAACTATAATTTATCTATTTCACCAGAATTGGTCCAGGATAGGGGAAGTAGTGGTACTAATATTATTTTCATTGATTCATCTACATTTCTTTTATTCAGCATTTTCATAGAAATGTTAATTTGTCAAACTGGAGCTTGACCAAAGGTGCAAGAATGGAGCAGTGACTTAAAGCAGTGGTGTCCAAGTGCTATCAGGAAAGAAATTACAAGTCTTCCAAAATGGAATGAGAAGCTTTGGAGATCTGAGTAATGTCTCTGGAAGTGACCAAGCTGACATGGAAAATTCTCTATCAGTTACAGCATTGAGAGGATCACAGCATTGTGTGTGGAGTAGAACTAGATTGTTTCCAAGGTTTCTTTAAGTGTAAAAGTCCTGTTTGTTGCAACATATTTGCTGTTCTTAAATAGTGGATGGGCTTAGCCTCATTGATCAATTTACTTAATGGCGGCCATGTAAAAATTAGTGAAAAACTACCAAAATATGTGTTTGAATTTAGAGTAATTGACTTAAGTCATACCATCTAGGATTAGCTAACCTGCTATTTATCTTATCTGCTCTGTTTTTGCTATACAGCAATACATGAGACTGGGTAATTTATAAAGAAAAAAGGTTTATTTGGCTCACCAGTCTGCTGGCTGGAAGATTGGGCATCTGGTGAGGGCCTCAGGCTGCTTCTACTTATGGTGGAATGTGAAGGGGAGCTGTGTAGAGATCACATAGTGAGAAAGGAAGCGAGAGAGAAGGGCGAGGTGCCAGGCTCTTTTTAACAACTAGCTCTCATGGGAACTAATAGAGTGAGGGATCCACCCCCATGGCCCAGACACCTCCTATTAGGCCCCACCTCCAACACTGGGGATCCAGTTTCCACAGTAGATTTGGTAACATTCAAGCCATAGCACCTTCACATTCCGTTGTGTCTTTGCATGACTCCCAGGAAGAAAGCAGTTAGGTCATGTAATTAGCATGAAGAACAATGCTGGGACTTCATAGACCTTACAGGAATAAGTGGAATAACCATTTTTGTACTTGTTTGTTATAAGATGTTGGTATGTGCAGCAAAATTTTACATGATAGTTGCTTTTCTTATACCATAGTGCCTGGTGATAAGGTTGTAGAACTAGAGCTTGTGGGGCAAGGTTGTAAAGTCACAGATCCCCCACATGTGCCAAAATAACCTGACAATTATAAAGAGCCAAGCTCCCATTCCTGAAAGTTGTTCTGGAGTCTTTTCTGAGAGATGGAACACAGTAAAACAGCATTGGTATCCAGCTTTCTGTTTGTAAACAGTATTATTTTAAAGAAACAGATTATAAAATGTATTAGAAAAGAGAAAGACTTGAGTTTTTAAAACAGGGTCAATAAATACAAAGATTTTATTTTGAGTTAATCAAAGATTTTAAAAAATATAGAGTAGGCCATACTTCAGTGCCTATTATAAAAACATATTTTAAAATTTTGGTTTTAAGATTTGGCAAGGTCTTGTGCTTTCAGCACATAATAGATTTTGCATCAGAGATATTTTCTGGGATCAGCAAAATTTGTGTTATTAAATACAACACAGAAATAACAATTCTAGACAAGTTTAGGTTAAAACATTATTATGTGATTGAAAATAGAATAGGGAACTCCAAAACTAACTCCTTTCACTAAAACAATGATTATGCAAGCAAAAGTTGTTACAATAAGCTTTTTCATATCTCTGGAATTTAATTTAAAAACTTACAACAACAAGGAGAATGACTAAAGAGGAAGAAACTGCTGAAATTTGTGAAGAGATTGTGGTAGCATTTCAACACATCTGTCCATGATCCTTTGTTCCAGAGCATGGCAGTAGCCATGAACACAGGACCTGTGTTCATGGTGCAGCTTGCTGGTGCTAGATAGAGCAGTGTGGGCTTGTTCTTGGAGAACTGTGTAGGTGGACATTGATCTGCCTGGTGGCTCCCTGAGGGATTCGTCCATGGGGCTAAACTTTGTTTTGCCCACCATAGAGTTTTCTCAGAGATAAGTGGCTTTCCAGGCAGTGTTTGTCAAATGCATTTAAAGGTAAATATACTAGAAGTAGCCCCTAAAGGGCAGGCAGCAGGCAAGCCAAAAAAATCTGGGAAGGAAGGAGTTGGGGAAAGAGATACACAGGGGAACAAAGGCTTTGAAAAGCTCCCATGCATACCAAGGAAACGAAAAGGTTATACTAATGCCCAGGACCAGAACTATGTTCATGAAAGACCAGAAAGGACCCTAAGCTTTTACTTCTGGCTGCTTCTATGCTCTGTGCAAGCAGGAAGTGAGGGCTAAGGCAGAGTTGTAAACAGCCCGGCTAAACATGAAATGAGTTTCCTCAACAGAAATCAATCTGAAAACCCAGGAGTATTGTTTTTTTCTTAGTGGGGGGTTGGTGTTTTTTTTTCCTCTGGGCACTTAGGGAAATCTCTAGCTAACAGCTAAGCTAACAGAACAGACACTTCAGTGACCATGTGCAACAAAGAATGCAGTCTTTACAAAAATAGTTTGGAAACATGTCACTAAACAAACCACTCCAACCCATAACAGACAGCAACAATAAACCCTGGGCAAGGGTAAAAATCTGATTTCCAGAATTATCACATAATATTTGATATATAAATATTTGAAATAACCAATTTGCAACAAAAATTATGAGGCATGCTAAGAAATAAGAACATGGGGCCCATTCACAAGACAAAAGGAAATTAATGAAAACTGTCCCCAAGGAAAGCCAGACATCGAACTTGCTAGACAAAGACTTTGAATCAGTTGTCTTAAATATGCTCAAAGACATAAAGGAAACGAGGAGAATAATATTTCACCAAATAGAGACTATCAATAAAGAGATAGAAATAAGAAAAGAAACCAAGTAGAATTAGAAATCCTGGAGCTGAAAAATACAGTAAGTAAAATGGAAAATTCACTAGGTCAGTTCAACAGCATATTTGAGATGGCAGAATAAAAAAATCAGTGTTCTTTTTTAAATATTTTTGTTTTTGTTTTTAAATAAACATAGAAATTAAGAGAAAAAATCAGTGTTCTTAAGGATCTTTCAGTTAGAATTATCCAGTCTGAGGAGCAGAAGGAAAAAAGAATGAAGAAAAATATTTCTACGGTCTCCCTCTCTTGCGGAGCCTGGACTGTACTGCCATGATCTCGGCTCACTGCAGCCTCCCTCCCTCGGGCTCCGGTGATTCTCCTGCCTTGGCCTGCCGAGTGCCTGGGATTCCAGGCACGCGCCGCCACTCCTGACTGGTTTTTGTATTTTTGGTGGAGACGGAGTTTCGCCATGTTGACCGGGCTGGTCTCCAGCTCCTGGCCTCAGATGATCTGCCTGCCTCGGCCTCCCGAGGTGCTGGGATTGCAGATGGAGTCTCGCTCATTCAATGCTCAACGTTACCCAGGCTGGAGTGCAGTGGCGTGATCTCGGCTGGCTACAACCTCCACCTCCCAGCCACCTGCCTTGGCCTCCCAAAGTGCTAAGATTACGGCCTCTGCCCACTCACCACCCCGTCTAGGAAGTGAGCAGCATCTCTGCCTGGCCACCCATCGTCTGGGATGTGAGGAGCCCCTCTGCCCGGCCGCCCCATCTGGGAAGTGAGGAGCGCCTCTGCCCGGCCGCCCCATCTGGGATGTGAGGAGCGCCTCTGCCCAGCCGCCACCCTGTCTAGGAAGTGAGGAGCGTCTCTGCCTGGCAATCCATCATCTGGGAAGTGAGGAGCGCCTCTGCCCGGCCGCCCCCTCTGGGAGGAAGTGAGGAGTGCCTCTGCCCGGCTGCCCCAAATGGGAAGTGAGGAGCGCCTCTGCCTGGCCACCCCCTCTGGGAAGTGAGGAGCGCCTCTGCCCGGCTGCCGCGTCTGGGAGGAAGTGAGAAGCGCCTCTGCCCGGCTGACCCGAATGGGAAGTGAGGAGTGCCTCTGCCTGCCGCTCCCGTCTGGGAAGTGAGGAGCGCCTCTGCCCGGCCTCCCCCTCTGAGAAGTAAGGAGCGCCTCTGCCCAGCCGCCACCCCATCTGGGAGGTGAGGAGTGCCTCTGCCCGGCCGCCCCATCTGGGAAGTGAGGAGCGCCTCTGCCCGGCCGCCCCGTCTGGGAAGTGAGGAGCGCCTCTGCCCGGCCGCCCCGTCTGGGAAGTGAGGAATGCCTCTGCCCGGCCGCCCCCTCTGGGAGGAAGTGAGGAGCGCCTCTGCCTGGCTGCCCCAAATGGGAAGTGAGGAGCGCCTCTGCCTGGCCACCCCCTCTGGGAAGTGAGGAGCGCCTCTGCCCAGCTGCCCCGTCTGGGAGGAAGTGAGAAGCGCCTCTGCCCAGCTGACCCGAATGGGAAGTGAGGAGTGCCTCTGCCTGGCCGCCCCTGTCTGGGAAGTGAGGAGCGCCTCTGCCTGGCCACCCCCTCTGGGAAGTAAGTAGTGCCTCTGCCCAGCCGCCACCCCGTCTGGGAGGTGAGGAGTGCCTCTGCCCGGCCGCCCCATCTGGGAAGTGAGGAGCGCCTCTGCCCGGCCACCCCATCTGGGAAGTGAGGAGTGCCTCTCACAGGCCGCCCCATCTGGGAAGTGTACCCAACAGCTCCGAAGAGACAGCGACCATCGAGAACGGGCCATGATGACGATGGCGGTTTTGTCAAAAAGAAAAGGGGGAAATGTGGGGGAAAGAAAGAGAGATCAGATTGTTCCTGTGTCTGTGTAGAAAGAAGTAGACATAGGAGACTCCATTTTGTTCTGTACTAAGAAAAATTCTTCTGCCTTGGGATGCTGTTAATCTATAACCTTACCCCCAACCCTCTGCTCTCTGAAACATGTGCTGTGTCAACTCAGGGTTAAATGGATTAAGGGCGGTGCAAAATGTGCTTTGTTAAACAGATGCTTGAAGACAGCATGCTCCTTAAGAGTCATCACCACTCCCTAATCTCAAGTACCCAGGGACACAAACTGGGCCGAAGGCCGCAGGGACTTCTGCCTAGGAAAACCAGAGACCTTTGTTCTCGTGTTTATCTGCTGACCTTCTCTCCACTATTATCCTATGACCCTGCCACATCCCCCTCTCTGAGAAACACCCAAGAATGATCAATAAATACTAAAAAAAAAAAAAAAAAAAAAAAAAAGAATGAATGAAGAAAAATAAACAGAACCTAAGAGACATGTGAGACACATACCAACATACCAATGTATACATAATGAAAGTCCCAGAAGGGCCAGGCATGGTGGCTCATGGCTGTAATTCCAGCACTTTGGGAGGCCACGGCCGGCAGATCACCTGAGGTCAGGAGTTTGAGACCAGCCTGGCCAACATGGCGAAACCTCATCTCTACTAAAAATACAAAAATTAGCCAGGCGTGGTGTAATCCCAGCTACTCAGGAGGCTGAGGCAGGAGAATCACTTGAGCCTGGGAGACAGAAGTTGCAGTGAGCCAAGATCATGCCACTGCAGTCTAGCCTAGGTGACAAGAGTGAAACTCTGTCAAAAAAAGGAAAAAAAGAAAAAAAGTCCCAGAAGGGGAGAAGAAGTAAGTAAAGTTAGGAAAAATATTTGAAGGGAGAATAACGAAAAGGAGCAGAAACAATATTTGAATAATGGCCCCAAACTTCCCAAATATAATGAAAGATATGAATCTACATATCCAGAAAACTCAATGAACTCTAAGTAAAAGAAACTTGAAGAGATTCACACTGAGACATTATTACATGTTGAAAGCCAGAAACAAAGAGAAAATCTTGAAAGCAGCAAGATCAAAGTGACTAGTCACAAACAAGGGACCATTAATTAGATTACCAACTTATCCCTCATTAGATACTGTGAAGGCCAGAAGGCAGTTGGATGGCATTTTTAAAGTGCCAAAAGAAAAAAAAATTGTCAACCAAAAATTATAAATTGGCAAAACTATCCTTCAAAATGGAGGAGAAATTAAGACATCCCTCAGTAAACAAGGCTAAGAGAGTTCAATACTAGTAGACCCACCTGCCCTACAAGAAATGCCAGCACGAAGCCTTCAAGCTGAAATGAAAGAACACTAGATAGTAACTGTAAGCAACGTGAAGAACTAAAGAACATCAGTAAAGTTAACTACCTAGGTAAATATTAAATCCAGTATTATTATTTTTAAAATTTGTAAAGCCTCGTTTTCCATATATAATTTTAAGAACAAATGCATAAAACAATAATTATAAATCTGTTTGCATAGGCACACAATATATAAAGATATAATTTGTGACAATAACAACATGAGGGGGCAAATGGAGCAACATAGATTCAGGGTTTTTGCATACTATTGAAGCTAAATTGAATATTAATTCAAACTAGATTGTTACAAATTTAAAATTGTTAATTGTAAACCTCAGGATAACCACTAAGAAAACAAATACAGAAATAATAATACGAAGGAAATCCAAATAGCACACTATAAAAAAATCAATTAAACACAAAAGAGGGCAGTAATGGAAGAATTGAGGATTTTTTTAAAAAGACATATAGAAAACAAATTTTTAAATGGCAAAAGAAATTTCTTTCTTATTAATAATCACTTTTAAAGTAAATGAATCACGCTTTCTAATTAATAGCCCAAAATTCACATAATGGATAAAGAAACATGCTCCAGCTGTATGCTATCTACAAGCTACTCACTTTAGATATAAAGACACAAATAAGTTTAAAGTAAAAGGGTAGAAAAAGATATTCCAAGAAAATACTAACCAAAAGAGGGCTGCAGTGTCTATTCTATACTAATATAAGAGAAAATAGACTTTAAGTAAAAGTTGTTACAGGAGACAATGAAGAACATTATATAGTGATAAAAGGTCAATCCATAAAGAAGATATTATAATCATAAACATATAGGCACACAACAGAGCTCCTAAACATTTGATGCCAACATTGACAGAATCGAAGGGAGAAATGGACAGTTCTAGGATAATAGTTGGAGATTTCAATACCCCACTTTCAATAATGGATAGCATAACTGGACAGAAGATCAGTAAAAAGATACGCAACTTCAACAACACTATAAACCAACTAGACCTAACAGACATATATAGAACTTTCCACCCAACAACAGCAGAATATACACTCTCAAGTACAAATGAAATATTCTTCGAGATAACAATACATTAGGCCACAAACAAATCTCAATAAATTTTAAATGACCTAAATCATACAAAGTACATTCTCTGACTACAATGGAATGAAACTAGAAACCAATAACAAAGGAAAACTGGAAATTTCGCATATACATGGAAATTAAACACAAACTTGAACAACCAATGAATCAAAGAAAGAATTTCAAGAGAAAATAAGAAAATACTCTGAGACAAATGACAGCAAAAACACAACATACCAAAACTTACAGAAGGCAGCAAATCAGTGCTCATATAGAAATTTGTAGATGTTAATAGCTACATAAAAAAGAAAGAAAATCTCAAATCAATAAACTGTACACTTTCAGGAACCAGAAAAACAAACTAAATCCAAAGCTATTAGAAGGAAAGAAATAAAACAATAGAATAGGAAGAGTGAAACAACAAAAGCAAAAGTTAGTTCTTTGAAAAGATCAAGAAAATTAACAAACTGAAAAATAAAAGGAGAGTAGATTCAAATTACTAGCATTAGAATTAAAAATACAACCTTAAAGAAACAAAAAAGATTTTAAGGCAATACTATTAAAAAGTGTAGGCCAATGAATTAGATAATCTAGATAAAATGAATTAATTCTAAAAATAATAAACTATGAAATCTGACTCAATGAGACACAGACAATATCAACAGATCTAAAACAAGTAAAGAAATTGAATCAGTAATTAAAAAAACAAGACAAGAAAATCCCAGTACCAGATGACTTCATTGGTGAATTCTACCAAACATTTGAAGAGTTAAAATTAAACTTTCTCAAATTCTTCAAAAGGTAGAAGAGAAGGGAACACTTCTAAATATTTTATGAGTTCTGCATCACCCAAATACCAAAGCCAGGTGAACATGTTACAAGAAAAAGAAACTACATACAAATCCCTTACAAATACAGGTGGAAAAATCCTCAACAGAACTCTATCAAGCTGAATCCAGAAACATATTAAACAGATTACACATCATGATTAAGTGGGATTTATCCCAAAAATGCGAGGGTAGTTCAACATAACAAAGTCAATCAATACAACACACCACGTTAACTGAAGAAAGGAAAAAGAAAACAACCCATATAGTCATCTCAATTGATGCAGAAAAGGTATCAGACAAAATCCAGAGGTCTTTCATGATTTAAGAAAGAAAGCAGTCAGCAAAACAGGAATACAAGGAAACTTCCTCAAGATGGTGAAGGGCATTCATGAAAAGCCTCACAGCTAACATCATATTCAACTGAAAAACTGAATGCTTTTTCCCTATTATCAGGAACAATACAATAATTTCTACTTTGACACATATTCAACATTTTACTGAATGTTCTATTCAGAGCAATTAAGCAAGAAAAGAAATATAACACATCTACATTGTAAAGGAATAAATCAAACTATCACTATTCACAGATGACATAATCTTATATATAGACAATACTCAAGAATCCTCATAAAAATTATTAGAGCTCATGAATTCAGCAAATTGCAGGATAGAAGACACACAAAAGTCTAGTATATGTCTGTACACTAGCAATGAACAATCTGAAAGGACATTATGAAAACAATTCCATTTACAATAGCATTAAAAAGAATAAACTAGTTTGGAATAAACTTAACCAAGAAGGTGTAAGATTTGTATACTGAAAACTATAAAATATTGAAAGAAATTAAAGAAGACCTAAATAAATGGAATGTATCCTGCATTTACAAAGTGGAAGACTTAATATTGTTAAGATGACAATACTCCTCAAATTGATCTACAGATTCAATACAATGCCTTCAAAAATCCCAATAGTTTCTTTTTTTGTTGTAGAAAAAGAAAAGCCAATCGTGAAGTTCATAAGCAATTGCACAGGACCCCAAATACCCAAAACAATATTTAAGAACAAAGTTGGAGGACACATATTTCCCAATTTCAAAACTTACTACAAAGCTACAGTAATCAAAACAATGTGCTACTGGCATTAGGATATACCATAAAGGTGTAGGTTAGATCAGAAACATATGGATCATGGAATGTAATTAAGATTGCAGAAATAAACCCATACATTTATTATCACTTGATTTCAACAAGCATGCCAAGATCATTCAATGGGAAAAGAATAGTTTCTTCAATAAACAGTGCTGAGGTAACTAGATATCCACATATAAAAGGATGTTGGACCTTGATCTCACATTGTATACAAAAAATAACGTCAAAGTATCAAAGATCTAAATGTAAGGGCTAAAACTGTAACATTTTTAGAAGAAAAGATAGGGGTATATCTTCATAATCTTGGATTTGGCAGTGGTGTCTTGCCTATAATAACAAAAGTACATGCAACAAAAGAAAAAACAGAAAAATTGGGCTTCAAAATTAAAAAGTTTTGTGCATTAAACTGCACAATCAAGAAAGCGGGGCATGGTGGCAAGTCCCTGTGGTCTCAGCTACTTGGGAGGCTGAGGCAGGAGGCTGAGGTGGGAGGATTACTTGAGCCCAGGAGTCTCAGACTGGCCTGGGTAACACAGTAAGACTCCGTCTCCACAAAAAATTTTAAAAATTAGCTGAGCTTGGTGGCAACATACCTGTAGTCCCAGCTATGAGGAGACTGAGGCGGGAGGATCACTTGAGCCTGGGAGGTGCAGGCTGCAGTGAGCCATGATCACACCACTGCACTCCAGCCTGGGTGACAGAGTGAGACCCCAACTCTTAAAAAAAAAAGAAAGGGGAAAAGACAGCTCACAGAATAAGAAAAAATACTTGCACATCATATATCTGTTAAAGATCTAGGATACAAAATATATAGAGAACACTTACAACTCAACAACTAAAAAACAAACAACAATCCAACTCAAAAATAGGCAAAGAACTTGAATAGATATTTCTCCAAAGAAGATATACAAATTGCTAATAAGCACATAAAATGATGGTCAATATCACTAGTCATTAGGAAAGTGCAAATTAAAGACACGATGAGATACTATTTCACAACCACTAGGATGGCTATAATAATAATAATAAAAAAAAACTGAGACTAACAAATGTTGATAAGGATGCAGAGAAGCCAAAACCCTCATACGCTGCTGGTGAGAATGTCAAATGGTAAAGCTGTGGAAAACAGTTTGGTAGTTTCTCAGTTAGTTAAACATGCAACAACCCTATGACCTAGCAACTCCACTCCTAAGTATACACCCTGAAGAACTGAAAACAAGAGTCAAACAAAAACTGGTATATGAATGTTCATAGCAGCACTATTTGCAATAGCCAAAAGATGAAAACAACCTAGATGCTCATCAACTGATGAAGAGCTAAACGAAATGTGGTCATCCATACACTGGAATACTATTCAGCCATAAAAAGGAGTAAAAAGTCCTGATACATCTATAACATGGATGAACCTAGAAACATTATGCCAAGTGAAGAAGCCAGAGAGAAAAAGCAATGTAATGTCCGATTCCATTAAAATAAAATATCTGGAATAGGCAAATCATAGAGACCGAAAGCAGATTAGTGGTTGCCCAGGGCTGGAAAGTGGCAATGGGAGTGACTGCTTAAAGGGTACAGCATTCCTTTTGGAGTGATGACAACGTTCTGGAGCTAAATAGTGGCAAAGGTTGCATAAAGTTATAAATGTACACTGATTCTATACTTTAATATGGTTAAAATGCTGAATTTCATATGATTTTAACACAGTAAAAAGTTATTACTCAAATGGTTATTTATAAACATTGTCTTTGTCTACATCAACTATACGTTAAATTTTTCCGAAAGTGATTAACTTTCAGAAAAACAAATAACTCATTGCCTTAAATGATTATTATTTCTGTTACCTTATCATCACTATTCAATTGCAGCCTCTTGGGAGAGGAGTCAGTACTTATAAATCTCCATAGTTCTCACAGTGCCTCTTTCAATGTCACGTATGTAATAGTTCCTAAAGTAAAATGACTCGTGGTGAAGAGGAAGGCGTCAAAACCACAAGATGCACCATGAGAAGTTGCATAACGTCACCCTCTCAGAACTCCTACTTCTTAGGCATCTACCCTGTACCACGCACACTCACTTCTAATCTCTATATCAACTCTGTGGGTAGGTCCACCAGCATGCCACAGGGATAATAGTTGGTCTGCTAAGACAAAGAGTGAGTTGAATTGAGAATACCATAAACAAACAGTTTCAATATACGTTGAATATTTTATTTTAGTCAAAAACATGTAAACATACATTTATGCATCAGTCTTTTCATAACAGACCAGGAACATATCTTGGCCCATAGTTGCACCAACTTCCTGCATACATCTCACTTGTAATGCATGCAGGTAGCTTGTAATACTAATAACTTAGAGACATGTGTGAAATCATTAGAATTCAGATTCCTTCTATATTTTTACATCCCTCCACCTCAGTCAGTAACTAACAGTTGTCTTATTTATACCTTACTCAACAGCAATATTTTAAGTCACTTTGCATATCGTCTTTCCATCACATTCACCTTGGGTTTCACGGAGACAACAACTTTCTTTACAAAATAAATAAATCATTATTTTATTTATTTATTTTTTGTTTTCATCAAAAAATTAACTTTTAAAATTATTGTACAATTATAACAAAAAGAACAGCAAGCATACAGAAGCTTGGGAATTAAAACTTACTATGAAGGGGCATACAACTTAGCTTGTGGCAGTAGGAGTACCTGGGCGTGCTAGAGTCAAGTCCTGCCTCTCCATCTTTCTTTTGCACAGGAATCCCCTAGAGAGCTTAATGAAATGCAGATTCTGGTTCAGCAGGTCTGGAATGAACCTGAATTTGTGCAATTTTAACTAACTCCCAGTTGCTGCAATGCTGCTGGTCCAGGGTCTGCAGTGTGGGGAACAAGTCGCTGTATCAGGCCATGCACAGCAGCCAGCATACTTTTCTGCAGCAATGGGAGTGCCATTAACCCAGAAAGTTGGTCAATGCAAGTCCAGCTTCTCCTCTACTGGGTTAAGAATCCCAGTATATAAGTGAGGAAGCTAAGCACAGAGAAGCTGAATGACTTACAAAATGGGCAAGTGCACAGTATATGAGCAGGAATTCAAACACGGGCCTGTTTGGCTCCAAAGCCCATACTCTTTCCACTTCACATCTAAGAAAGCCAAAAGCAGAGCACCGAAGAGCCCAGGCATCCACAGAGGGACCTGGAGGAAGTGGATGGCAACCCTGCCCAACCCACTCAGAGAAAACAGCAAAGGGAGAAAGCAGGCCCCAGGGCAATAGCTTTGACTTGCTGGCCGTCTTTAATCATTATAAGAAAAAGACTTCATATTATCTTCTTCTGTTTATGTATTGTCACAAGAACTTTGGGCTTGCAGAATTCGTATTGCTTTTTAATTATTTTTATCACCACAATTTCCTCTGACATCCTGGTGTTTGTCAAGTGATTTGAAACTGAAGTTAACTTATTGGTGCTCTGTTATTTGGGAAAATGATCAGAAACAAAGCACAAGTGTTAAACTGGGCACAGTATGGTGATATTAGTGCCTCCATCATTCCCCAGGAGAAAGGTTGTTCGAGAAATAGAAAGTATTGCTATTTTTTTAAACTAGGCTGATCCTATGAATTCATATTCAGTGCTTCATTATACTGAAAACTGCACATGACTTCTTTGGATCTTTGGCTCAATAATCACTTTGATGTTTTATTTATTGATGCAAAAAGTACTTTCCTTTCAAGTTTGTTATCTCTCATTTCAATGGAATTTTTCAAAGTATTAAGAAACTAGCTCCACAGTACTGTCTATCCAGTTTTAAATTGGCACAAGATTCTAGTGTTACTAGTGCCCCTGGGTGTTTCCTGCCATTTAGTTTCAAGCTAATAAGGAAATGCAGAGGTTGGCTAGAATTTGCTATGAATACTGCAGATAGACATTTGTGCTGGAACACACTCAAAGAAGGTTGAGAGAATGCATTTTATCATACCAGGCACTTTGTTTTTTTGCCCATTGAAATGATTTGTATTTGGAAATCAGAGCTATTTTTTGTCTTTGGCCAAATCTTTCATGAAGTCTGAACTTCCATGTTTGTGAAATCCATCTGTGACATCATTGAGTGGTTTTCACAGTGAAAAAGTAATTGTCAAGGAAGACAATATAAAATGTAATATATTTTTGGGAAAAATGTTTATTCCAGTCTCTCACCCATTCTTTCAAATAAAGTTACTTGGGTTTTGTTTGTTTGTTCTGTTGTTGCTATTAAGTGTAGGAATTCTTCATATATCTTATTTATGAATCCCTTATCTGATGAATGGTTTGCAGATATTTTCCCATTCTGTAGGTTGCTTCTTCACTGTGCTCATTGTTTCCTTCACTGTGCAGAAGCTTTTTAGTTTGATGTGGTCCCATTTGTTTATTTTTGCTTTTGTTGCCTATGCTTTTAGTGTCATGTCCATGAAATCATAGTCAAGACCAGTGTCATGAAGTTTTCACCAATGTTTTCTTCTATGAGTTTTACAGTTTCAGGTTGTATGTTCAAGTCTAATTTACATTGAGTTCATTTTTGTATATTGTGTGAGATAAAAGTCCCAATTTATTCTTTTGTATGTTGATATCCAGTTTTCCCAAAACTATGTATTGGTGAAACTATCTTTTCCCTATGTGTACTCTTGGTAGCTCTGTAGAAAAGTGGTTGACTATATATATATGTGGTCTATTTCTGGTCTCTCTATTCGGTTCCATTGGTCTATATGTCTATGTCTTCATGTCAGTACTGTAGTGTTTTGATTACTGCAGCTTTGTAATATATTTTGAAATCAGAAAAAAAAATGATGCCTCTAGATTTGTTCTTCTTTTTCAATATGTTTTGGCTATTTGGGTTTTTTTCATATAAATTTTAGGTTTGCTTTTTTCTACTTGTGTAAAAACTGTGATTGGGATATTGATAGGGATTGAATTGAATCTGTAGATCACTTTGGGTAGTATGGACATTGTAACAATATTATGCCTTGCATTCCATGAGTAAGTAATGTCTTTCTATTTAGTTGTGTCTTTTTTCCTTCATTAATGTTTTGTAGTTTTCATTGTATAAGTCTTTCATCCTTAGTTAAGTTTATTCCTAGAATAAAAAGCCAACCTACAGAAGGGGAGAAAATATTTTCAAGCCATATATCTGATATGCAGATATATAAGAAATTCCTAAAACTCAATAGCAAAAAATCCTAATAACCCAATTAAAAAGTGGGTAAAATACTTGAATAAACATTTCTCTAAAGAAGACATGCAAATGGCCAACAAGAATATGAAAAGATGCCAACATTACTAATCATCAGGGAAATCCAAATCAAAACCACAATGAGATATTACCTCACATCTGCTAAAACGGCCATTATTTTAAAAAAAGATAGCAAGTGCTGGAAAAAATGTGAGGAAATTGGAGCTCCTGTGCAAGACTGGAAGAAACATAAAATGGTGCGGCCACTATAAAAAACAGTATGGAGGTCCCTCAAAAAATTAAAAATAGAACTATCATATTATCCAGAAATCCCACTACTGGGTATATATGCAGAAAAACTGAAATCAGATCTTGAAGAGATATTTGCACTCCCCCTTTCATTGCAGTATTCAATGTGTAAGATATGAAATCAACGGAATTGTCCATCAGTGGATGAATGGATAAAGAAAATGTGATCTACGCACACAATGCAATATTTTTCAGCCCTAAAAAAGAGAAAATCTTGTGTATGTGACAACATGGACGAACCTGGAGGACATTATGTTAGGTGAAATAAGCCAGTCACAGAAGTACAAATACTGTGTTTTTCACTTATATGAGGAATCCAAAATAGCCAAACTCATAGAAATAGTGAAATGGCGGCTTCCAGGGGCTGGGGTGGAGGTACTGTTCAAAGGGTATAAAGTTTTGTTACACAAGATGAGTAGGTTCGAGATCTGCTGTACAGCATGGTGCCTATAATTAACAACATTGTCTTGTGCACTTAAAAATCTATTAAAAGGGTAGATCTCATGTGAAGTGTTCTTACTACAATAAAAAAGATGTCTTTTTAAAAAACACACTAAATGTCTTGTCATTGAACTTTTCACATTGAAAATAAGAGTATTGATTAGTTCAAAGTCATAGTGACGCTATATATCATTTTTGGGAAGATTAATAAAAAATGGAGACACATAGAAAATAGCTTGGGGTAAAAATATGAAATTTAATCTGAATTATCAGATATATAGTCTGCCACTAGAATAGAGAGTGAAGTTTATATAATGTGGAAAATATTTTTCATCAAACTTGTCCATGTGGAACCTGGGCAGTTCAGCTTGTTGTGTGGCATCACCTCTTCTCTACTGTCCATTCCTCTTGCCCAGTAGCTGACCTGCCTACACGTTAACAGGGTTTGTAAGTGCAGGAGAGGTGACTTTGGGTGGAGACATGCACCAGAAGATTGCGTTTGCTGAAGAAGTATTTTACTACTTATGAAATGAAACACATCCTCAGAAAGGCTGGCACCAAATTTGAAGCAGGAAGTCCTCATCTGAAAAAAGTGATTCTAGCTTATATTCACTTGTTCCCTCTAATAAAATCAGATATTCTACAAAGAGAGAAAATCAAACTCAAGAGTCCCTCATCAAAAGGGAAAAATGAAGATTATTTACAAAAGTAGAGACCACAAATTTAGAAAAATCAACTAAAGCTAGTGCAGTTCTCTAGGGCCAGCAACAGTGGGAACCAATATATCCAAGACCTGAAGGGGCAAAGGAGGAAGTGGCTGCTGGTAACCTAGACATGGAGGTCTTGTGGAGAGAGCCATGTGATGGGAGTAGGCACCTCTACCCTCTCCTCCTGCCAGGGATCACCCACCTACACCCTGTTAGCTGAATCCAGTTAGAAGGCAGAAGGCAAGGGAGCCGCTGCTATAGTCAGTGTGGGGAAGGAGGATGGGAGGGGGTGGAGAGGAAAACTGGAGGGACCGGTAGGAAATATCTTCATAACTTACTATGGAGAGCATCACCTGGATTTTCCTCAGAGCCTATTCTGCTGAGCTTGGCCTCCCTTCCTGAGTACTTCATCCTCAAAGTGTCGGCAAGCCTGCATATTTGAAGTGACCAGACCATGGCCCAACTCACAGCACTGCCTTGCAGATGGAAGCAATGGCTGGATGTTTGACTTGGGTGCAAACACTGGGAGAAGTTACGGAGGGTTTGAGTAAGTGATGACTAGGCAACAGATACTTTATTAACCATTTGCAAATGTGGCTTCACGCAGAAGGTAGGATAGGCCAGGGCCAATATGAGAGTAGTGTGCTAGAACAATTCACTAAAGTATACCGGTGGCCCAGAAGAGTGTGGACATGTAAGGGTACACACTTCTGCCCAGAGGATCCCTCACGTAACTGTGTGTCCACAACACACAGTTATGTGAGGAGCTTCATTAAGGACATTAGATATTTCTCCAGCTTCACCTGAGATGTTCAAATATTTGTCACTTGAAATGGAAAATCAAGTGTGTGCGTGAGTGTGCAGGAGCTCGCCTTGAAGGCACCTTCCCTCACTGGCCTGGAGACCTTGGGCCAGGAGAGATCTGGAAGGAATTGTTCTTGGACTGGCTCAGGAGCTGAGGGTCACTCAAACCTGAGAATGTTTGAAAGGTGAAATCGCCCATCTGCTGTAGGAGGGCACCCATTGTTCTGCCTGGACAGTTTCTGGGAGGAAACAGTTTCCTCTGACTTTCCTCAGCCTGGATCAAGGCACTGAGATTGGTGATTCCCACTCTCATACTGGAAAGCAGAGTCTGAGGCCCCGCTGATCTCTACTTTTTCTCTCCCCAAGTCAGGAGCCAGGCCAGAGGCTTTGTAAGCTTCACTGAGTTCACATGCTCTGGAGGGGTCAGCGGTGGAGGCCTTAAAAATAAAAAGCTGTTGGGGGTTGGAGTGAGAACATGGAAAGTCATAACCAGATTTTTTAGTAAGAGTTTAAAACTGTAAAGTATCTTGCCGTAGTAAGTTGTTATGAAAATTAATCAAGTATGCTTTTATGGAACTGAGTACAAGACCATATGATTTAGTGTGCATTCAAGAAATGGCTGTTGTTGCTCTTTTTGAGAAAGCCAGGCTAAAATTCTGGGGCAAAAAAAGGAGAAGAGCTAAATCAATGCTCTTTGGCTCCTTGGCCCTTAACCTCAGAAACCTCCACTTTTATCATCTATAACATGAGATTAATGATACCTTGTCAGTTGGTTGAAGTTTCCAAGGCATTCAAGGCAGTATTCATTAGCCTTACTTTAGTAAATATTTTAACAGCTGGCCAGATTTGTTGGGCTATGTAATCCAGCGCATGCAGTGAAGAAGAATTGTTTTGTACATTGGCGAAATACATATGCGACTGCAAGAGGAAAAGATCTTCATGTTGACAATGGACAAAGGTCTACACTGCAGGTAGGATGCTGGCTGCTTCTCTTCCTACATAAATGGCAGAGAATGCTGTAACGAATAGTATTGCTTTTTAATGGGCTCTAGTACTTGCACTGCGGCGCTCTCCATTTGATATTAGGAAGAAAACACCTCCTAAAAGTTATGCAAAAGCTGTGCAAATGACTGTCAAGACAAACCAGCCCCATGTTTTACTAAGGTGCCTCTCATGTTTGTCGGGCATAGTACAGCAGCAGTGTGGGAAGAGAGCTATCTTGTTACAGTTCTGTTTCTCAGACTGTCTTCCCAATCTTACCCTGCCAAACTGCTTACTTCTGACATAACGGGGTATTCCCTCTTCTGCATTAGAACCCATAGGAGACTATAGGCTCTTTTAAGGGACTTCAAAAAATGCTATGAGTTAAGGATACTATGAAGCTAATGAACTATTTTCTTTCATATAGGTAATGCTGGACTCTAGATATAAAATAGCTTCATTTCCTAAATGAGTTGGAGAATAAAACTTCAACACATAACAGATATCTCAGTTTTTCAATCTAAATAAACTGATCTCAGGGCAGATGTATTACCCTAGTCCTAGCCTATGAGAACTTGGACTGTGTTATTGAGGAGACAGAAAGATGTTCTGCACGTGAGCTCTCTTAGTAGATAGTGGTCCTCACTAGTTTGCTATCATCTTGATTTTCTGAAGGTCAAAGTCTCTCAATTGTCTTGCATATGTAGCCTCATCAGCTGCAGAAAGAAGACTAGGCCTCAAATGCCTAAAGCCCTTGGAAAATACAATTTCCAACCTTCTGGAAGTTTCTCCTCTGCCTTTCATTTCACTCGAGAAGACGCAACTTACTGAGAAAAAGGCTGGAGCAACTCCTTAGAGGCTGGCAAGAGTGCCAATCCTTCCTCCAGCTCAGGAAAACAAGATTTTGATCAAGACAAGACTTTGTTTCAGAGGCTGAGGCTGCAAAGCATAGCAATTTGTGCCCACAAACTCTCTTGTGTTTCTGAATTCCAGTGTAACAGCTGAATGAGATTCATTAAATGAAGAGGGGGTAGAAATGCTCATGGAGTGTTTCAGAGGCCATAGGCCATGGAGGTGGTTGTTCAATAGACATCAGAAACAAAGCGACCAAGCTGAACCTGTGGAAACCATGGCCTTATTCTTGGAATGGGAGGCTAGGAGTCAGACACTGCAACCTGCTTTCAAGAGCAACTGTGCATTGGAGTAAACGAGGTGCATGTGCGTGCAGTTTCACAGCTTGGGTGGTGTGCCACTGGGCCTCAGGTTGGTCTCTCTTGACTAGGTATGACTATATAAAGTGCAATGTGTCAATCTGATCACATCTCAGCCAATGGAGAAGTTGGAGGCCATACTTCTCTAGCTTTTTTCCAAGGCAGGGTTACTTCTGCCTAGTCAAACACCAGGAAAATGGGATTATGACCAAACAGGAGCCCAATTTTACATTTAGAGATTGTTGACCCAAGCCAGGAACACTCAGGAACAGTCTTAGATTTGGGGATTTGAAGAATTTAATTCTTTTATTTAGGACATGTGATTCTTTTACTGGTAAGAAAAGAATGCTTGGCATTTTCTCATAAATCTAGAAATTGGTGGAAAACATTGATCCAAACTGCATTTGTTCTTGATGCAGATATTTCCATGAAAGATGTTTGGACTCATGAAAGCTCAGATGTCTCAAGAAAGCCAGAGAAGGCTGTGTGGGGTAGGGAAGCTCTCTGCTTGTGAGTGGACCCATTCTCTCCCTATCCCCAGGCTCTTTGGCATTTTCCTTTGAGGACAGTGTTCTGCAATGCCTAATTAGATGCTGTCTGTTGGCTTTGGTATCCCATCGCTGTGTTCCTAGTTTGTCTTACAAGGATTGGGTGTACCATGTTAAGACAAAACATTGCAATGTTAAAACACAACACTGTTGTGAAGATCATCTTTGTTTTCAGAATGTATTTTAAGAGCTAGTGGAGTAGAAAATGGCCGGTTTGTTGTCAGTAAAGCTCTTCCTTCACCCAGAAACCACAAGAGCCTGACAGTCAAGTCATTCTCACAGGTGCGTGTGGTCCCTATCAGGGATGTGCTGGGCTGCCAGCCTCCCTGACGGGCCCTTTGTGGTGGCGCTGCTGAGTTACCCTAGCATGCCACCACGGGATCAGACTACTGCTGCAGACTGTTATGACGATGTCACCCGGAGGTGGCAGACCTGAGTGTGAAGCGTGATCCTGCTCTCTGACACAGGAACTTGTCATGTCTGAGGAAACTGACCTTTAGTTCTGTACCAGCTAGAGTCAGGAGGCCAGGAATTTCCTTTTGAGCCCCAGGTCAACTTGGATTGTATGAAGTAGAAGTCTAAGTGACACCCAGATTTTGCTATTGCCCAAAGAACAGCTTTCTGACCTGGCCCTCCTCAGCCTGCTCCCCAGCGGAGGAAGGCTGTTCCCAGCAGGTCTTCTTCGCTCTTCACCACCTTCCCTGAATCTGGTATTCCCACGTAGAACGACCTGCTCCTAACTGAGTGGGAGGCTGGCCAGCACTGATTGCATGCTGTGTACTTTAAGCTTGTGATGGAATATTTAAGGGCCAGACATGCCTTCCTCAGATAGAGCAACGTGGTCTCGAGTTAAAATTTCTGACACTCAAACTTGAATGGCTCTTAGAGATCAATCACTGTTTCTTGGAGGTGATGGGAAATACCGTAACGTGGAGATCATCATGGGACACTGGGGAATTTAGAGTCTTATTTGTGCTAACATGACACAACCAAGATAAGTTGGAGTGTATGTGGGTGAGATGGCAACAGGCAGAAAGCTAAGGTGCCAGAGATCCGTGAGTAAATTCTATTGTTTCTTGTTGGTAAGGATTTATATTGTATCAGAAAGTGGTAAGACCACAGGAATTTCATATCATCCCTAATAAATATATACATATACATACATTGTATACACGTTAATATCTATATATTTGGGTATACGTGTATGTGTGTATATGTAGCATATTTTTAAGAAGCACAAATAGCTGAGTCTAGGGGAGTGCTTGTGAACTGCATTGTGGTAAATCACTGAGGTATTCTTCAGCAGTGAATACAGTTTTTCACATGATTTTATTACGTCTTTTAAAGATAGTATCAGTTGTATTTCTGAGAGTATTTTGACATCTTTGTTTATTGAACTTGGTGGCCATTTAAGTTAGTATTTTCATTTTGAATAAGCCCCCTCAGTCTGCACCACAACTTAAAATATAACCTGAAGCACTTTGGTACTCTATGTGGTCGTTGTAACTTAATGCCACACTGAATGCTGTGGCATTTCATAAAGTTACTTTTTTTTTTTTTTGAGATGGAGTCTCGCTCTGTTGCCCAGGCTCGAGCGCAGTGGCACAATCTCGGCTCACTGCAAGCTCCACCTCCCAGGTTCATGCCATTCTCCTGCCTCAGCCTCCCGAGTAGCTGGGACTACAGGTGCCCACCACCACGCCTGGCTAATTTTTTGTATTTTTAGTAGAGACAGCATTTCACAGTGTTAGCCAGGATGGTCTTGATCTCCTGACCTCGTGATCCACCCTCCTTGGTCTCCCAAAGTGCTGGGGTTACGGCGTGAGCCATCACACCTGGCCAAAGTTACTTCTTAAATACAAGGATGGCTCTTTGCCGTGATCATGGTTTCCATGTTTGCTTTCGTTCCATCTGGCTTTCGGTTACTCCCATTTCCCTTTCCCAGTCTCTGTGAGCGGTAACACTTGGTATCGTATAGCATCATCTGCGATACTCCAAAGGAATGGGCAGACATGCACTCCTGCGCCCTTCTAATGTCCCTAGGAAAGCAGCACACTGACCCTGAAACTGCCAGCACAGAGCCACATCAGCAGCAGGAAAGACACTGAGTGAGCCAGTATGTGCAATGACAGGATGGCTTTACACAAAGACTCGGTTGCATGCCAAGTCAGGGTGTAATGGAGCAAGCCCCCAGGGCAGACCATGCCCACTGCACTCTCTCTGAGCAGCTGAAGTTCTGTCTCTGCATGTTCATCTTAGAAGGTGGCATGGATGCCAGAGTGCAGCTTCTTCCGCCTGCCCCTAATAAGACAGTGAGTCAGGGCTCAGGTCCCCCAGGAAGAGGAAACTGCAATGAACGGGCACTTTCTCTATCATTTGTGTGGCATGTACCACACTGCAGCCACCCGTGTCACTGCTCCTGTGTAACAGGATTGATGTTGCTATTTTCCTAATGATCCTGTCTACTGAGAAGGCAGGAAGCCACATGCCTCCTGCAACAACCAGAAGCCAACAAGCCAGTCTCCTCTCTCAACAAGGTAAGACAAATGATGTAAAAATAGGTTAAATTACTTCGAAACTTTAATTACAGATACTTTTCCACGCAACATTTCTGAAATGAAAGCTTTGATTCTCCCCTTTTTTTGCATAAAGGCTGGGAAGGTGGTTTGGCCAGACCGTACATCTTTTTGTATATACATATCTACACCTGTGTCTCTTCTTTATTAATAAAAGGTGTCTTGATCACAGTCCCAAACCAACTCTGCATTGGATTCCAGCATATAAAACTCAGAGAGTAAAACAATTTCAAAGGAAGACAGGCTGCAACCACAGGAAAATGGCAGGAAAAGTTGTAGCTTGATAGTTGTTTCTTCTAAGTTTAACTCAGAAATATAATAATAATTAAGAGAAAAAAATAAGAGGCCCTAGCTTTCATCCCTGCTACCAAACACGCTCGTCCAGAACTCTAGGCTGTCTTAAAGTGCAATTACTGTTGTGAAGTTGCTCAGGCCAGGGATCAGGCTGGACGGAGTTCAAAGCAGAAACTTCAAACACTCCTTGCTGTTCATGACTCAGGGGCTGGGAGGGAGGGAGAGGAGAAAAAGAAGGACAGTTCTCTGGCATTCAAGTGCATCAAAAGAATAAATGTCTTTTCTTTTGGTAAAGCAAATCTGTCAATAGTAAGGAATCCTGGTTTGGAAAAATAGAACTTTCTAAAACTTCTATCTGCGGATGTTCCAATGCAGCAGAGGGACAAGGCAGGCAAGTGCAGCCAGCAGCAGGGACCAGGTGTGCCTCCCAGGGGCCCGGCCATACAGGCTGCTTCCACTGTCTTCTGCGAGGTCCTCTGCCCTCGGCGAAGAGGAGGCACACTGGACCAAGGGCATCTGGTAGGACGTGGCTCTCTTCTCTGGCCTGTCTGGGCTGGACCCGTCGCTGGGCCTCTGACCGTTGAACAGCAGATAGCGCCCCCGGGCATCCTGTTCCATTTTGAAGATCTCGTACTCCGTGTGAGGTAGTTTGATGCCCAGGGCCACGCAGCCATTGGTGTGGGTCACATCCTGCTGGATGCCCACCTGCCAGGAGCCCTCGGCCCCGCACTCATTCCCGTTGAAGACGTTGAGCAGTGAGGCTGTGGCCGCATCCATGGGGGTGACCTTCATGTGATTCACTGCAAAGGAGAAAGGAGAGTTCCATGACTCCAGGGAGTAGGCGTGGGATCCAGAAACCCACCCAGAAAACACTGGCCACACTCTAACTAGACAAGGCTTTCTTTTCCAAAAACAATCCCACCTACAGACCCACCCATCTGACAGCAGTAGTCATCAAAGCACTGTCAGGCGGAGAAGAGTTCAACCTGTTGATCTGGGTGGCAGTCACACCGATATGCTGCAGGTGTGGCCATGCAACACAGACCATCTGGTGTAGAAACACTGAGCCCAGAATACAGCTGGGAGTGCCTGCAGGCAACAAATAAAACTACAGCTCGGAGTGCTCCTAAGGAGTTTTATTTGGTGATGCTGACTCGTTGGGATTGAAAGAAAAATATTCAACAAAGGCTGGAATTTTGCTTTTATCAAAAGGTTTTCGGGTTTCTAAAAGTTTTGGTGTCAAACACCTATTCTGGTTGGCATTCTCACACATTCCTATGGGCCCATACATCAGGCATCTAAAATAAGTTAGGCTGCAAGCAAGAAAAATGTGAGTGAATAAATTAAATACAAATCCCAGCTTTTGTGGAGAATTGCTTCTGAAGGTCCCTCCAGGGGGCCACTTCCGTGTATAACACGATGAGCTTCAGGGTGGAGTCAAGTAAAGATTGCTTGCTTTCAATTAAGTTTCTCAAAGGGCCTGTATTCCTGGAGCAAACCTTGCTACCCAAAAGGAGGGCTAAAGTCTTCCAGGACTTTCTGGGTTAACAGAAACATTTTTATAGTAATGGGACTGAACCCTGGAACGCCATCCTGGAGGAGTCACCTGGGATCGAGGCTATCCCTCTTTATTTGGTATGATAGGGCTGACACCATTTTACAAAGATGCTCAAACTTAGGGGGAAAAAAAAAGCAACCTTTTAAAAATAGCAACCACAAGCCCTGCTTTGTTGCTAGCAGCCTGGTGCAGCTCCTTCCTCCCCTCCTCGTTTAGTGATAAGGACACAGCCTGAACCTTCCCACAGATGCTCCCACCTCCAAGCAGGTGACAACCTCTCAATTACACGACAAGCTCAGGGTTGGAAAGGACAGCTCTGAGCACCTGAGGTGTCACTAACACCTCTTTATTGCTCACTCAGGAAAGCACTGTGGCATGCAAGCAAACGCAGTGTTATTAGAGGGGCAGCATGGAATCTGCCAGAGTTGTGTATAAAGAACACAAAGTGCAGACTTGAGATTTCTTTTTTTGTTTTTTAGAGACAGGGTCTTTCTCTGTTGCCCAGGCTGGAGTACAGTGGCATGATCATATCTTACTGTAGCCTCAACTTCCTGGGCTCAAGCGATCCTCCTAGCTCAGCCTCCAGAACAGCTGGGACTACAGGCACATGCCACCACATCCAGCTAATTTATTTTATTTTTTTATAGAGTTAGGGCCTCACTATGTTGCCCAGGCTGGTTTCAAACTTCTGGCCTCATGAGATCCTCCTGCCTTGGTTTCCCAAAGTGTTGGGATTACAGGCATGAGCCTCCGCACCTGGCCAGAGATTTCATTCCCAGTAACATCCTCCCTGGCTGGCAACTTCCCACAGGCAGTGGCGTGGACTCCTCTCGCATTCAGGCCTGCAAGTGGAGGCTGTCCACCTGATCCATTTTGAGCAGGGAGAAACTCAGAGGGCGTTGGGAAGGACTGAGGCAGAAATGACTCCCCAATTTCTTTCCTGGGAACTCAGGCAGAAAAGAGGTCCTTTCCCTCAGCTCTGCCTCCACAAAAATGTCACAGGGCTGTTTATTGGCTGTGATACTGGGACTTGAGATGGGAATCCTACCTTTGAACACGAACTCGGTGCCTCCCATGACCCTGGACGAGAGGACGCCGCGGCTGTAGCGGCCCCGGGCGTAGATGGAGAAGGTGGGGTGCTTGCACACCGGGTCTGAGTAGTGGTAGTAGTGGCCCTCCCAGGTGTTGTTGTTGTCATGGAAGATGAAGTGGCGGGTGAGGAAGAGGACTTCGGGGCGCACCTCACAGCGCTGGCTCACCCACTCCCCGTGCAGGCCGATGGTCAGGTCTGCCTTTGGGGGCAGGATGGGAGGGTGGTGCTCGTCTGACCGATAGATGATCCGACAGGCGATGCAGGCATGGTCGTGGTTCTGAAGCCAAGAAACAAACACATTCAGAGGCCTCTATCTTCCCAAGGGAGCAGTGCACACATGCTTCCGGCAAATGGGGTCTCACCAGGCACCAGATCACCATCACTGACAACCTCGACACCAAGAACCAACTGGAATCATGCTCCGGGCACAGACAGAGGTGAGAGTGATGTGTGAGTGCACACGTTTGCCTGACAGTACAGACCTATGCAAACATTTCAGGTGTGATGTGGACACTTTAGAATCCTATTAAGTTTTCAGACCACATGCACTGGACACTTGATTTCAAAAAGAAATGATGGCAGCACCTCACACCCATTAGGATGGCTACTATCAAAAAATGCTATCAAAAAATCACAAGTTGGCAAGGATGTGAAGAAATTGGAACCCTTAAACACAGCTGATGAGAATATACAATGGTCCAGCCACTATGGAAAACAGTAAGGTGGTTCCTCAAAAAACAAAACAAAACAAAACAAAAAACAACAAAACAGAATTACCATATGACCCAGCAATCTCACTTCTGGGTATGTACCCAAAAGAGTTGAAAGCAGGGACTTGAATAGATATTTGCACACCCATGTTCACATCAGGGTTATTTACAATAACCAAAAGGTAGAAGCAACCCAAGTGTCCACTGACAGATGGATGGATCAACAAAATGCGGTCTATCCATACAATGAAATACTCTTCAGCCTTAGGAAGGCAGGAAGTTCTGACACCCGCTACAATAGGGATGAACCTTGGGGACACCCTGGTAAGTGAAATAAGCCAAACACAAAAGGACACTGTATGATGTCACTTATATGAGGTTCCTAGAGTGATCAAATTCATAGAGACAGAAAGTGGAATGGTGGTTGCAGGAGCTGGAAGGGGGGGACAAGGAGTGGTTTAATGGGACTAGAGGTTCAGTCTGGGAAGATGAAAAAGTGGATGGTGGTGATGGTTGTATAATAACATGAATGCGATCAGTGCCACAGAACTGCACACTTAAAACTGGTTAAACGATACATTTTACATTATGTGTATTTTACCACAATTAAAATTTATTTTAATAAAAAAAGTTAGGAGACACAAAGAAAAATAAAAAGGCCAGCGCTCCACTGGCTGTGGATGAAATGGAGTTGTGTAGGAAACGCAAGGTCCTTTAGAAGAGGGAATGGAGGAGGCGGCCCGCAAGAAGGGAGAGCTGGAAGCTGCGGAGCAGCAAGCACACGCGCACACTGCCCTCTGTCCCGGTCTGCCCGCCTCCAGGTTCAGAAGGTTTCTGCGTTCCTCATCTGCTTCCTGCTTTCTCAGCTTTAAGCAAGACGGCCACAGCTCTGACCTTCCAGAAGACCCTCTCTTGCCTGGTCTATTTTATAACACGGACACAGCAGGGAACAAGGGCTGTCTAGGTTTGTGGCACAGAAAGGCCTCTCTGGTGAGAGGTGCACACGTCAGAGATGCTGGAAGTCAGGGCACAGGGTGCTTGAACACAGTGCCAGTGCCTCGCTGTCTGACCAAGGTCTTCAGACACCTCTGAGCCCGGGCTGCCTCCTCCTGCACCTGGGTCATCCCTCCGCTATTCTCCTTCCACCCAGGGGGTGCAAAGCTGGTAGGCTAGCAGAACGCTGACCACTAGCAGCACGTGCCGATCGGATCAGGCTGTGGTAGGGAGGTAGAAGTTGGTAGCTCAGTGTTCTGGGGACGGCTGGGCCACCCCAGCCCCGTGCTCCCATGCCATCAGTTCATGGCCTCACATCTGTCCTGTGGCCAAGGCTGAGGGGCACCCACTGACTGGGCAGGCACACACTTGTTCTCTAGCAGTTCTCTAAAGTTGGAGATCTCAGTCACCAGGGTCTTTGGGTTTACAGCCCTCACTCAACATGTGATTTCGTTGTGGTCGCTGTTTGGTTTCCCAGAGAGGGCAGGAAGAGCTGTGGGCTTCCCAGCTGCTGCTCACTAACTTGCGCTGCTGCTGTGTGCATTAGATGGGCATAGAGTTGCACTTCAGGCGAGATAATGTTTCCTTTGCTAACATGGTTTGTGGCTTGTAGACAATTGGATCAAAGAGCTGCAGCATTGAGATGAAGGCCAAGTCCTGGGCGTCCCCAAGCTCTACGTGCATTTTTTGGCCTGCAGTTTCCTACAGAGGGCTTAGGGGCACACGGAGAAACTGCCTGCAACCTGTGCTCAGCAGTGAGCTGCCCTCTGCAAGTTACAGGAGAAATGGAGATGAGCTCCTGCATGAGGCCCATTAGGCCAGAGCTTAATTACGTCACGGAAAGATGTCTCCGGCCAGTTCCTGGGGGCCAAGGCCAGCCCCGGCCGCTTCACAGCTGGTGATTTTGGGCAAGCTATTTATTTCTCTCCATTTCAACTTCCTCATTTTTACAATGGTGATCATTATACTTACTTGCATAACTGCTGCAAGAAATGAACAGCAGATTAAGGTGGTTCCCACTCAGTGCACCCACTTGGTGTGAACATTAAATAAAGGCCTTTCTGACACCCTATGTGCCACTATCTTTCAAATGCACCTTAAGGTGAAGAAAATACAAACTGAGTTAAAAGAAAGCATCACTGAGTACGGTAGCTTTGCCTTTACGTTTCCTTGGTCAACTACTATGGGGTAAAGGTTCCAGAGTTTTCACCTTAACAAGAGTTCTGATATTCAAAACACAGGATGGAAAGTTAGTATGACATAGTGTGCCCAGCCCAGGGCTCCTGCATAACTGCTGGAACAGTCACCATTGAAATCAGGCCTGTGGTCCTGGTGTGGGGACCAGTGACACCCCCTCTGACACTGGCTGGGAACTTGGATTCAAATCACGAAAACTTCACAGCCAGGAAGGTGGTGTTCTCTTGTGATGCCTGTTATCAGACACAAGCTGTGCAGGAGCCGGCCCCTGGCTCAGCACCACCTACAGGTGAGCCCAGCACATGCTGAAATAAGAGAGGCCACATGAAGCACTCGTACCATCAGGGTAACAAGAAGCGCGGAGTCAGATCTTCCCGTCAGCCAGGAGGAGCTGCGCACTCCTACCATTTGCAGCTCATCGCTGGTAGTGGCTACCCCCTCCGCCTGGGCAGGTCCCCAAAGCCTAGCTGGCAGCCCCGCTTCCCCAACCCCAGCCTTCAGCTCCCCTCTGCGCCATTCCCCACAACTTGGTTTGCCATCTGTAATTTGGGAATTTAAAAACATCAGTTGCAACTCCTTCATTTCTGGTCATTCTAAGGAGGTGAGAGTCTCAATTCCTGAAAAGATTTAATTTGTCAAATACCAGGATCAATTCAGGAAGAGCTCAGAGAGCTTCTAAGGTGGGGGTGGGAGAGAGAAATGAAATAAGGGACGTTAGTTCTTGCAAGAGATGCTTCTGGGATGACGTCGAGGAGCAACTGCTGTTTGGCTCAGACAAGGCAAAGGCTCGGGGGAGGGGAGGGGGCACTGCTGTCGCCTGGGCTGTTCCAGAATGAGTGTTTTCAGAGGTGCTTTCCTTTAGCAATAATGAGGCCGGGGTCCTGAGCTCCGAGACGAGGACCCAGTGGGACTTGGTCACTTCAGGAGGTTGATGGTCCTGGCTGAAGTGTTGCTGTTCCATAGCAGAGAAAAGCAGGCCAGGCACGGTTTTTGTGTTTTTGTTTGTTTTTTTTGTCTTGTGGAGAGCACAGGCGCAGGGAGGCTTGTTTTCCATCAGGTGGGCCTGAGAATTTAGGGAGGGTGCAGGGAGTGGGAGAAACCTGGCTCTTGGGTATTGGTCTTGCCAAATCCCTAAACTAGATGCTTTTTTTTTTTTATTACTGTGTTTAAAAAAATACCTAACATAGAATTTGCCATCTTAGCCATTTTAAAGTATATTCACACTGTTGTGCGGCTACCCCTGGAACCTCTTCATCTTCCCCAGCTGAAAATCTGCACCCACTAAACACTAACGCCTCATTCTCTCTCCTGCCCCTGGAAACCTCCATTCTCCTTTCTGTCTCTGTGGATTTGACTATTCTAGGTGCCTCATCTGAGGGGAACTATCACTATTTGTCTTTTTGTATCTGGCCTGTTTCACTTACTATAAGCTCCTCAAGTTTTATCGATGTTGTAAAATGTGTCAGAATTTCCATCCTTTTAAGGCTGATATTCATTGTATGACTATTCCACATTTTGTTGATTTATTCATCTGTCGATGGACATTTAGGTTGCTTCCACCTCTTGGCTACTGTGATTGATGCTGCTAGGACCATGTTTGTTCAAGTCCTTGCTTTTAATTCTTTTGGGTATGTACCCAGAAGGAGAATAGGTGGATCAATTTGGTAATTCTATGTTTAATTTTTGGGGGGAACCACCGTACCATTTTCTGGAGTGGCTCAATCATTTTACATTTCCATCAGCAATGTATAAGGTTCCAATTTCTCCACATCCTTCCCAATACTGGATATTTTCTAGTTTTGATCGTTTTGTATTTTGTAATAGCCATCCTACTGGGTAAACTGATAGCTCATTGTGGTCTTAATTTACATTTTTCTTTGCCAATTTTTTTTATTTTTTATTTTTTTTGGTTGTTGACTAGTTACCTTTTTTTTTTCTTTTTTTGAGACAGGGTCTCACTGTTGGAGGTGGGAAAGAGAAAGTCTGGGGGTTGCCCAGGTTGGAGTGCAGTGATGTGATCTCAGATCACTGCAACCTCCACCTCCCAGGCTCAAGCAATCCTCCCACCTCAGCCTCCCAAGTAGCTGGGACTACAGGTGTGCACCACCATGACTGGATAAATTTTTTTTTTGTATTTTTTGTAGAGACGGGGTTTCACCATGTTGCCCAGGCTGGTCTCAAACTTCTGAGCTCAGGGCAATCTGCCTGCCTCAGCCTCCCCAAGTGCTGGGACAACTCTTTAGCAGTCATGAAGAAGCCAAAGTTATCATAACAAGCAGAGTTGTTTCTGGCCTCTGTGGATACTGTCAACGAGGGGACAATTTTAGCTACCGTTGAATAAGGAGACACCTCTGTATTGTAACAAATTTTAAAAATATCATTTATGCTAATTCTCATAATCTTTGGCCTGAATAAAAATTAGAGACCTACAGGCACAACTACAGAGAAGCAGAAATTAAAGCCTGTATATTGTATTCATTCTAAAGTTTCTCTTTTCTGAGATGTTTTTCGGAAACAGTATTCTTCCAAGATGGATACATGGAAAGAGAATTAGATATGCAGTTTTTAAACATGATGAGTGATTGGTACTGTGGAGTATCATTTGCTCCGTAAAATTATTCCCTCTTTTTTGGGGATCCATGTTCCAAGACATGACTCTCATTTGAGAAGTGTCCTCTCCCAGGCTCACCAACTTGGCTTCCACGGCATCCCCTTTCCCCGAATCTTAGAAAGGGCTATTTAAAGCCAGAGCTTCTGTACCCAGAAGATTTGAAGGTTAAAGCAGAGGAACCAGAAAGTGTTTCCTTGTTGCTATTCTTTACACACACTATAAAAAGCTTTCATCAGAAAGGGGAAGGGAGAAAAAGGATCCCATGCAAATAATCTCTGGAAAAAAAATTAAACTTGTTCTAAAAATGAGAAAGAAACTTATACTTTATAAATGAGCAATGTTCTAGGCAAAGAGTGGGGTTCTGCCTACTCTGCTCTCTGATTCCTGCTTAGCTCCAGGTAACAAGTTAAATAGCTACAGCTTGCATTTACAGGATATTCGAGTCTCGGAGGCTCAAGTACAGCATCTCCTTAGACTTTACAACCTCCCAGGAGACCATGGGTACATTTTACAGACGAGGCAACTAAGGCACCTGGAGAGAAAAAGTCAGATGACTTTACAAACCCAAAGTGGAGCCAGGATGGTAATTTGGTCTTAGGACTTGCTGAGTGCTGCCTCCTGGCCAGAGCTGCCTCAGGCTGCAGAGAACAGACGTTTCCCCAGCAAGGACTCCAGCCCAGGAAAAGGTCTTCTCCGGCTGATGACTGATGGGGATTCTCCAGGCTTTCTCTGTTCCCTGCCACTGTTTATTTCTGGAAAGGTGGTTCATCAACATCTGCTGACAGTATCTGTTTGTTTTCGCCATCTTCCCAGAATGGAAGAAATTACTTGATGTGATCTTGTGAACAGATCAACTAAGGAAGCAGGCTGCATGAAACACAAGCCTTCAAAAGCAGTGTTCCTTGAGCTAAAAGTTTTGTTCAAGAAGGAGGAAAAATGGGAGTAGATGATGGAAACTTCCTTTCCTAGGGTTTTGTTCCCTCGGATAAAAAACACACAAATGTTTCTCACAAAGAAACCTGCAGTGGCCAATGGCCCACGTTGAAAACTTTCTTTGTAACTGCGATGTGCCAAGTATTTGATTAAATTTCTGCTGTAGATAACCCTGCAGGTACATCCTTCTCGGGTCTTCTGTATTACGAGTCCTTTGAGGCCAAGACCAAGTGTTCTCTCTTTGTCATATTTCCCATGACATCCAGGAGAGAGTTGCACAGGGTTCTCGGCTAACAGGCAAACGGAGAGAAAGCTGGCATTGGACATGTAAAGAATTAAATGGAGTAGCTAGCATTCATCACAAATGATGGGCGCCCACCTGCCTTGTGGGAGGGAACTCGGGGTGCTTTTCCTATCTGGGATTCTAGGAGCTTGTGAATTGGGGCTCATTTTGATCATCTAAAGGGAGCATGATGATGCCACTTTCAGAAGGAAGTGGGTGAAGAGCTGTGGCTTTAGGTACAGACTGCCCAGGCAGGCTTGCTGTCTATCCAACACACTGAATGTTTGTGTCGCCTCAAAATCCATGTTAAAATCCTTACCACGAATGTGAGGAAATTAGGAGGTGGGGCCTGTGGGGGGTGACTAGGTCATGAGGGTACAGCCCTTAAGAAGGGGATTAGTGCCCTTATAAAAGAGGCCTGAGAGTTCTCCAGCTGTCTTGCTGCCACATGAGGATACAGAGGGAGGTCAGCAGTCTGCAACCTGGGAGAGAGCCCTGACCAGGATTCCAGCCTCCCACCATGCTGGTGCCTTGATCTTGGCTCTCCAACGTCCAGAACTGTGAGAAGTGAGTGGCTGTCCCCAGTCCATGCTGCTTTGCTATGGCAGCCTGGATGGACTGAGGCACCTGCTGCCCAGCACCCACTCTCCACAGGTGAGGGCAGCCCCTCAGTGTACAGACCCCGTGCAGCTGCGTCATCCCTGCCAGGATGCAGGCACCTCTGTGGTGCCAGGGGTACTCAGAGAGCCTCAGGGAGGCTGCACAGCCACCTCGGGCCTGTTACCACTGTCCAGGAAGGGGCCTGGGCCAGGAGGATGAGGGAGAAAAGGAGAAACCAGGCTGCTAATTCCTGAGTCTGTAGTTGGCTATGAAGCAGAGGGGAGCAAAACTCAACCAAACACTTCTGCACCCTGGAGTTCAGCAGGGGCAGCTGGTAGGTCCTTAAGAGCAACATTAGCCTTCTGGAAATGGACTTCCAAGGCAGCTTAGAATCTGAGAAGTGAGCTCACAAAGGCCTTTTTTTGTTTTAGTTAACATTAGAATAATAAAAAAGACCATTTTGCCTCACCCAGCAACTGGAGAAAAAGGACCCTAAGAAGATGGTTCTTTAAG
This sequence comes from Homo sapiens, assembly GCF_000001405.40. NCBI lineage: Eukaryota > Metazoa > Chordata > Mammalia > Primates > Hominidae > Homo > Homo sapiens. Next base: position 10,477,898 of record NC_000018.10, on the reverse strand, counting down.
AGAAAAGACTTTAAGAATGGTTTCCGAAAAGAATTTTTATTTCTTTTTACTTGTTTCTTTCTTCCACTCCTATGCATTTTGATTCATTTAAATAATTAAAGTAGACTTATTAAATCTGCTGTAAATCCACTGGGCACTCCTGGCTGGCCCATCCTCTTCCTTTCTCCCCTGGGGCTCAGCAAACACTCCCTGGAGTAGGGACCTCATGCGTACTTTTTAAATGGCCAATTTCCTGCTTTTGCAGGGTTTCCTCATGTCCTCTGAGCTTTCTTGCCTTTTAAGGGATAAAATATTTACCACTTGCATTGTCCCTGACAACAAATATTTCCTGGTCCCCTAACTCCTTAAATAAAGCAACCTTGCATGCCTGTTTATCTGCTGAAATACTCTGGAGTCAAGAAATATAATGAGCTGTTTCTGCAATAGAAGTGTCTATCAGCAGCCTTGTAGCCCAGTGATTGTGACACTGCACACCTCGGCCCAGATAAAAGGTCCACAAAAGCAACCCCTTCAGGGTCAAGACCCCCTCAACCTATCCCAATTGCCAGCTCTGTTTTTTCATAGAATTGTGCAACATTTGCTGCCTTATAGGAAACACCTGGCTCCAGGGAGCAGTCACAGTTTTCTTCTAGGGTTCTCCTTCCTGTAAGACTAGTTCTTGAAACTGTCTTAGGTCATGACTTCTTGAACTTCTGGTTGTCCACCACCTCGTCCATCTCCCATCACCTCTGCAAATCCACACTAGCAGAAAGAAAAGTGGTATGGAATTCTTCCACAAGCACCTGGCTCCTTCTATACCCCAGAGACGCAGCCGCCCACCCACCCAGGAGCCACACCAAGCACATGCTCAGGAGACGTCCCTCCATGCTGGCTCCTGCAGCTAGGCTGAAAAGTCCAGGCTCCAAGACCACCTGACTCAACATCCCCATGGTGTCACTGACATCAGGAAGCTGCACAGGTCACACATCCTCTAAAAAGCCTCTGAGAGGCAAGCTACCTCAAAAACATATGCTGGCTCCAGCCTAGCGGCTCCTAAAGAATTTGAGAGAGAAAGCACAGCATGCTCTTTTTCTGCAGTTCTCAGGTACTCCCAAAGCCCGGTGCTTTTCTCCCTCCCGTGTGTAGCTCCCCTGCTGTACATGTGCTGGGATCGAGTATTTCAGATGCACAGCCTGGGGAAGGCTGTCTGGTTTTCAGACAGCCCCTTTGATTTACGATCCTGTGGTTAAATCAGTGCAGGATTTTGGAGAAAGACCAATTCCATTTGCTTACGAGTCTGATCCTGAGGCTCTGGCATCTCTAACGACCTTGGCAATCATTTGCTTTTAATTACCATTTGATTCCATCCCTGAAAGAATGAGCCTGGCTTCTACCCCTCCAACTGCATAGTTCTGAAGAATCTCGGCAGAGGATTATGGCTGCTCTGACGCTAAACTTGATTCAGGCAAAGCATCTTCTTTCAGGGTTACTTTACGCTGTCTTGACTTTTTTATAATGAAGAGTAGCCAGTTCCATCCTGAATGAACCCTCCCAGCACACCTGAATCTCTTCAAACGTCACTTATTTGCCAAAGGACTCTGGACCTCACAGCAAAGCTGTATAAAGCTTAGAAAAACAAGTTGACTTAAAGTTTCTATTTTTACACGGTGTCCTGTTTCTAGAGGGGCTGAGGCTCGTGGTTTGAAACTCAATTTAGCATTTAAACTAATTTTCAGCTTGGTCTCTATGGACCAGCAATTAGGGAAGTAGAAGAGTTCAAAGGAGGAGGTTCCAGCCTCTCCTGGGCAGGCGTGTACGGTCTTTGAAGACGTTCTCCCAGCCTTTCTTCCTGTCTCCGCTGGCGGCCACAGACAGCTCGGACAACCTGCTGTGGCTGGGCCCGCGTGGGCACACAGTGCCCAGTCTTTCTGGTGCCCGGGTCTGGAAAGACACCAATGGCTGAGTCCATTTTGTTCCTTCTCAGAGCTGTCCTGGGGAAGGATCTGAAAACTTCCTGAAGACTCCGCTGCACACTGCAGGCCAAGAGGTACAAGGCGAGAGACAAGAGAAGAATGGACCCTTTCAGCTACCAGAGCCACTCGGCCTTCCACTGACCCCCCCCCCCCTCAGCCATCTTGCGAGGCAGCTAGGCTGGCTCAGGAAGCCTGGGTCCTCCTTCCAGCTGGGCTGCCACCTGCATCTGTGGCCACAGCATTCCTCTGGGTCTGGGAGTGTTTGCTTGCTTTTTTTTTTTTTTAATCTAAATTTTCTGTGATGACTGTGCTTAGGTAATAGAAGATCACAGCACAAAATGCAACAGGTACCAAAAGTGAAGTCTCTGTCCGACAATCCCAGATAGACAACTCTGTCACTTCCTCTGAGGCAGTCATTAATTTCCTCCATAAATATCTGATTCCTTTGCAAAGAGTCCCTCTTCTTCTCCTTTCATTATTAGTTTTATGCAGATGGTATCATATTATTCACGCTATTTTATAACTTCCTTTTTTCCTACTTAACAATATGTCTCGTGTAGTATCTAAGGTCCTAAAGCTCTTTCCACCTTAATTTTCTGTCATCAAGGAATCAGGCCTGGGATTTAAAGAGTCTATTTCTTAAGAATCTGGGTAAATGTTCCCACAACTGCCTTAGCAGAGCAGGGAGGAGAAAATGGGAGGAAGTGTTTTATGGCTAGGCATCATGAAACACTTTGATGTTCCCTGGTCAGTCGACATTGTCATTTTCATTCCTCTCTGAGCCATTGGCCCAGAAGGGCGACTTACTCTAGGTTAAGAGAGATGGAGCTTTGCATTCAGGCCCTATCCTGATGCCCACAGGATTCTGCACATTAACCCTATTGATTCTTATATTTTTGCCATTTTACAGAAAAGGAAAATGAAGTCTCCAGTAGGTCAGATAACTACCAATGCCACACGGCTGATGACAGCAGAACTGGCTTCCAGGATTGGCTACCGTTTCTGAAGTCCACATACTTGCCAATTTGTCCAAAAGGTGTTAAATTCTAAAAAGGTCAGCTTTACAATTGCTGTCTTTAATTGCCATGCCAATATTTAATAATTTTCACTTGTGGGGCATTTTCCCTCCAGGAGCCACAGACAGGTCTGCAGAGGGACATTGACGGGAATGAAGTGTCCCCTCCTGGAGTACCCCTGGGCGCCAGCCTTAACAATGCTGACTGGGCTTTCAGACTCCATCTGCGGAGCCACACCCAGGAGTGCAACGGGGTAGAGAGGCAGGTAAGAAAATAAACGTGATGATGGTTAATTTTTCCCCCAGTACTAAAAAGAGCAGAAGAGATCAGAGCCCGTGCAGGCGCATGAAGGTGAGGAAAAGGAACCAGAACCTGAGTGGGTGCAAAGGACTAGTCCAAGGTCGGGTTCGGAGCCCACAGCCCGGCCCACGCCCGCCCAGCAAGTTCCCCAGCCGCACCTGCCTCCTCACTCAGACCTCGCACTCAAGGCTCCCCGTGCTTTTTGGTGTTTTGAGGCTCTTTGGTGTCTCTGCTAGAAAGTGGGCAGGCTTTTCCTATTCAGCAGACCTTCACAAAGGCCCCGAGGGAACGGCGGGTTGCGGGGATGCTCCTGGCTAACCCCAGGTTTCTGGATTATCTGTGGGCCGTTTTAATTCATGACATTCACACCTTCCTCCCGTTACCTGAGATCATTTGAAAGATGGCGGCCGGGCGGACGGTGGCTCACGCCTGTAATCCCAGCACTTTGGGAGGCCAAGGCGGGCGGATCACTGGAGGTCGGGAGTTGGAGACCATCCTGGCCAACATGGTGAAACCCCATCTCCACTAAAAATACAAAAATTAGCTGGGCATGGTCGTGGGAGCCTGTAGTTCCAGCTACTTGGAGGCTGAGGCAGGAGAATCACTTGAACCCGGGAGGCGGAGCTTGCAGTGAGCCAAGATGGTGCCACTGCACTCCAGCCTGGGTGACAAGAGCAAAACTCCGTAAAAAAAAAAAAAAAAAAATCCCAGAAAGGTGGCTAGACTATACTCAGAGCGAGCCAAAGGTAGGTATGAAGCCCCTTCTCCTGCTACTATCTCAAACCAAGTGGACCTGGCCAGTATAAAACAAGAGAAATGCTATGCAGCTACAGTGTCCAGTGCCGCCTTTGGGCAGTGCTGCCAACCAGAAAGGCCCCAAAGTATAATTCGAAGCCCATTATTCTTACCCATTTTCCCAAGACACCCACTCAACCCTGACCCAGAAAGCACACCCCAGTCCAGGTATCACCCTATGAGCCGATTCTCCTTCTGATACCTGCCCAGGGGAATCAACATGTTGAAGGGCAGAGTTTTGGTCTCCTTTCCCTGTGTCCCATTCTAGGAAAACCTCTGGGACCCCCTGACAGCTGCAGCAATGGAGCCGGCATCAGAGGCTGCCCTCCCTCTCTGCCCTAATTCATGTTGGCCTCTTCAGTGCATTTGAAACTTACAAGGCAGAATGAAATGAGCCTGGCTCCTGATCTGTGTTGGAACAAACCCCCAAGGGCATCCTGAGCCGGCAGGAATGCTGGGCCTGGGCACATGGGCTGAGCACAGGGCTTCATCTCACACGCGGGGACACAGCCATGAAAAGATTCATCCAGAGGAAGCAGCCTCCACCAGGTGGGCTTTCTCAGTAGCTATTTCATTATTATAATAAGAGCCACTTGCATTGCACAAGCTCACAATAACATAGATTAAAAAAAGATAACACGGAGCAGTCTTTGGCAGAAGTGCCCTGTGATACCTCTATTGGTTATGAGTAGTCTTGGAGGACTAATAAGAAAAAAGATTTTTAAAAAATGAAGAAACCACCAAACAAAAGTTAAGCAGGGCTCCACAGTTACAGAGCCACCGTGCTAGAGAGTGTTCCACGAAGTCAATGGGGACGGCCGGGGAGATACTCCACAGAGACCTGCCCACCGCCCACCCGCAGCAGGCCCGGGTCTGCACGTTCACACTACGCACTGGGCAGAAGCCCACTCCCCTCCTGCCTGGGACTTCACAGGCTCTGCGGGGAGATGGTGGAGGTGATCGAGTTACACATGGACGTGTACTCTAAGCTTGTGGGAAGGAAATGCCTTGTGAATTCCAAATATAATTACTAGAATATCATTCAAGGAAAAGACATTATAAGGTTTAATTGTTTCCTGCTCTCCTTAGTCCCCTCTTCTGATTATGGTGACTTTACATTTTCCTTAGTGAAATGAAAAGAACGTGGGGTATGGAGGAAGGACCTTTGGACTCATGGTCCAGCAGGAAAACTCAGTAGCCGCGTGGCCTGGGCAGGAGCCATAACCCCTGGGACCTCAGCAGGCTGTTCTGCCTAAGAGTGTCGGGACTCACCAGGGTGACTCTGGTGGACAGTCTCCGTGGAGTCTAACACCCCACACAAATCCCACTGTCACCTCCCCTTTCTGTCCCTCCCCGCCTCCTCCAGGGCCTGGGTAGCTGCTATTGTTTAGTATCTTTTCCAGGTGTGGTTATGACATCGCCTTCACACTGTCCTCTTGGAATCACTGAAGAGGTTCCTGGGATGGGAGAGCTGAAAGGAGCCTTAGGAATTTTCTAGAACCATCATCCCATGCCACCACCCACTTCAGTAGGATAACCGAGGTTCCAAGTCACAGAGCAAGTTGGTGGCAGACCCAGGTCTCCTGACTGGCTAAAGCACCCTCAGCCCCAGCCTTTCCCATCTCCTCCCACCTCGCAGCAGCCCCACCTTGGCCTGCCCCGCCATGATGCAGAATTCCCCCTTTCAAGGGTGCCCTAGAGCCCCCATGGCAAGCCTTTAAGAAGGATCACCCACTTTACTCAATAAAGAGGAGAACACAGAGCTCTGAGGTACCTTGGCATTCTGCAGAGGGGGCTGGTAACTGGAGGGCCGGTAGAACATCCTCTGGGTGGCATCAGTGTGAATGTCACCAAGGAAGAGCTCCTCGACCAGGTGGTCGAGGTTGTGGTGAAGGTACTGCTTCTCCACCCGGATGAGCTGAAGTTCATGCATGGCAAAGTTCACGGCCTTGGTGCACTCACAGCCGTTCTCCTCTCGCCAGAGGTCATAGGCCACGTCCTGCACCCAGGGACCCCCGTCTGCGAGGAAGCCCGGGCATGTGCGGTTCACCTGCTGGCCGAGCTTCTCGGCCACCGCCTCTGTGTGGCAGATCACCTGGACGTTGTGCAGCTGGTAGTCGGCTTCCGTGCCCCCTCGGATGATCCAGGAGGCCTGGCGGAGGCGGATCTTGCCCCGGATGATGAGAGTATAAGTGGGATTTGTGCACCGGTTGCTGCCATAATAAAATTGGTAGGCCTTGAAGGTGTTATTGTGGTAGAATCTGTAGGACCTTGTGATGAACTCTGGGCCTGACCTTACTTCACAGCTGGGCAAGAAAAGGGGAAGAAGAGACCTTTGTAAGCCTGAAGGTATGGGAAAGAGATTCATTATAGTATTAAGAAATTACAGAAATAATAATAAAGTGCTGACGATGGGCCAGACTCTGTTGTCAGCCCTTTATAGATACCAACTCATTGACTCCTCACAACAACCTAGGAGTTAGGTATTATCATCACCCAGGTTTTACAGGTGGGGAAACTGAGGTTAGGGAACATGCCCAAGAGCACATGACCAGCAAGTATCAGAGCCAGTCCATGAATCCAGGCAGCCTGGCTCTGATGCTGTGCTCCTAATCACTCTGCCTCAGCCAGCCTTCCACTCGCTTCACGAGCAGGCCAGGAGGGCAAACACCTGCTGCCCTGTGCAGGCATTTCTTTCTGGATAAGGAGGATGAGTGCTGTGCTGGCCTATAAAAGAAGTTCCCTTACGCTAGTTCAAAAACGGTCGACTTCCTGAACACTTTTATTTTATGGACCTTGTCTACAGCAGGCAGGTGCAAAATGTCTGTCATCCTGAGACAGAATCTAGTCATCTAGCATCTTCTTGTCCATTCAGAATTAATTTTCTCTCTAGTAGAAAAGTAAAGGGGGCAATTAACTAAAAGCAAAGCTGGCACAACAGAAATAAGGGTTCCTTTTGTTTATGATGGTTGCCAGTGTGGCCTTAGATGAATGCTAGGTTCCTGAGCCAGAAGCACTGAGACAGAATCTACAGAGCATAACAGCAGCGGGATGGAATTGAGGGATTTCACAAACGGCTCTGTCAGCCATTCACATATACTAGCTGAGGCTGCAATGGGGGTACGGGGAGGTACTTAAAGCCCTGGCCAAATGACCTGGCCTTAGCCTTTTGTTAGCTCCTAGTCTCAGTTACGCCATGACTTTCAGCTCATCAATTCTGGCCTTCCCACTCTGCTCTCATCTATGATGCTAACACAGATTCTGGTTTGAACTGACGAAGCGCTGCTAAATCAAGCAGTCAGGCTAAAATGCCAAACACAAGTGGTTTTCAAAATTGCTAACATTTTAATTTGCTCATTGATGGACTGGTGAAAGATAAGCATTATTTAGACAGGGGTACCGTTGCTATGTAACGTTTGACAACTGATGTCGAGTAACATCCTATGGACATAAAGCACTCAACAGTACCTGGGGTATCTGTAATCTTAGAAAAAGGAGAGAGCAAACACCCCAGATTTCTCCCACAAGGAAAGAGAAGTTTAGTGTAAGCAGTGATTCATGTTAGATGAGGTTTAGAAAAGAAGATCCCTTTTGTTTAATTTTTTAATCTAAGCATCAACAGTCTGTTGATTCTGCCTGCCACGTACAGTGGATCTCAGGCCCACTCACTTCTCAGTTGCTCCTGCAGCTCCTCTTACCTAAGCCTCTGTGCTCTCTAACCAGAACGGCTGCAAAGGTCTTTTAACTGGTCACCCCCAAATCACTTTTTCTCCCGTCCATTTGCCAAACAGCAGCCAGAATGCTCTTTCAAAAAGCTGAATCATATTTTAAGCATGGCCCCTGCTGAAAGCTCTTCAATGACTTTTCAGTTCTCTTAGGTTAGAAGATCTGGTCTGCAAGATGCCTTAGAGCTGGCCTACCCTCCCCAGCAGCCTCATGTGAGGCTGTCTGCCCTGGTTTACTGCATCCCAGCCACAGGGTTCTCAGCCAGCAGGTCCTCCAATCTAGCCAGCCTCTTGCTCACTCTGCATCTAGCCTGGCATCTGGTTCTTTAAATACAAAGCTCTTCCCACAGTCTTTGCACAGCCAACAATGTCTCAGCTCAAGGGTCCCCTTCTTTGGTAGGCTTTCTGAACTCCGCCCTGATTTTAAAATGGGGCCCCCTGGTATTCTCTTTTAGCACCTGTTGCTGCCCCAACCCCTCCACTTTCATAGTACTTCTTGTGTATTTACTTATAAAACCCTTGAAGACAGGGACCAGGTCTGTTTTGTTCACTGCTATATAAACAAAACTTAAAATAGTGTTTGGCATATGGTAGGCACTCAATAAATATTTGTTGAATAAAATGATAAATATTTTAAAAGTATGTAACATGAAGGTTGTTTATACAAATTGTTTATCGTGGTTATTTGGAGAGACCTCATTTTTATGAAATAAAATTCTGGGTCTTCATCATCTTATACAATTTCTTTTTTTCTCTTCTCCATATTCATCTGATCCCTCCCCAAGGAACTTGAAGGCTGCTATCCATATCCCGGGAACAGCGCACAGGGAGAAGTGATCAGATCCCAGAGTTAGTCTTGTTAATTCTCAGCAATCTAATGGGTAGAAAAAAAAAATCGCAGATCTGCCTCTCGGCTATTTTTAAAAGCTCTAATGGAAGATAAGCCAGAGCTCAAACTGGGATAAATCTCAGCTTCATAGCATGGAAAAGAATCCAAGAACTGCACCCTGGCTAGTAGAGGTAGCTTTTAACTTACTCTTAGAACCCTGAAGCCATATATTAAATTACCAGAATATGGCTAGAATATTTAGACCATCCGGAGCTTGCAAGTCATGTTTCAGGCTTGGTGAAACACAGTCTCTTAATTTCACTTGCTAATGGTTTCTTTTTATACACAAGTGGTCCCATAGAGTTCAGTAAACAAGGATCTATTCACTCACACTGTGTGGTTAACAGGAGTACAATATAATCTCTGCTTTAGCATAAGATTTCTACAGTACTTAGCTCTTTTTCTTAACCAACCATAATTTCAAAGAGTGGTTTGGTTCTTCATTAGAACTTGGACAACACCTAAATCATTGTAAATGATATAAAGTCTCTGCATCTGAGAACCCATAAGAAGGGTCTTCCATAGTGGTGTGCTCTCTGGCCTCTCCCAGACCCCACCTGTCCTCTTACCCTGTGGAGACCCAGTGGCCCTCGATTGTAGGTGGCATCTGCACTGTGATCCTTGCACCATTGTGGAGATGTTTGAGCATGTGATGGCACTGTGACTCCTTAAAAGCCCTCCAGGCACTTTTCTCTAAGGACCTAGGATGAGACCTGCTGTCTGGATGAAGGAGGGCAGAACCCTCTCCCAGCCCTGAAAAATAAAGGTGGAAAGTTAGCCAAAAGAAGAAGTAGCAGCAGACATGAATCAGGCCAAACAACCACCTCTGCAGCAGACAGTGGCTGAAGGTGGGAAATGATTGTTTATTCTACAAGGTGTCATCACAGTGCGTGCTCTCGTGTATGATGCACATTCCAAAGTGGCAAGTGTCATTGTAGATCAATTCCCTGGTGAGAAAACTGAGGTCCTTGGAGATCACCAACATAACTTGCTTGAGGTCACTTAGCTAGTTCCTGGCAAAGCCAGAGATCAAATCCATGCATCTATGAAGCAACAATGAAGGTTGTGCATCTGAGGAGTGTTTGTGCAAGGCGGCCAAGGGAAGGTGACTGGCACTGTAGCAGAGAGAAATGAACATGTTCTGGAGTCACCAAAGTGGAGGAGGTGGGGAGAGGTGAAAGAGGTGTCATCAATAAGGGTGAATTTACACAATGACAGATTTAGGTGAGGAAAGGAAAGAACAAGGAGACCAGCCTCAATGAAACTGCAGCCTGGGCAGTGATGGAAGGAGAAGGCCCAGGAGACTAGGAAGATTCCCAGCTGGGATGTGCTTGCTGGCTTGGCTCCATCTGCTTACACCAAGCCATGCATCTTCTGGTTCTCTGTCTTCAAGTGGATGCCCTCTACAGGGCTGCTCACCACGTGGTGTGAACCTTGCACCCTCCTACAATAGGGACGTGGTGTGACATTTCCCCCCCAATTATCTTCCAAGTCCAGCCCCTCACCCTCACAAGGCCAGAAATAACCTAAACATACAATACAGGGCTTTAAATTAAGAATAATGGCAAGAAGATTACATATGTTTATTTCCCAGGGGTAAAGACATACTAGCAGTAAACTTATCTTCAGAACGAGTCATGCAGGTTGGCCACAATCTACCCATGCAAAACTACCACCAGCCTAATGTTCAGAATAAAGCAATTAAAACTGGTGGAATTATTATCTGAAAGCCACGGTCTCCTCTGATATTCACTCCTGAAGTGATTAACAAATCAACAGGCATTTATGGCGGACCTACTACGTATTTAGCCCTGTGTTAGCAGAAAAGACACTAGTTAGACAACTGTACAAACTTTTTTTAAATATACAAAATAAATAAAATGTACCTGTTTGAATGCTACTGGTGAGGAAGCAATTATATTTTTTAATCAACACATAAATAGCTTCATAGAGAAGGCACGGTTTCTGAGAGATGATTTGAAAATGAGAAGTTAGATTCAGAATATAGTCACTTACAGCAACATGACGAAAATCTACCTGGATAAACTGAGACCTGCAGGATGGTAACTTCAGATATCTGTTAAATATTCAGATATTTACCATCATGTGGACAAAACATTCAAAAGACTAAACTAGTTTTTGATGGAAAGTCTTGGTGTTGAGAAGACAGAATTTTCCGTATCTGAACTCCCAGATTTTCCCTCTAAGTAGAATTCTGGCTTTGAGATGGAAAGACAGCTTCTGATCGTTCTTACAGATTTTACATGCAATGAATGTCAGTGAGACAAATATACCTAAGGGTATTACTCAACTAAATGAAAATTGTGAAAAGAGATTCTAGACAAAAGAGGAGAGTGCCATGTTCAAATTAAAGGCAACCTCACTCAGCCCTGTTTAGCCAAGTCCCCTGATTCTTGCCTGAGCTAGAATGGGGCAAACTCTAAACATGAAAACTCTGCCTAGTGTTGTTATTATTCATGGTCATGGTTATTAAGCCAGGGCTTCCTTTCCTGAGGCCTCAAGTTCCATTGAGGCAAGGCATCTCCACTAGAGTGGTACTCCTGGGCATTCCCTCCCCCTCCCTCATTCTGCCCTCCCCTGGTGAAGTCACATGAGTTATGGAAGTGGAAGCAAGCATGCTTGATTCAGTCATTTTTCTCTTTTCAAAACCAGCCTATTTACAAAGCACATGCATTTTGATCAGCTCCCCCAGGGGGTGAGGACCATGTCCCTTTAGTTGTTCAGCTGTGGCACTGGGCCAGATGGGAAGTCTGAAACATTCGGGGGGAACTATGAGCACTCCTATCATGGGCACCCATCTACACTGTGTCTTTTGATTAAGTATTTATCACTACACTAACGTTTTAATCCCCAAGTGCCTCACCCTCGTGTTGAACGCCCCCTTAGTTCTGAACCAGAGTAGGGGAGAGGGGACTGCTTACTGGACCTCTGCCAGCCTCAACAGTTGTAGTTATCTTGGTAACTGTCAACATTTCCTCAGTGTCCCTGCTAGGCAGTCAAGGAATGAAACCAGTATAACTTGCTGTCTGGTGGGTCAACAGTATGATCGATTTTGATGTGGCTAACTTAAAATAGATTTTAGCTAAAGTTACAAGGTATTGGGAGTTGGGGAAGATTCTGCTATAAATATGCTACTAAGCATTCAGTAAAGAAGCCATCATCTCAGTATCAACCAAGCTATCTTCTAAAACTTGATTTGTAAACCTCTACACCCTGCAAGTATTTTCCCATGAAGATAATAAAAGCCAGGAGTGTAGTGGATGTGGATTAAAATCTCTATAGCTCGGCTGCTCAAGTCTGAAACTAGATCTGCCACTTGAAGGATTGCATTGAATCCAAGACATCAAGCAGTGTTAAGATGTATCATTATTTTATTATCAGTGACAAAACACGCACATTTACACAATGATATGATGCCTTAACAACAGTCACGAGATACCCGTGAATCACTTGCAGCAGCCTCCGATGGCACTGACATTTCTGTATCTAGTCAAAGACATCTGGCAATTTCTCTTGCATTTGGTGGCACTGCTGCACGTGTGACAGATAATCTGTTTGCTCTGCACGTGTCTCAATAACAAAACAAAAACAATGCCTTATATTTTTTGGGCATTCTCCTTTCCAAGTAGTTGATTGATGCTGTGTGAGAAAATATGGAGTTGCAGTTATTCTTCCAGCAATAAATATTTGCTTCACTAATGTCAAATTAACACTCCACTGCTCTATTAGAAGATCTGTCTGATTTTCACTGTGGTTTTTCTTTTCAGTGCTGAGAGTGTAATTTATGAGTGAGGGAAGAAAAAAACCAAGCATGCTGACTCAGATGTGTACTCTCTTGATGTTCAAAATCAGCCTATTTGCAATGAATCTCCAGATGAGTCCCAAGGATGGACATAAAGGTGATGTGGGGACAGTATGAGCATCTGTGTTCTGGTTCACACAGGCAAAGGGAATGTCACCCCTCATGGCTGCTGCCTGGAGGCCAACGGAGACTGGGGCCCCCACTGATTGTGAGATGCACACGGCCTGCAGAGATCTTAAAGTACGAAAAAGATGGGTATCTTGCAGTCACTAAAACACAGTATTAGCGCAGTGACCTTAAACAAATCACTTAACTCTCCAAGCCTCTGTCTACTCGTCAGTTATGAAGGGATAAAAACATCACCCACTTCTTAAGGTTGGTTTCAGTTTAGCACCCTGCCTTTCATTCCATGTTGGTTGGTATTATTTCAAATAATGATACGGCTCTCAGACCACCCTCAAAAAGTCCCCTCTAACTAACAGAACAGTTAAAATCATGGTAAAGTCACATGGAGGAGCCAGGCTCACTCTGAGCTCTGAGGAGGACAAAGTATAAGGACATAGGGCCTCCAGGCAAAGTTAAATGATGACCCTCAATGTAGAAGAGAGTGAGGCCCAAAGTGCCAAGCTCTGCAGTTGCTGCTAAGTTCTACTCAGTTTAACAAATACCTATCAAGGAGGCTGGGCACAGTGGCTCATGCCTGTAATCCCAACACCCTGGGAGGCTGAGGTGGAAGGACAGCTTGAAGCTAGGAGTTTGAGACCAGCATGGGCAAGGTAACAAGACCCCATCTCTACAAGAAAATAAAAATAGCCAGGCACAGTGGCACATGCCTGTAGTCCCAGCTACTCAGGAGGCTGAGGCGGGAGGATCACATGAGCCCAGAAGTTCAAGGCTGCAGTGAGCTATGATCGCACCACTGCACTCCAGCCTGGGTGACAGAGTGAGACCCTGTCTCTAAAATAAACAAATAAAACACTATAAACCTTTATTTGCTATACTTTAGGAGCCAGAAACATAAAGACTAACAAAGATGTTTTTGTGTGTGTGTGTCTGTGTGTGTGTGTGTGTGTGTGTGTGTGTGTGTTTACTTTGAAGCTTTTAAGGTCTCACTGGCCTGGATGTCAAAGAACAAGGGTCAAAATGATGAAGGAGGTTCTGGGAAGGAAGTTAGGGAGTTCAAAGGCAGAGAGAGAGGGAGTGGTGGTTAGCATTTGTATGGGTCATTCATAAGACTAGAGTCACACGGGAAAGGAGGCCTACAGTTACGTTTTTAACCAGTGATGGAAGAAATACAATCTAAGAACCTCCAATATGCAAATCATTGGAAAGCAGGAAAAAAAAGACATTAAATAGCCCAGGGTTTCTAAAGATCAATATCCATTTTGCTATTGCTCACATTTGACAATGAGCACAGCTCGGAAACCCAGCGAGGCTGGCAGTGCAGCCAGGGCACCCATGTGAGCGGCCAGATGGAGAACCCCAAGGCTGGCACAGCTCCCCAAGAACACAGTGATTTCAGGCTCACACTCTAGGGTGATATTCTATTTCTAAGATGGAAAAATGGGGTTGGTATTTATTCCATTTTTATCTTTTCCCTTCAAAGTACCCAACATCTTCATTACTCTTAAGGAGCAAAATTAAATGGGTCAAGTGAAAGAAGTTGCAGTAAGGCAGGAGAAACTGACTCTTAGGGCTTCAGTTCACCACTGCAAGTGGTATCCAGTATTTACTTGGCTCATCTGATGTGGCAAATGTGGATGACTTTCCTGTGAGTACTACTTCTGTTAAATGGCTGGGAATTAAAAAGTCATTTGAAGCACCAATTTCAGCTGCAGCAGAGGCCAAGCATAAAAGTTAGACCGGTAAACCCCAAAGCTTCCTTCTCAAGAATCAGTCATGGTGTGCCCTCCAGGGACACTTGTCTCAGATTTCTGGTCAACTAAGGAGCTCCTGTGTTTGTTGCATCGCCTGAAGTAAGTCAATTCCAAATTCGGGACTAGAACTAGCGAATCATTCATTCATCCAATCAGTAAGGCTCTGAAGGGCCAGGCACTGTTCTGGACATAGCATCTACAAACATTTTGCCCCAGGGAGTCTCGGTTGGGCAAGAAACTGTAGGGTTGTAGAGGACTCTAGACAGAGGGGGCAGGGTCTGAATTCTTCCTTGAGGGCTCATGGAGAGGCATCTCTGTCTTGAATATGGAACAGAAGTGGTCTAGGTGGAGTGTGCTTGAGCACACTCAAGCATGGGGGGCAGGAGTGAGAGATTCGCATAGGAGGCTCTAAGAGAAGGGGGCACGGGGTGACCTAGGACAAGGGGCAGAGGGAGGCAGGGCCACAGTTGAGAGCACCACACATCTGTTAACGCAGAGTGGGGACTTCACTGGAAAGGTGAAGGGGGGGCCACCAAAAGATTTTCTGCAATGTCGTGGTATGGTAAGAATTTTATTTTGGAAAAATCACTTTTCTGGTTTTTTTGGAGGGACATGGGGGACAGATTGAAAGCAGGAAGATCGATGATAAGGCTACTGCAATGGTTCAGTCTTGTATGATTTATTGACTGGATAAATGAGAAAGATAAAAGAAGGGAACAGCTCCCAACAAACTACAGTAAATCTTTTGTGTAGTGTTGGAGAGGCAATGACCATCTCTTGCATCTTGTGGGGGAAAGAATTACCAAAAAGTTATATTAAAAAAGGAAGGAAGGAGGGAAGGAAGGAAGGAAGGAAGGAAGGAAGGAAGGAAGGAAGGAGGGAGGGAAGGAAGGAGGGAAGGAAGGAAGGAAGGAAGGAAGGAAGGAAGGAGGGAGGGAAGGAAGGAAGGAAGGAAGGGAGGGTCACAGGAAGGAAGGAAGGGAGGAAGGGAGGGTCACAGGAAGGAAGGAAGGAAGGAAGGAAGGAAGGGAGGGTCACAGGAAGGAAGGAAGGAGGGAGGGAGGGAGGGAGGAAAGGAGAGAGGGAGCAAGGGGGAAAGGAAGGAAGGAAGGAAAGAAGACAGGAAGGAAGGAAGGAAGCAAGTAATTTAGCAGTACATCTGCATCTGAAAAGGAACTTTTGTAAAATATATATACAGCCTCCTTTAATACATTTTAAATTGCATAAATCAATCATCCCAGTGTTTAGCAATGCAAAGTTCAAGGACCGCACTAATAATAACCATTCCCGTGTGAGTACACCTATTATTTATAATAATAAATGTGCTTATTATATATAATGCTAAGTTTTTAAGCCCCCCCCACTTAATTGGATTACTTGTGTAATTGGAAGTGTTGGTTAATCACAATATTCAGTTGTTGAAACTTCTGCCATTGTATGCCAAGTGCAGTTTGACCTTATGATCTTTCTTTGACGATTCAGGTTCTTAGAAGTGCCTTAAGGCACTACCGTGCCTGTAGAATGGGGCTGTGGATAGAAAGGTATTGGAATGAACACGTAACAACACTGTGTAGACTACGGAGTTTTTTCCTCTTATTTTACAGATAAAACAAGAGTTAGAAACCATATACTATATGTGAGAGTACACACACAAATAATGTCAACATTTTGATTAGTTGAAGATTCTAGATGTTAATTAAGGGGACTAGGGAATGGAGTTCCCATTCACTAAGATTTTGTTGCGAGTGAATCTGCAAAAAAGAGTTATCTGAAAGGATTAAACAAATATTAAGAAAATGGCTGTGAGTTTTTGGTCTTCAAAGTGGTTTTGGGTAAGTCATCTAATATATGCCTTTCTTTTTCCTCTATAAATTAAACATAATGATCATGATGATAATGACTAATGTTTGCATTACACTCGACAATTCACTTTATGTATATATCATCTCATTTGATCAAATGCTAGCTACTATACAGGTACAGAGGCACTCTTGATTGAGAATGTGTAAAGTCAGTCCATGGTACTGTCTAAACTTGAAGCTCTCCAGGGACTGTTCCCAGTCCAGAGGAATTCTGAATAACGTTATCCAAATGATTCCACCATAAAATGGTCTCAAACATTGGGGGTCCAATGGTCTGGGCCCTGATAAAATTATTATGGCAAAGGGAGTAGTTTCTTCCAAATGAATGTCAGAGAATAAAGTAGATTCTGGAAGGAATGGTTCATCTGTTAGAAACAAATTAAGCCCTGTGTGCTTTAGGACATAATTTTATAGACAACCATATCCAGAGCACTAAATGAGATCCTGGAGCTCTGGAGGGCTCGGTGGTATGTAAGTGTGTGCACCTGCGTGTGTGCACTAGTGATTTACTCCCAAGGAATACATTACCCCATGATAGTAATCCTAAATGACTGCACAATGATTGTAAACTACAATCATAATCACCATAGGCTACCAGAGAGTGAAAATTCCCAAAGATATCACATTTTAAAAACAGAGTTACCTAAATGAAAGGAAGCACAGGGTTGACCATTGACATGGAGGTTTATGCCCTAAATAAAAGGCCTGTGTGTCAGGTTAACTGTTCACATCCCCTGAATTCACCAGATCATGCACATAGAAAGCAGTCCTTGGCATAGTTTCCAAAGGGAACACACACAGTACTTCTGCTAGAGCCATCCACAGCAGATCTCATTCCTAAACCCATGGTGTGCTAAGGAAGCACGCCAGTGTACCCGGAAACCAAACAGAGCCTTTGTAGACAGTGAGAGAAGAAAAAGGGTGGGGTGCCTGCTGGACTTTTGCAAGTCAATATTCATTCATTCAACAAATGGTTGAGTGCCTACTATGTGCTCAGGTATCTCTTAGGCTTGAATCATTGCGACATATACAGGAAAAAGTGAAATAGGACAGTATACTCCATGTACAAGTCCTTGATTTTTCAATAAAGTTTTTTTTGCTTGTTTGTTTTTTGTTTTTTTTTTTTTGAGACAGAGTCTTGCTCTGTCACCCAGACTGGAGGGCAGTGGCACGATCTCGGCTCACTGCAACCTCCGCCTCCTGGGTTCAAGCGATATTCCTGCCTCACCCTCCCGAGAAGCTGGAATTACAGGCATGCGCCACCACACCCAGGTGATATTTTTGCATTTATTTTTTAGTAGAGACGGGGTTTCGCCGCGTTGGCCAGGCTGGTCTCCAACTCCTGACCGCAGGTGATCTGCCCGCCTTGGCCTCCCAAAGGAGGCCCTTGGCCTGGGATTACAGGCGTGAGCCACCGTGCCCGTCCTCAACAAAGTTTTAACAATCTGAATTATCTAGATGAATATATTCCACGGTTTTTCACCTGCCGATCTATATTGACTGAGAAATCAAAAGTTCTGATCTATTTTACACATAATAAAATGTAAAATTATTTGGGAAGGAAACGATAATTTTCAAGCACACGTGGGGCTAAACTAATCTTTGATCAGGTTAATCTCTATACATGTACTCTAAGGCTTAAGGGAAAAAACCTGAACTTGAAAAGGACTAAGTATAATGTCAAAATATCAACCATTATGGAGAGCTTAAAATGATTCTTTTCTGTTCATTTTGCAAGTTTCTGTACTTTATATAATGTGCCCTGTATACTTTAATAATCAGACTGAGAAAAGTGTTCTCGTTAGAATTGTTGTGATACATAAAATGTGACTGATTAGATTAAGTGCAAGTAATTACTTAGCCATGAAATTGCCTGCCCAATTAAATAAGCAGTCATTACTGTAAATGTGTGCTTTGAAGTGGGTGCTGGTAGATAAACTCCAGCACAGGTTTCCATTTTTTTGAAATAAAAGCATGTATGTATTGCAGACTGTACTGAATTTTACCACCATTGTGGTACTTCTGCTTATCAAGTTCTTGTTTTTATTACCATTTTTTTTGCAGTAAGCTTGCTGCTTTTGCCCATCTTAAAATCTTCATATCTAAAAGTCGTCTCTCTTTATGAGCAATATAATAAGGTCAAGTTTTCAAATTCCTGGCTCCACTTGACTTTAGTTGAAAACAAGTTACTTTTCTGTGCCACTTTATAGTGCCATAGTCCTCAGGGTGGACACTGGAGCTGAACCAGAGGTTGCAAAGTTTGCATGTTGGATCTGCAGCTGACTAGCCACATCCACCCTCTTCAACACAGTTGTGGTCTGTGTGTGTGTGTGTGTGTGTGTGCACGCTTGTGGGATTCCCAGCAGGGAAAATAGTGCAATCAACTGCAGTGTGCCATCCACTCAGCTCTGGGGCTCTACAATCAGTATTTCTTCCCTTCTCTCACCTAGATATTCTTCAAGAATCCTCAAGGAAGGGAGAATGCTACCTTTCGGCCAGTGGACCTGGCAAGTGGTGGCACTTGGCACATAGTAGGCCCTCATAGATGAACTTTCTGAATAAATGGTTAGCTGAATGAATGAAACCGGAAAACCCTTGCAGAACAGAATATCCTTAATAATTTTAGGATGATACCATATCCTTTCTCCAACCTTGAGATGTACATACCTATCACATGACTTTCCACAATAATTTTATTCCCAAACTGGAGAGGACTAAGCAATGGCCTATGTACACAAAACCAACCCATTAAGAACTCATACGTCCAGGATGGTAGCGGATTTTTTCCTGGTTTTCCCTGCGATCACTTCAACTCCAGGGGAAGAGTCTACTGAAGACATGCCTTGCTGTGTATCTTTCAACCGATGTAGACAATCACTAACACATCATCTTCTATTTCTGGTCTGAAATGTTTTATGCCTCCCTTTGATTGATTATATTGTCATCAGTCTGTCCCTAAATAGTAGTATGTAATTACACAGACATATCACCCACCTATATTTAGTTCTTTTCTCATTTAAGGGGAAAAAGAATGAACTCAGCTAGTATAAAAGAATGAAATTGGCTTGTCAATCTCTTTAACAGAGGATATTTAACATCTGTCTGAGACCCTTGCCCCTGTTGGGTACAGGTGAGTCATGCTTCTTTTCAAGACTTCATTTTCTTTTTATGACTAAGAGGAGGGAAAAAAGTGCAGGAAAGAATGTTTTCTTGGTCACAAAAACTGTCCTTAGTAAAATAGTTTTTCAAAGATTTCTATTTTACCCTGTATAAACGTTTCCTCACATTATGTCGGTTAAACTCTCATTTGGTAATCTGCAAAGTTTTTAAAAGTCTTGACAGAATAAGCTTTAATGAAAGGAGAGAGCTGAAAGAGCCTTCACCTCTCAGAAAAGTCAACGAATTCTACAAAAGTAAACAGGGTGTGGGAATAGAACATCTCTCCCAACATCAGCTCCAAAACTCAAAATCAAATGTTTCCATTAGCAAAGAGAATCAGGCACTCCACTGCGGCATTACAGTCACACTTATTCTGGATACCTCATGCTAATCTGTGTTTTGGAGCTGAATGGTTTCTAGAATTTGACATCTGAAACTTTTGTGGCTTTTATCTAAGCAAAGAAAACAGTGATAATGGACATCTTCCAGCTGCATACCTTCATGACATTAAATAGGCTTTATTTGGATTAAGTACTGCAATTGTTTTCAGAATTTGAAGAGGAGGAAAGTAAAACTGACATGTATACTTTTATGCCATCAAATTTTGAACTTGGGTCTCGCACCACATTTGCAGTCTTAAATAAACAACAGGCTCAAGTCTTGCCAGAGCCTCATTTACTCACTGATAGGATTTAGGGGTGATTTATAAGTTGCAATGAATTGAAATAGAAGTAGCCACAAAACCGAACAAAGACTGGATGCCAAACATAATGGTTATCTACTGCATCCTCACACAGGATGCACTTCTTGCACTTCTTAACCTGACTTGGTGGTGTAACAAATAAATCTCTAAATGATGTGTGAAACTAAATTTATTAAAGTTTATCACAGGAACATCCAACACCATAGAACAAATGCTTTTATCTACTAAGTTGACCCATAAATAGACAAATGGTATCCTATGGTTAGCAAAATAAAATGCCTATTTATCAGGAAAAAAAATCACTAATTCCTTAGAAGATTTCAAGAATTGCCTTCAGATTTATAACTTCTATTTAAATATATGATCACACTCCATCTGTTACTACAGAATTCTTAAATGCCTGCAAAGCGCCTATCAGTTGAGTACGACATATTCAGCAAACCATTCCCTTGGTTAGGTTGAGTAATACCCATTTGCTGTTAAAAGTACTTCAATCAAGTAGATGTCATGGGGGAAAGGGGAAAGGAAGAATATCCCATTCTTTTCTGGTGCTTTACATTATCCTTGCTAATTATGGCAAACCTTTCTTAAATCCTGAGGATTTATAACTTGAACAATGATTTCCTCTGTTTATTTTCTGCACTAGAGTCTGATACTCTCTGCTGGATCTAAGTAGACCTTTGAGCAACATTAGTTTTAATAATTGTGCCATTGCAGATTCTTTCTGAAATTGGATAACTTTTTATCGGTTTATCCATGTAACCCAACTCAACTTTGCAAACCTCCCTTTTTATCTTATCTTCATATATACATATGCACATATGTGTACACACAAATGCATACACACATACCAGCACGCACACGGTCTGTCTCCACTGTGCTCCCATTTATAGCTCAGACTGCCCTTCCCAGTTATTTCCTTGCTCCCCAATCCCCCTCCCAACACCATGGGGTCTGGGGAGCCCTCCTCCCTCAGATCCCCGGAGTTATGGAAGATTCCAGACTCAAATTCTCAAACTCAGGAGATTTGGAGCTCCTGTCTTCATTGAGGATATACTTGGGCTCTTGTTACCTGTCAGCCATTACTACCCCAGCTTGGACTGCTAAATAGGAAGTATAATTACAACCCCTACCTCTCAAAATAGGGAGAACATGTTCAGAGTTACCTTGTGTACAAGGTTGCATCTCTGAGGATCACTTTTGTAGTTTAAAAGGCAATGATTTTACCCCAAAAAATGCTGTTCATGCCAACTTTTTAAGTAATTTTTTAAATTTTAAAATCATTTGACCATACTATCTTTTTTCTTCACAGATATTACAACAATTTTTTTAAGGGGGACAATGTTTCCTGTTTCATCTCTCTCTTTTGTTTCTTGTGTGTGTGGCAGCTGCTGTTTGATCTGTTCATTGGCTCTGATTTGTTTCATGTTTCAGCCAAAGATTAAAACTGCTCTGTAATTCTAAGCAGATGGGCCTAGGAGTCCAACCCTATAATTATACCTTCTCTCTTTTTGCCCTCTGCAAGCCTTCCATCCCGACTGTTAAAATTCTGGGATCACTGGGGCTCTGAGTACACCTTGGCAACTGGACAGGTCTGGCCCAGCCAGACAAGTTCACAAAGCCTGTGGAGCTATGCGAGCCATCCACCTGGGGCAGGACTACAAAGAAAACAGCATCCCGGTGGCTTGTGGGTTAACAATTCTTCCCTTTCCTTGATCCTCCGGAGGGAAGGTCCTCAGCCTGACTTTCAGTCCTGGCTACCATGCATTCTGAAGCCGGAGCCCGCTACAGGTTTGGGGTGGCTGTGGTGGGTGTTGAGGAAGGAGAGCCGTGAAGTCATGCTGTTGAAACGTCAGGTGTCTGACCATTAGGGACAGTTTGCTCAGGACATCCACATCAACACGACGTGATCTGCCACGGCTTGTCAGGATTATGAACCCGACGCGCCATAAAACCTGCCTTGTCCACCCCAAAGAAATTCTGTCTTGGTGTTTTCAGCGCAATTTCTGGAACCCGCTGAAAGGGCTGATGTTCTCTAGCTAAAGGTTTACTAGAACCCCTGGGGAAAAGTGGCACTGGAAGCCCAGGAAATGGGACGTCAAGTTGGGGTGCACATTGGGAGACTGGTAATAATGATTAAATCTTGGCTAATAGGGGTCCCCTGTTTCTTAAAATTACACCCAGAGAACGCAACAGTCCACTTGGGAGAAAACCCCACAACCCCGCCTCAATCGCGAGGCAAAGTGCAGGCAGACAACAAACACTAGTTTTCAGAAGGCAGACAGACGTGTCTTTCCCAAATGATCAGTTTCTCTTTCCACTCTCCTAAACGCTTGGAACACATCAAGAGCCTGCTGCATTCTGGCATTTTGGAAAAAGGCTCGCAGAGCCGGCGATTTCATGGCAGTGTACAGTTGGAAAATCCAGCAGAGCGGACGAAAGTTTCCCTCGGACTGGATGCAACGGATTCTGGACATAAAAGGTGTCTGCGTGGGAGAGCTTCCACCCTTCCAAAAAGAACAGTCCCGCAGCAAAGAGCTCCGGGCGCCCTGGGGGAGAGCGGTCCCAAGCCTCGGAAAGTGGGCAGAGCCCCCTCTCCCAGGGCTGAGACGGCAGGCGCGGGGCTCCCCTCGGACCCGCCCCGCCAAGGGGACAGTGTAGGCCGTGCCGCGATCCAGACCCGACGCCTCCGCGGGCTCCGCGGCGCCCGGGCTGCCTCCGCCGGCTGGGAGCGCTCGAGTGGCCCTCGGGAACTCACCGTGAAGCAGGAGGGCCGGGAACAGGTATCTGAGCAGGAGGCGGCGCGGCCAGGACATTTCCAGTCCTGCTCTGGGGCCTCCCGCACGCCGCGCTCCGATTTGGTGCCCGGGCAACTGGGCGCGCGCTCTGCCCTCCGCCTCCGGCCGGGTGCGGCCGGGCCAGGCCGGGGCTTCAGGCGGCTGCCGCGCGCCCCATGCCCGGCGGGCTAGGCGCGGGGCTGCGGGGCGCGCGCTCTCTGGGCGCCGTCGGGCGGCTGTGGGCGCCCCGGCCCGGTCCGCGTCCCGGCCTCTCTGCCGCCCGCCCCGACTTCTCCGCGCCCGGCCCCGCGTCCCGCCCCGGCCGCCGCGTGCGCCGCTCTGAGCTGCAGTGGCCGCCACCGCCACCGCAGCTGCAGCGTCTCTTCATATTTCCAGCGCGCCGCCGGCCGGGCAGCCTGGCCGCGGCACGGAGGAGGGGCCCTGGAGGGGGCGGTCGGGGGAGGCGACGCCGAGCCACCGCCCCCGGGCAGCCGCCGCCGGGGGGGAGCGCGGAGACTTGAAAGGGCGCGTCGGGCAACGCCTCCCCTCCTCCCACTCCGGGCGCCCCTCCTCCCCCCGCTCCCCTCCCGCTTCCCTCCTTCCCCTCTCTCGCCTACCCCTCCTCTTCCAGCTTCCTACCCCTTCCATCCTCCCCTCCTCCTCTCCTCCCTCCAGGCCCCTCTGCCTCCCTCTGGCTCTGCGCACCCCTTTCTCTCCTCCCCGTCCCCCATTCCGGGCGCGCTTCCTCCTTGGAGGGGGTGGGAGCCTTTGGCCCCGCACCCCGCCCGCAAGGAAAGAGAATGCGCGGGTCACCCTTCCGCCTCCGCCCACTCCCCTGGGGAAAGGTGTTCAAAGGGGGTGCGGGCGGCGAGGCTGGAGGCCTGGCGTGGGATCCAAGCAAAGCGGCCTGCTGAGCCGGGGTGTGTGCCAGCGCGCAGCCATGGGAGAGAGGGGAGACCAAAGAGAGAGTCCTGGAGGGTTGCTGGGGGTGAGGATGCGTCAGTGCTGGGCCCCCTCGTGGGTGCGGTGCAGGTCTTCACTACAAATCGCCTACCCCGGCCCAGTGCCTGGCTCCTCTGGGGAGCACGGAGAACCTTGTCATAGGCCCCAACCTGGGAAGGGCACGGTGTAGGAGGCAGGAGCCCGTTCACTTTTTCCTCCCCCTTCCACTAGGCAAATGACTTGTTGAAACGGGAGAAATCTCCGAGAAACGCTCCCTGTCAGTCTAAGAACGTGCACTTAGGCCCCTTCGCCGAGTCCTCTTCTCTTCCAGAGCAAATTGAATCACCACAATCAAAGCTGATTTTATTTGTGTTCGCGGTCTTGTGGGGGAGGGGGGACTACATGGGCGTTTGAGACCCAAAGGCAGGAAGAGTTTCCCCTGGGGTCCTTCGTTCTCCAATGCGGGTACAAGGCAGTGGCCATCTGATTTACCTGGAAGGTCCCTCCTCTGCCAAGGGCCTGCTTGAGCCCTTCCCCTCTTCCAGCAGTTTTCCCCCTCCTAAGGTTAATGTCACCTCTTCTCCACACTAGGATAAAGAGCAGACAGGAGACCCAGTGGAGTCTAGAGAACATTTCTTGACGCAACCGTTAGTGTTTTTCATTTAAAAAAAAGATTAAAATAAATGCCTGATTTCCCAAGAGAATTCTCTGCCCCTTTGAACAATGCAATAATTCAACTCCTTATGTGTTAGACTTTCAAAAGTAGTTGGATCTTAGCAACGGTATAATAGTAAAATAGATGAGAATACATTTGACAGTTTCCACTTTTCTTTTTTTTTTTTTAACCTGAGAAATCCATGGGTGTTTTGATGTGATAGTGCTGACGCTGTTTGATGTGTCTTAATTTTTATCACCATCATTATCATCTTTCCATCATTAATACAGAGGATCATAAGATGTACCAGCTGCTCAGCTCACACGGATGTTGTGAAGATTAATGTGCTCCTGTTTGCAAATCTTGAAGATGAAAGAATACCTGTGTGGGCAAAAAGAAGATCATGAAAACGATGCCTATGAGCGCAGGCATTATTTTGTGTTAGTCTTGCTCTGCCACATCTTTCTGAGCCTGACTTTGTACCTGATCGTTCTCTCATCCCAGTTGCTAGGCTTGGGTAGCAGACTATGATTTGTAAGATTTGAATGTTTGCCAAGGGCCAATCAAATTTTCATTTTAAACCAAGAATTTGACTTCTTCACGAATGTTGGGCAGTTGGAAACGATGTAAACAGCATACTTGGTTGGTTATGCAGAACAAAAGCCTTGTCACCAAGAACACATATGAAGTGGTGTTTAGTTTTTCAATGTCTTTTAGTCATTTGATGCCTTTTAGTCCATCAAAGAATATTTGAAACAAGCAAATGGCTAAGAGAGTGTTAGGGGTGGTGCATTTTTGTATAAGCAAATAGGTTGACAGCAATGGAAAAATGTTTAGGTTATTCATCACATATTAGAAGAACAGTTAGGTCATGTATGTGCTTAATTTTTTGATTTTGTTATTAAAAAAAGGATAAAACCAACAGGTCAGCTGTAATTTGGTGTCATTTTGACAGTCAAGTTGCTTCAATTTTTGTTTTTCCAACTGGTTTTACTGGTGTGGTATAAACGTAGCCAGAATGAAGTCAGCAGTTTCAAATTTGTTTTGCCAGTTTATTTTCCCCATGTAGTGTCATAGATTTAAATACTCGACCCTCAACATAACATCCTGCCAGAGTTACTACTGCCTGAAAATGTCCCCGCAACGTCCAACAGTCGAGAAGATCTAGATTTGTCCGAGGATAAGTTCATTTTCTGCATTACTTTTCACTTCTGCTGTTAATGTACCTCTTTCTGGAGAAGAATAATGAAAGGAAAAGGAAGACATGTAAATTTGTCTTAGAGAGGTTATTTGTGGATATATGTTTAGAGTAATAGAACTGGGAAGCAAGCATTGCTAGGGAGGTAATAAGTGGCTGTTAAATCCAGCACAGAATCGGGACCCCTGAAATAAGCACAGGGAATTCCCCAAACCACTTACGAGAACCCAAGCCTCAAGCAGGAACATGTGGAGCCCAGGTCCTGGTGATAATGGGAGTGTCTTTGGCAGGGACAGCTGGACAGGATCCCCTTAAGAGCATCAACAAGTGTGTTAGAATATCTGGAGCTGTTCATAAATAACCCTGGCCATGCTGATGGAGAAGAGGAAACTCAAAGGAGCTAAGTTCCCAGCCACACAACACATCGCCTCTTGGAACGCCTGTGATTTGTTCAGTTACCAACTCACGAGGCCTGTCACGTGTCTACCAAGCGGTTTTTTTTCCACAAACGCAGTTGCCCTATGAGCTTCTATAATCGCCTGTCTTTGAGTCAGAACCAGTCCTTTGCTTTTCCCTAGGAACGCTCAATCATGAGTAAATTTCCTGGGATGTAGAGCTTGGGTGATCGCCTTAGCTTGATTTTCTTAGGAGGGTGTCTTGATTTTTAGTGAGTACAGAGTAGTAGAACGCTCTATTTCATTGTTGTCCTGGGAGGCACAAGGACCAATGCCCCTTAAAACCTGGGCTACAGTTTGGTTTTCTAACGCAGTCATTGTGAAAATTGGTATAAAGTTGGGCCATCATGCAAGTCATTTAGTCATTTGGAATTTCTGAGATTCTAGGCCTTTTGGTTCTAAGAAGGGCCAGGGTATTTAAAACATGGATTCTAGAACACAGTCAACTATGAGTATGGTCGAAAGCATTTGACTACCCTCTGAGTCCTCAGAGCCTACAAAATGTCACCAGGAATAGACTTTTCTTGAAACTTGTCAGATATCAGTTCCAAGCTTGTGAGGTTACATTAAATTCCCACAGACTGGAAGCATCCAAAGGCCAGGAGTGGTTGAGTCATCACCATTCCCCTTTTAGCACCTAAGCCAGTATTTCCAGTCTTTTGCCCACAGCAGGACTTTGAGAAATGGTAGATATAAAATTTCAAAAATCCTACACAGCTCCCTCAGAGGCAAAGACAACGAAATTATCCTGAGGGGCCCTTAGAAGGGGGCATATTTTGGAGTTATATTTTTTAAACACGTTAACTAGAACAAGCTCTATTTTGAAAATAAAATGCAGTTTAGATATATCCCTGAGCAACACAGCCTCTGAGGTTAAGAAATTAAATGTTACATTCCATTTTATACTCCTGGCGTTTATCAGAGAAAACAAATAAAATGTTTGTGAGCTTAGCAAGCATTCATTCATGTTTTGACCAACTGGTGAGTATCAGATACATATGTACAACCACCTGAAATTAGGAACAGGTATGTATGAAGGGGATTTGGCTTAATTGTTCATTTACCCTCTGTCACGAGTCTGTTTGGGGGACTGATGAGAAGACTATGGACCTTCCCACTGGAAGAAAATATGAGATGACCTCAGGGACAGGAGACACTCAAGGACCTCAATAGCATTTTTGTCTGTACCTTCATGTGACTTAGAGACGATTCTTCCTTTTAGTGCTGATTGCCTTCTATGTCTAACTGCTTTATCTGCGCAACTAAATTATTTGGCCCTTTGAAGGCAGGAAGAAAATCGGGTATTATGTGTGTGTCTCCTCCCCCAGCCCCTTCACAAGTCCTTCCATAATGGGCATTTGTTGGACTCGTAAATGAGGCAGGATAAGATCAGAGCATCAAAAAATAGTCTTTATGAGCCACCACCACCCTAAGCCACTTCGGCACCCAACTACAGAAACAGGAAGATACAAAAACTCTGGTATTCACTCCGAGCATACCCGAGGTTGTTATGGCACACATAGCAACACTCAAACAAATACAACAAATAAGAGGCAGCCTGGCACAATTGCTAAGGAGCCAGATTCTCTGGGCACAATCTCTCAGCTCTATGACCCTGGGCAAGTTACTTAATCTGGCTGTGCCCCAGTTTCCCCATCTATAACATGGGGATAATAGCAGCATATACCTGCACATAGTTAAGTGTTACATAAGTGCACCCTAAATAATAATTCACTGACAATAATGAGCTTAGACTAGACCATACATTCTCACCAATAGCAAAATTGCCCCCAAGGGAGCAAAAATTGGTTCTTAGAGGGGGAGGTGAAAAAACTTAGATATTACAATGATTTATAGCCCTCCAAAAAGGCAGTACTTAAACAGATGTAAAGTGTATCCATGGTACTTACAATCTAATGGGATGAGTAAAAAAAAAATGTTTAAAAAGCTTCCTTCAGGGGCAATAATAAAAAGGAAGTTCGAGAAACATTGTACAAGATGAAAAATTATAAGATTAGTCGTATTACAATTAGTCATGTATCAAACATTTTAATAACTTTGTTCCTTTAATTCACTATGTTTTGATTATATGAAACCAAATATGTTTTACTTCAACTGACCATCTGGGGTGGCAATCTACCATCTGATTACATCATTGTAACATTACATTCAGTGTTATCTTTCATTGAGATAATTCAGCTATTACTAGTCTCTCTTTGCAGATGGGAAAACTGAGGCCAAAGAGTGGTTTGCCTAAAAGTCACAACTTTAAAGGGGCAGAGTCACTGGGTTTTCTGGCTCTCAGTAAGGTGCTATTTGCAGCTCTAAGACTAGACAGAAAAAAAAAGTAGAAAGTAGAAAAATTGATTTAGATGTGTTTTGAGACATTCAAGCTAAAGGGGAAAGGTAGGAATGTTACATAGGCTATTTGGACATTTATTGCAGTTGGTATCTGGTACTATAGTTCATTATTTCATGCATAAAATATTCAAACGTTTTAGTGTTTAAAACAGATTATTGCACGCTGTAAGATAGGCAAGTGGACCAGCTAACTACTAAAATGCTGCCCACTGCCATGAATCTCTGAAATTTTCAGTATTAGGACTTGACTAGTCCTTTTAGAATGTACACATTTGTGTGTGTGTGTTTTGGATTGTGCATATTCAGGGAGAGGAGCCATATGAAATCACATTTCATCTAGCTGAAACTTAGGTCTCTAAAGCAGAGCTAAGCGAAAACAGAACAGTCCTCTGGGCCACCAAATTCAACATCACAAAGTTCACACGATGCCTAATCTCCATAGTTGTATAAAACTTTGAAATGCTCAAAAGATTTTTCAAATACATGGTCTCCTTTGATCACCATGCCATTTTTTTTGAGGGTCAGAGGACAGCCAAGGCTGTTTAATGTAAAGACGCAAACTTGAAGTTCAGAGAGTTTTGAGATGCCTCTACAGGCGCTGAGGGTTTATGTACCTTCTGTTCTGCGAGAGCATACCAGGTGCTAACTTAGAATGTGTTTTATTTTCACATACAGAAGTTGGTGACTTTGATGCTTCTGTCCTTACAAAAAGAGAAAACTTCTACAAACAGACACAAACCCAAGGCTGGAGGATTGCTTGAGATCAGGAGTTCGAGACCATCATGGGAAACACTGCAAGACCCTGTTTCTACAATTTTTTTTTAATCAGCCAGGCATGGTCGCACATGCCTCTAGTCCCAGCAACTTGAGAGGCTGAGGTGGGAGGATCGCTTGAGCCCAGGAGGTCAAGGCTACAGTGAGCTATGATTGCACCACTGCACTCCAGCCTGGGCGACAGACAGAGATCTTGTCTCTAAAAGAAAAAAAAAAAAATGCCCCAGAGTCAAAAATAAATTAACCCTATAAACCTAAGAAAACCTTACATGCTTGTATAGTTTATTGTCTTACACTGTGTCTCTAAATTTTTCATAGGCTTTAGCCCAGTGCCTAAATTAGTAACTCTTCATAGACTCTTGATTGATTAGATGAAACCAAATGTTTTACTCCAGCAGACCCATTCGAGTTAAATGAACAACAGCAAATATGGTGGCAAATCATACTGGAGAAGAGACTAGCATCATAATGTGCACCACGTTAAGTTCAGCTTGGTCTGGGAATGGCTTAGCCTTACTTGTGTAAAGCATGAACTATCTGCTGCTTCTACTCCCAATCCCTGTATTCTTGGAGAGCCTCTAAGTCTGCGTACTCAGCACACGTTGCTCTGCAGTGGCAAGGAAAATTTCTTGAAGCAGGGTCAAGGACACCAACCAAAGTCTGGAGAATTTATAGAACAAAAGATCAACATGGCTATGAGCTCATCCAGAATGAGCTACAGGACAGCAGGTTTAGGCAGGAGTCTCTGGGCATAAGAGGTCAATCAGTTGGCTGATCTTATGTCAGTGGGGACGGCCATACAGCGGTGGGCGCAAAACATCTCCCCCTGTGAGATAGCTGGATGAGCACAGTCTCCATCAGATGTGGTGTCCACAGGGTGCCCCAGAGATGCAGCAGGTGGTAAACTGTAAAGCTGTACTGCTGGCATTTAGACCAGACCTTTGTGCTTTTCTCTTGGAACTCGAGGGTTGAGCAACTCCAAAATCATCAGTAGAAGTAGATGCAAGCAGCACTTAGGTGGAACTCTTCATCTTGCGGAGGTGATGTCCACCCGTGATGGGTGGAAGAGAGCCTTGAGTCTCAGCGGAGGGTTTAGGGCTACGAGGAAACCGAGACCCCTTGAAGTCAGACCTTCTCCTGAGTATGAACTCTTATTTAGATTCCAGGTCTCCTCATCTCATTTTAGGGCCTCTTCCACCTCCACTTCCACTTCCTGTGCTTCAAGGTCATATTTTATCTCTCATAATGGTTAAAAACTTGGAAAGCAAGGGCCTTATGAAACATTATGTGTATTCAATTAATTGTATGCCAGATTCCTGTTAAATGTGTATACCACATCACAAATTCCTTTCTTCATTGCATCAATTCCACCTTTGCTGCTTCTAAAGATATGTTAGGCTTTCCTGTTCTGGTATCCAAGTATTTTCTACTTCACCACAAGCCCCTGGTTTCTAACCATTATACAGTCTTTTAACACAGTAAACTAAGCAATGTCAGTCTTACCTGTGGTACTTGTGGGTGTTGTTTTGTGTTGTGTTGGCCTTGCTCGTCATAGCTGTTTCCTTTGTGCCCCTCTGTGGGATGGCCTTTGTGCTTCCATGAGGGTGAGCCATGGGGAAAACATTCCAGAAGAATCTATTCTTGTTGCAGAGCAGGCCTGGATTGTCTGGGAGAGTGACAGACAAGCAGAGACATCAGAGGCCACATTCCCGTGTGCAATCTGCCATACTTTATAGGTCCTCAAACTGCCTTTCCTGTATTTTAATGCAGAACAAAGTACAGAAAACGTTCTTTGCCACTGCATAGCTGGATGTGCAGAGTATGCTAAGACTAGTGGCCCTCCAAGAATACAGGGAGGGGACGATAAGGGCAGCAGTTGTTCATGCTTTATGGAAAAGAGACGAAGCCATTCCCACCCCAAGCTGAAATTAACTTGGTGCACATTGTCACCAATTCCATGGAAGCCACTGTGGCAGACAGACCTCATGAAAGCAAACACTCTTCAAGGTGGGTCGTCTTGTTATAAAGCCATCTGAAGACGGCTGACCCAGCCTATTGTACTGAATTCAATAGCTTGGGTTTTAAATCTTGACCAATCACCTGCACAAAACTTTGCTTTAAAGACCCTCCCCTACCCCCTCCCACACATTCACCTCCCACTGTGCCAGAAAGAAATCCCTGCCATGGAACCCAAGCATTCATTCATGCAGGTCTGACCCCTGGGGTGTAGAAGATGCTGGAATGGAGGAACTATAAAGTGCTTCCAGTCAGGAGTTACTACAACTACCACCAGAGGACACATCCACCTATGTGTTGTCCAGCTCCAAGACCTAAATCCTCACCTTGGATAATAAGTGATGCTGACAAATATGCTGTATTCTATCTGCTGCTGGCCAGGTTAGCTCCAAGAGATAGGTGGCTGGTTAAGCACGGCTGTGGCCAGAGACTTCTAGAGAAGCAAAAACTGAAATCATCTATTACCAAAATAATTTGAAAACAAAATTATCTCTCTCCAACCAGCCAGAGAATAGGTAGATCTGAGAATAAAGAAGAATAAGGAAAAGAATTGTTGCAGCACAATCCTTGAAGAATGCCGTATACAGAGAGCCAAGCAGTAAGGAGAGAAGCATGTCAGACCTTTTTTTGTTCCACAAAGCTTTACTGAGAACCAAATCTTATTCTTCCTCTTACACATGTATATTTTTGAAAATTAAGATCTCTACAGTGACAAGTCTAGTCACATGTGTGTGGGAACTACTGCCGGCAGATACACTCTTCATTTGAAAACCAGTGGTTTTCTAGAATTTCCCAAGAGAATCTACTGAGTTATCTCTAAGGTCTTGCCAAACACTGGTGATAAGAGTTGAAGGAATCATAATATATTTTCACTTTTTCCATAAGAAGGGAGGCAGCATCACCTGTGGTTAAGAGTACAGGCTTTGGGGTTTGTCGGAACAGGATGAAAATTCTGATTCTATCACTTGCCACTTGTGACTCCTTGTGCAAGCCAGTGGTCCTAAGAGCGATGTGAGTTGCTGCTTAGAGTCTATGGTGGGTTAGGGAAGCGGATGATGGAAAGTACTTAATGCACTGCCTGATTCCTGAATGTGCTTCATCCATGGTCAAGTGGGGTGGCCCAAGGGGCTGCAGCTCCGATTGCCTCCGTTTAAGTCCTCCCACATTCTATGCCACCTATTATGACTATTGCTTGGAACGTGGACATGTGCTTTCCATGTCTACTTTGAGTCACTCATACATTCAATGAATATTTACTTAGCATCCACTGTATTTCAGACACCATGTTCTTAAGTGCACCACTACTTTCATTAGGAAGGAACAGAAGGCTTCCAGACTAGACGAAAGACTCTCAGTGAGAAATACTTCCCAGCTTCTCTCACTCCCAGGTCCCCTGCGCTGTGCTCTGCTTTGCAGGGCTCAACATTCATCTCTTTGGGCTTCTTTTTTCTGCCCTCATCCTCCCAAAAGATACCAGAGTATTCTTATGTCCTCTGTCTTTCTTTCTTAACAGAATAAGAATTGATCTTATAAATGCATTCATGCTAAAATATAAATAATTTGTAAGTTCAAAAGCATTAGCCTTTATCTGGATTTTTGCATTTAAACTGCAAGTGAAGCCCTGAGCCAGAAGAGACCTGGAAAGGTGGAATTCCATGGCACTCACGATGTGTCGCTGTCACCTTTACCACCGGTGAACCACTGACCTGTGTTTCAGAGACCGCCCTCCCCCTCTTGGGGTGTGAGTTTGGAGGGAGTGGTGGAGACTTGGCTTTGCTGTGTTTATCTTGAGCCCTGGGCCAGCCAGATTTCTCTTTCATTTACATTATAGCTGTGGTCGTTTTATTTATTGATTTTAGCCGGGGGTGGGGAATTTGGTAACGTCACTGAGTGTTGTCTTTTGGTTCTGTTCTAACTTGTAAATGTTATCTAGTTCTATTCTGTTTTCCACTTTATGTAATGTAGATCCAGGATCTCAATTATCTGAGCCATTAATCAGGTTGCAAAACCTTTCTCTTTCCCACGTGAAAGCAAAAAGGAAGAGTGGGACTTGTCTACAGATCGCCACCACACCTGTTAGTTGGATTTTTAGGATTGTCTGCTTCTCACATACAGTTCCCTCCCTCACTCTCCCTTTCTTTCCCCTTCCTTTCCCTCCCTTCTCCTCACTCTCCCCTGGGAGAGAGGGGATATAAGGTATTACTGAGAAAGACTTCACATGCAGGGCAGTAACCAAAGACTACCAACTTTTTATCTCACACTTTGTCTTGATCACTCTCTTCCATTTCCTAGTGGTGATTTCTCCATCACTAGCAAGCTGGGGATCTGTGATTTCTAGTGCTCGTCCCTGCTGGCCTGTGGCCCCACTCCTGAGGTCCTTTCCAATAGATGAGCAGTTGATGCATTCCACACCTGGCAAGAGCTGGCATTGAATATGGTGATGATCCTCCGTATTGTCCAAGAACACTGTGAGATGGAAAAGGCTGAGGATACCTGCAAGTAGCAGGCTGTGTCAGGATGGATTTTGCAGGCTCTAGATGGATCTCAAGATGTGTCAAAGGCTCCAAAATTGGCGACAGTGGCCTGGGGCTGGGTGGAGTGAGTGATGGCTGGCCCAAGACCCAAACAAATTACTCTGGTATTTCACTATTATCTAAGGAAAAGATAAGTAGTCTATCTTTATGTTTGGGACCTTAATCTCATAAATGTCTGCCATAACAAGCTTATTTATAGCTCATTATAAAAATTAGTGTACCTGGCTTAAATAAATAAGTGGTACAGACCTTGACAGACACCGGAGGATTGCTAGAGGTTTGCCAATCTTGCAGATGAAAGCAAAGATATGTTCTTACCAGACTTCCCATGCAATTTTTTGCACTTTCTATTCCATTTAGATACAAAACTCTTTGAAGTTAAAATAAATAGAAACAAAAAGACAAAAACAAACAAAAAACCTAAAAACATTTCTCTGGACTGCAGTAAGCCTCATGACTCTTTAAAAGACATGGGAAATGCAAAGAGAAGTTTCTTTTAGTCCTACTGAGAGGTGTACTGTCCATGTTTATTTGAAATTTCCCCTTTGTTTATTTTCTTCTTTAGAAGTAGAACAACTTTTTCTAGCACTATGAAGATGTGGTGTCTTCGACCCATTAAGTTAATTTCATTTCAAGTGGAGATACAAGTTCTTATGAAGTTTTTACAAAACTTCTGTTACAAAAGCAGAAATGGGATGGTTTAGCTTTCATTTTCTTTTTGGGGTGCAATTTAATTTAAAGTTCATAAAATATGCATAATGACTAAAATACAGCCTGAATTTACACACACAAAAAAATGGTATTAAAGGACATTGTATATTATTACCCAAATGAAGCCATCTTTAGGCAGCTGTTAAACAATCAAGCTTTGTGTGTGTGTGCACGTGTGTGTGGTGCCCACTTCATACATTTACAAAATACACATGGTAATATGAATAAACTGAATAAGTTAGAGAAAAACAAAGCAGAATTGGACAAAGTTAATACTGCCAGCCAGTTTACAATCTTCTTTGAGCATTTTAACATGAACATTCATACAAAAAAGACAATATTAAAACCATAAAGTCCAGAACCCACTCCTTTTACATAAAGTGGAGACGTGTCACTAGATTAGACAACATGGCTTTGTAACACTAAAACAAACCGTCTGTTCAAAAAGACCCATGCACAAGGAGGCATTATTGGGCCTTGTATCTGCATTGAATGAGCATTCAGAGCACTGATTTTCTATTGTCCCAACTCCATGATGGCCTCCCCCAGCCTCAACACAGATGACAAAAGAGATTTTTAACGATGTAGCACCACGGTAGTTAGGACCCACAGGGCCAAGGCAGAGAGGCAGCTGATCAGAGGCACAGGGAGGATTCTGATAGTGTTTCATGGTCTGGCAACGTAAAACCACTAGACTGTGTTATCAGTGATAGGGTGTTTGTCCTCTAAGGCAGGACATTGCAGCAGGCTCCCAGGAGAGAGTGCCACAGACTGCCTAATGGTGGAAGAGCACTTTCTATTCTGTTCCTTAAGGCTAAGTACTCAACAGTTTTTTAGGCAAACATTTTTTCAGTCGCATTGAAGGTCACAGCTGCATTTGACATGACTTGAATTGGCTGTTTGAGGTGTGTCTCAAACTTGTGCTATTGGCAGCAGAGGTCTGAATGTCTAGGTTGAAACCTGTTCCCCATTTTAAAATCAGTTCATGCTGGATCAAAGGTGAGACCCCTGTCAGGGTTAGCAACGAGTTGCTGATCTGTGTGGTAATAAATAGCTCTGAGTCTGGGAGGAATGGCTGGTGAGGCTGGAGTGCTGTAGCATGTAGAAGTGCGGACGTTGGTGTCTGATGCGCTGCAACGAGGTTTTCACTGTATCGGTGTGACTCTGATGCATCGCTGGATCTCTCTCTCTCTCTCTGTTGTTTTTTTTTTTTTTTTTGAGACAGACTTTCCCTCTGTCTCCCAGGCTGGAGTGCAGCGGTGCGATCTCGGGTGATTACAACCTCCACCTCCTGGGTTCAAGAGCAGGAGGTTTAGCCTCCTGAGCAGCTGGGATTACAGGTGCGTGCCACCACGCCTGGCTAGTTTTCATATTTTTAGTGGAGATGGGGTTTCACCATGTTGGCCAGTCAGGTCTCGAACTCCTAACCTCAAGGGATCTGCCCACCTCAGCCTCCCAAAGTGCTGAAATTACAAGCATGAGCCACCACACCCAGCACTATCACTGGATCTCTTGAACACCCACTTTCTCCTTTGTAAAGTGGTGGCAGCAGCAGAGCTGATCTCTGATGGCTGCTGTGAAGATTCGATGAGATGACCATGGAAAGTTCAATAGTGGTGACGGGTGAGCAGCCCAGAGAGAAGCTGAGCAGGTGAGCTCCTCCCGGTGCTGGCCTTTGCCTGGGACCATGTCCACAGCCAATTATGAGAGCAGACTGCAGTACTCCAGACAGCCCTGGATCCACTTATCAGATTGCACAAGCTAGGAGGGCCTTCAGTTGTAGAGCAGCAGAAGCTAAGTTTGGTTAATTTAATCACAAAGCATAGAGCTGGCCTTGTAAAGACATAGTCACTGCACCATCAGACCGGACAGTGCAGATTGCCTCACAGACACCACTGACATTGGGCTCTGGAAATAGCCACTAGAACTATGGCCCTGTCCCCTCTGAAATGGTGGCTGGCTGCCCCTGCTGCCCCCACCCATAGCAGAAAGGATTCCTAGAGAACCCGTCTTATCACCACAAGCTTATGATCCAAACTTAGGGTGGATGGGCTGTTTGGCAATACCTAGATCTCATACCTGAACCCCCTACCTGTGAGGGGGCAGGCATTTTTAGCTTTTCTGTGGGAGGTGGGCTCCTCCACTAATCACGTCCATGGAGTTCCCTAGTTGGGAGGCCAGAAAAAATGAAAAATGTCTACTACAAGACCCTGACAGATGTCCCTAGGGTTTCCTGTAATTGTCTACTTACTGTCTGCACACTCAGCTTGTAATAATGAACTGATTCCCTAGAGGCCAATGATAGACTGATGTTTGGAGTATTTGACAAGGCAGAAAATTTTCTCTCATATCCTGGATTATGTTCATTGCTTTTATGCCCAAAGTGAAGGGAGTACCATTTCCTCACAGCCTCAGAAGTGGGAAGTGAGCTCGCATGTTTAAAGACCTTCTACATACCTGACAGTTGAGACAGACTGTGGATGGCGGAAAGAGGACTGGACAGAGTCAGGAGACCTGGTGCAACCCGGGCTATCACTTACTAGCTTTGTGAAATTACTAGCTTTGTGGGGTCATTACAGCAGATCTCTGGATGCCAGTCGCTGTATCTGAAAAATGAGCATCATCATCATAACTATCTAAGGGAACTGTAAGAATAAATTACATGACGTTTACGACAGTCCCTGGGACATAGTCGGCATTCAGTGCCCTCAGATGGTTTGGTCTTTGAGCTTTGATTACCTCCTGAGATGATGGTTAGAATCATGCCTGTGTTGTCGGAGGGTCCTTAAGATTCCTCTCCCCATGGCCTCTTCTTGTACTTCTTAGCACGCTTGAAGAAAAATCCCTTACGGGAGCCTCATGCTCTGGGTTTGGGCTTCCTGTCTCCAACAGAATCCAAGTTTTCTTTGATCATGAGAAAAGCTGTGTCCTGAACCAGGAAAGAGGTCAAGGATAGGAGGAAAAGACAGAGAAGGCATAGAGTCCAGGTATGGGGACACGAACCGAGAGGCAATGGGGCTTAGGCAGGGGCTGGGTCTGTGTGACCACCTCACAAGACACAGAAATGAGAGTTCCTTTCTTACTAACTGCATTAGGCATAGGAGGACTCCCTTTGTGTTCCTGGGGGCTTTCTGCCTTGGGGCCCCTTGAAGTTACTCAGGCTTTCTGCATGGCTGCCCCATGGGGCTGCCTGATTCTGCACTGGAGCTCCTGAGTGGATTCCGGCCCCTGCGACTGTGTCAAGAGGAAGCCAGGTTTGAGGACTGGCTGATCCTGGGCTCTGCAGGCCCACGTGTTTTCCTTTGACTCAACCCACTTGAAATTCCCTCCATCTTCTCTAAAGCTCAGAAGGAGGAAACTGGCAGGCCTCCTTATAGAAGGTATCTAGGAGATGAAGCCAGGGAAAACAAATTGGGAATAGAAAGTAACGTGTTGAGACGTGAAGATGGAGGACGACGCTGGACGTTGAGATGAGAGGTCAGACAGGAGAGCTGACTCAAATCTCCGACACCTGGGACTGTGGTCCTGAGAAGTCGGGGATGCCTGGGTTGCCGGGAGGTGAGCTCAGCGTGTCATATTCATTGTCACAGGCTCAGGCCTGGGCTATTGGAGTCCCAACCCTGTGTACTGAGAGAGGTTGAAGAAACTCCCCATGCCCCTCCCTGTGCTCAGAGAGCTTTTACTCCTAGGTAAGCCCTGCCAGCAAAGTTCATGGAACATCATCAAAGCTTTCCCTAACCCCTAGTAGGTAGAGGTTTTCTAGGGAGAACATAGACTTAGCTAGAGCTTTTTAGGGTATTACTGGCACGTGTTGATGTTACATCATTCAATGCAGCTATAGCTTTGCCTCTTCCCAGGCAGAAAGTAGGTTGGAGACTGGAGGATAGAAACACAGGGCATGACTGGGAAAGCCAGGGAGGAGGTTTCCAAAGTGGTGTGTGTGTGCCTCCTGCCTTAGTTGGGACAGGAAGGAAATAGTAGTACTTTGCCTTATTGTTATTCTTATGTTAAAAATAAGAAATACTGAAGATTCCCTAATTTTTAATTCATAGGCTGGCCCATGATCCTCAGTTGGTCTGTATGTCAGGAAGTCTTGAATCACACATCAAATGCCGTGTGCCCATGGGGACCCCCACACAGAAGGAGGCACCTTTTCTCCCTGTTCCCTTCCAGTCCATGACAGGTGGCATGTCATCTGCCTAGGGTGTCAGCCACTGGATCTTTCACTAATATTCACTAATAATCTTTTTTTTTTTTTTTTTTTTTTTTTTTTTTTTTTTTTTTTTTTTTTAACATGGAGTCTCCTTCTGTTGGCCAAGCTGGAGGGCAATGGTGTGATCTCGGCTCACTGCAACTTCTGCCTCTCAGGTTCAAGCAATTCTCCTGCCTCAGCCTCCCACAGGCATACACCACCATGCCCAGCTAATTTTTGTATTTTTAGTAGAGATGGGGTTTCGCCATGTTGGCCTGGCTTGTCTTGATCTCCCGACCTCAAGTGATCTACCTGCCTTAGCCTCCAAAAGTGCTGGGATTATAGGCATGAGCTACCATGCCTGGCCTCACTAAGAATTTTAAATGGAAATACTTACAATATTTTGTAATGAGATTCTGAGTTAACATGAAAATCTTTTCTACCACACTGAAGTTTACTGCTATTTTATGGTAAAGTTCTTAGAAAAGTTGTCTAATATACAAATAAGTAGTGCATTATTTCTTATTAATAAAAGGCAACATGTTTTAGAAATTCTGACCTTTTCTATAACAAAAATTCATTCCATGTCAGTGGAGAGCTACCTAGCAGGGTTTTTGTTGGGTGGTCGGTGGGAAGCTATCTCCTAGAGAAGCAAGCCTCAAAAATAAATAATAGTAAAAGTGACTTAAAAGTGACTTAAAAAAGAAGGAAGGAGGGAAGGGGGGGGAGGAAGGAAGGAAGGAAGGGTTTCAAAAGAAACACTTGCTGTAGAAAAAGATGAAAATAGATGTTTGTGATTATTTCAATCATTATATGATTTTGTTACTAAAATAATACAAAAACCTTCATATCTCTACTCTTCCAAACTCTTCCAAACTCTTTTCAAACAGTTGGAAAGAAAATTCTCTCAAATGTCCAATTTAATGTCCAAAAATTAAAGTGCAAAACTTTCTGATTAGTTTGCAAAGAAACAGAACACTGCAAAATCTTGATTGAGGTAAGGAAATGAAAACTTTTTATGTAAATTTCTAAAACACTGATGAAATTGGTGGATGGGATTGAAAAATAAGTGGTGTGATTTAGGATGCCCAGCCAATAGAGTTTCTTCCATTTGTAGCTATGTAATGTGAGTCTTGCCATCTTCAGCCACCAGAGCCACTACAGCAAAGAATCAGATAAATGAGCTGAGAGCCAGATATTTAAATCACTTTATCACAAAGTGCTAAGGCAAGATTTTCAAAAAAGCATAGTCAACCATGAAGGAACAAGATTTATGTATCATTGATAACCTTTAAAATATTGCTTGGTTTACCTTCATCTCATCATTTTAAAAATCTTAGTCTTCCTATATGTCTCCTTAAGGAAATAGCAGTGTGACACTTTTTTTTTCTTTAATCAATAGGACTAATGTGGTAAAAAAAAAATAGTGATAATAGACCTCGGCTCTAAATGTTTTATAAATTTGGAGAAATTTGATTTCTTTCCTTCAGGTGAGGCAAATGGAAGATGATCTCTTCTCCACTGAACTTTCTTCTAAAGTTAGAAGGCGCTTTAATTGCACTATATAAAATTTAAAGCTAAATTTAAAACTTCAAGGAGATTACTGAAATTTGCTAATTTCATGTCTCAAATAAGAAGTGAAGGACAAAGAGTATTAACCTGAGAAAGTGTGTATAATTTTAAATGTTTAACTATTTATAAACATATTGACTATGAGATTTTTAACATTATATTAATAAGCAAGGGTCAAAAATAGCTGATAGCAGTACATGAAAAATCATACAGAAATTGTTGACCACTTGACTATAGTAACCTGTTTAATTTAATTGCATTTGTCTTAAAAGGCTATTTCCAGCCTCTAATTTTGATACATTTTGAATAATTGGTTTACTAAATAATACCAGTTTTTTTTTAAAGGGCTCATATAAATGATATGCTGTAAAGTGGAATTTTGGTGAATGTTTATGCCACATTAACTTTAAATAAAAAACCTTTGATTTTAAGTTTAGGAATACATGTGCAGATTTGTTATATAGGTAAATTGCATGTCTTGTGGGTTTGGTGTACAGATTATTTCAACACCCACATAATACGCATAGTTCCCAGCAGGTAGTTTTTTGATCCTCTCCACCCTCCACTCTTAAGTAGGCCTCACTGTCTGCTGTTCCCCGCTTTGTGTCCTTGTGTACTCAATGTTTAGTTCCCACTTATTAGTGAGAACATGCAGTGTTTGGTTTTCTTTTCCTGCATTAGTCTGTTCAGGATAGTGTATGCCATGTTAACTTCATTGCAAAGATTTGCATATTCTGTATGTTCACTGAAATCTGGTTATTTTAACTGAGTTCTTTATGATTAATATTTAATTGATTTTAATTGCATACTCCTGTGGAGATAATAATACAGCAGCATTTGAATTTTCAGTTTGTTTACCTGCCTACTTTTGATTCACCAATATATTGTCACTTCCATCTAGTTTCTCGTTAATCACCACTCCAACATCTATCTACGCCTTTCACTTTATGGCTCCATGAATATATAATCCTAAAATATTTGGTCTGTTCAACTCTTGGGCACAAACTTAAGTTAAAAAGGCAATATAATAAAATATGCTATCTGTTAGGAATTCACAATAGTTACTGAACAAGTGCAAAAAGATTTAATTTGTAGAGCATCTAATGGACCCAATCATTATTTCAGTAATGAACAAATAAATTAATGAATAAATTAAAATGCTCAGCTGTTCCATCATAAAGATACAACATTTCCTGGATTAACTATATTGTAGTTAATTGCATGATTGCACGTGGGCTTATTTTGTGTCCATTCAGCAAAAATGGGACAGCTAAGCTACTCGATTGAATGAATTCCAGTCAAAAACCCAAACTTTGTTGTTAATGGCTTTAAGACAACTTTAAAAGTGAATCTTCCAAGTTATAACCTTACAAACCATTTACCTAGTTTTGAACCTGTTTTCTGAGTCCTTCGGCAAGCCAAGGCCCTGGCATAGGATTTGCTTCCTACTGAATATTGGGAAGTCTTACCCTAACTGCTTCCAGGTGTCCTTTCCGGACCCATCTAGCCCTTCCAGAACATTAGCACTTGTTTGGGGGAGAAAAAATCCTTTTGAATCAGGATCTGTTTTTCAAATGTTCAGCGCATGAAGATTGGCCATTTGATGTGGTCAAAATCACATTTCTTCTTATGTATTTGATGAATGTTAATTAGTTGTTTTAGGTTTTCTCCTAATGATTTACTTTTAAAAATCATGCCAATTGTATGCTCTTTCAAGACAATACCATATAAAACATACATCTGAAATGTCACATGTGGTTTGCTGAAAACAATCATGTTTCCTCATTGCAAGGTTTTTTTTCCTTTTCTTTTTCATTAGATTCACTGACTTTCAACATGTCAAGTAAAAATTCTGGAAACAAAACCAGTTAAATTATATTCACATGAACAATAACAAGCTGGCCCAGAAGGCAGAACGGTTTGTTTGACCACAACATATAAATATCAACATCAATATAAAATCAATATAAACATACACACATATGCATACATATGTGTATGCCTAGATCTACATCTTCAGACACCAAATGGCCACCATAAACTTTGAAGATTAAGCCTATTTTAAAAACACAAAGGAAAGAAAAACCTATAAAGGAGAAGAAAGCTTTGAAATATGACTGTAAACCATGTGAAATGCATTTAGGATTTTCAAAGTGAATCGAAGCCTTTCAATTTCAACAGAAGTAAATTGCTGTCATTATTAATAGCAGACATGTGGTAGTGTTTTTAATTGAGATCAAAAGTGAGGGTTCTTCCTAGTACAAAGACAGTGCAAACTCAGACTGTGAAATGCTCAGGAGTGATTGGGAGAAGTCAGAGGCTTTGTTTTGTTTTTTATTTTTTAAAGTGCCTGAAAGTTCAGTGTACAGCCTTAGAGTTCAAGGGATAAGATAGTTTGAAAAGTGGTGGCAATCCTTAGAGCAGGAGAAAAGCTGTCTATTGTTCCAGTATTAAATGACAGTATCCAAGATCTGTGACTTTTATTGAGAATTAGGGCAATATTTACCCATACAGATACTTCAAGGAAGCATATAAGCACCTGCTCCTCTTCATTTTCTGACAATCCTCTCACTAGGATTACATATTTCTCTCCGACATGGTTTGACTTAGGAGACTAAATATAACTTAAGAAGCATGTTCTCTTAATAAAAGAGCTAATAAAACTGCCAAGGATATATAAACATAGACTGATATTACCTGGAAAGCAACAGAAAGTGGCAACACTGCAAAGAAATTGTAGTTGGGTTGGGGAGATAGACATGTTAGCAGATAATTGCAATTTAGTGGGATGGGTACAATAATAAAAATAGGAACCAGGCCCATGGTAATGTGTGGAGGGGACTAGGCAAGTCTGCTTTGGGAAGCAGGTCACTGCTCCCAAACTTCTCATACTTCAGCATGCCCCAGAACCCCCTGGAGGATTGCTGGGCCCCACTCTTACAGTTTGATTCAATAGATCTGGGGTGAGGCCCAAGAAAGTCCTAGAAAGTCCCCCAGGGGCTGCTGCTGTTGGTGGTTGGGAGCCTACCCTTGGAGAACCACTGTCCTAGAGGAGGAGATGCTGGGTGGGTTTTGCAGGAGGAATAAAAGGAGAGGACCATCCTAGGCATACTTTTGTAAATGCCAAGGGGGAAGCCCCAGGTAGGAAGACTTTGGGGAAGTCTTAGGGCTGTAGGGAAGGGCCCAGGTGAGGAGACCAATTTCCCTGGCTTGCCAGGGGCTGAGAGGTTCCCCAACGCAGGACAAAAACCAGGACAGTCCTGGGCAAACTTGGACAGTTGGCCACCTGGGAACAGCAAGAGGATGAGACCAGACAGGTGGGCATAATTCACACCCTGATTGTCCTGGGCCAGGTCAAGGGGCTTTAACTGGAAAGCCACTGGGAGTCATAAAAAGGGCGGTAAACATGGGAGAATCACAAGGTGTTTTTTTTTTTTGCTGTGGGTTGGGGGGGGTGGTGGCGGTGAGGAGACAGAGTCTTGCTCTGTCACCCAGGTTGGAGTGCAGTGGCGTGATCTCA
This sequence comes from Homo sapiens, assembly GCF_000001405.40. NCBI lineage: Eukaryota > Metazoa > Chordata > Mammalia > Primates > Hominidae > Homo > Homo sapiens. The sequence continues at coordinate 10,434,090 of NC_000018.10, read as the reverse complement.
GCTCACTGCAACCTCCGCCTCCTGGGTTCAAGCAATTCTCCTGCCTCAGCCTCCCAAGTAGCTGGGATTACAGGCACCCACCACCATGCTCAGCTAATTTTTTGTATTTTAATAGAGATGGGGTTTCACCCTGTTGCCCAGGCTGGTCTTGTACTCCTGAGCTCAGGCAATCTGCCAGCCTCAGCCTCCTGAAGTGCTGGGATTACAGGCATGAGCCACTGTGCCCCGCACAAGGTTTTTGTTTTTAAAAAATCACTTTGAAAGTCGTATGAATGACTGATTAGAAGAGGGTGAGACTCAGGCAGGGAGGAAGCTCCGGAGGTGACCTGGGTGGGAGACGCCATGACCTGAGGCAGGTGTTTGGGGGCAGCACATGGATGAGGAGGAAAAGAGGCAAACTATGCTGGAAGCCTGAGTGCACTGGACTTAGTGACCCATGGAAGAATGTAGGAGGACTCCAAGGCCTGTGGCCTGGGGCCAAGTGAATGGTGCTGACCGAACACGCATTTTACAGACAAACACTGAGACCCTGAGAGTTTGTGTGATTGGCCAAGGCCACAGCATCCGTGAGTGGAGGAGCTGTGTGTGATGCACATCCATGCTCAGAACATTCCTGCCACAGTACTCGCTCTCTTCCACCTGCTAATCATATCTCCATGGTGCTTTCTACATACACCTGTTAGGTAGGTTGGCACAGTGTTTGTCCAGTGGTCTTTACAAGTGGTGATGACAAGCTGTGCTCAGAGCATCTCTTTAGTCCTCGACTTCCTTTAATGGAAGCATCGTGCCTCTTTTTCAGAAGGAGACCACCACTTATTACATTTCACAGGTGGCTCTTTATTCCTAGTCTGACCCTGTGCATGCCTGGTTTTTCTCATCTTTGTTCCAAGTTTCACATTAGTGAAGCAGTATGCATACTTGGCTTTTGTAGTCTTCGGATGTACACTTGAGTGACTAATATTGGCTTTTAAATGAATTTCTATTGCTTGATATTAATCCCTTCTCCCTTTTTGGCCCACTGTGTCGTGGTGCTGCCAAACACAATCTTTGAGAACTCTGTGGACACAATGGGAGTGTTGCAAGGCTGCTTGAGGAGCACCTTCTACTACACATCGCACTAATTGGAAATAAATCTCGAGTTTCAGCGTGAGTCAGCCAGCTTCACAGGACTCAGCGCAATTTCCATTCTACTGCTGTGCAAACAGGGGCTGGGCAAACTGTTACCTTTCGGCTAGGGCAGACCAGTTTACAACTGAGAAGCAGGTGAGGGTCTTTGCTGGGTGTGCAGAGTGACCAGCATGGATAGATTTCCTCATCCTGATCCATGACAGCTGTAATTGGTACCCTGACTGAGTTAGGAAAAGCAATCCCAGGGTCAGCTGACGGCGAGAGGCCTGTGGCACAGGGAGGATGAGGATGGAAACAAGCCAAGATAGTAGGCAGAAGAAAAATTGGCCAAGAAACAGCAACCCAGAGAGCCAAAGACTGCATACAGCACAGAGGTCAGTCTGAGAACCAAAGTCAGTTAAGAGCCAAGGGAAGATAAGGTGGAAGAATAAAGGTTCAGATGGGCTCCTTTAAGAGAGTTTCCTGGGCAAGAGTTGTTTGCCAGCTTCGTCTTTGGCAGGACCCTGGCTCACATTATAGGCTCAACTCTCCAATTTTGGTGCCTGAAGGGTGCAATGACAACGTTAAATATCAGGCATGAGCCAAGTGGGCTAACTCCGATGGAGTCCCAGTTGTAGCCTGGGAGTAGCAGGCAATATCTGAGTCTTCACTGGGAGGGGGCAAAGCATAGCCTTGAAAAGTGTGTGTGAAGAGATGGGTGATGGGTGAGCCCCCAAAGTCAACCTGACATCTTCACACTTTCCTCCATATCCAGCTGGTCTTACCCCTGTTGAAACTGTAGGACACACCCTTTGTAATAAGCCAAGGCAAAGGTGTGGAAGAACTGATGCAAAAGGTATGTTCAGGTGGCAAGGGGCCAGCCTCCTATAGATCAAAAGTGAGGGTTCTACAGATCAGGGTGAGGGGATCTATCCATGCTGGTCACCCTGCACACCCAGCAAAGACCCTCACCTGCTTCTCAGTTGTAAACTGGTCTGCCCTAGCCGAAAGGTAACAGTTTGCCTTGCCCCTGTTTGCATTCTTTGCAGTCTTTCAGCCACTAACAGGTTGGAAGGGGATTTTTTTCAATGAGTTCACCTTGACGTGCTCATAGTTAATCATTTGAAGGAATGATCATTTTGGATGGACTGATAACCTTCTTGTGCCTTCAAATCACACAAAGTCAGGAAGTGGCTTCTCTGCCTTTCAGATTAGCTCTGTGTCTGTAGGAGAGCTGTTTAAACTGACTATTGGGGTGTACAGCTCTCTCCCTCCCCACCCAACTTTTCACTACCTGGGACCACGCTTATTTTCCTTTAATAATAACTACTTCATTATTTTTGAAGAAACAATTCATAATTATTATGAAAATTTAAGCAATGCAGAAAATCCAAAGAAGAAAGGAAAATACAGTCCTTGACCTCAGGTGATCTGCCCACCTCAGCCCCCCAAAGTGCTAGGATTACAGGCATGAGCCACTGTGCCCAGCCTAGATATCCTTCTATGGTTAACAAAAATGATTGGGAAAACAATAAGTGGTAGAAATCACTGGCTGTTTTACAACACGTTTCAGTATTAGATAGGCTAGATTCACTCCTATCGTGAACAGTGGGACATTTGAGTACTTCTATTCTTCCTGACACTTCTCTTATGCTTTATTATGATTTTTCCTAATAAGTTTCATAACACATTTATTTCATTTATAGCCACAGGTTGTTTAGCCTTAGCTCTACTTGTAAGTGACGCCCTACCATTTATTCTTTTACTGTGGCTGTTCCATTCTTTATTTCTTTATTTTGATTTATCACTTGGTTGGCTGGATTTCATTCTTAAAAGCTTGAAAGGAAAACTTGGCTGGATCTCAAATTCCTGGATCACTTTCCCTTAGAACCTTGTAAACTTTGCTGGCCTATCTTCTGGCATGAAATGTTAGTCCTCAGTTTCTCCATGTAGCCCCTGGTGAGCTTCATGTCATCAATACGTAGTTTTGCAGAAAGGACTCAAGGGTGCTATATTTCCTGAGTTCTTTCATGTTCAGGACCTTTGACCTTTTGTCTTTGTACTTGAATGACATCTTGGTTGGGTGTGACATGCTTAGATCAGAGTTTCTTTCCCTTATAACGTTGCTCCAATGTATTTTGGCTGTGACGATTGTTATGCACAAGTCTAAGGCCAGCCAACCAGGCCCCAGGAGTTTCTCTATTTGGACAACTGAAGAATTCTTGATGTTTCCCCTGAAGGTTAATGACAACCAGGATAAGTCTTTAGAGCCGTCAGTTTAAAATCTATTTTCTGGAAAATACACCTCTATGATCTGGAAGGCTGCTTCTTCCTTCATTTCAGAAAAATGTCTTTCCTGATATGTCTTTGTATACTTTTAGGTTTTCAGTTGCTGGCTTTTTTTTTTTTTTAAGGACACTAGCTTTATATCTATTAGGTTCTCTTTGTTATAAGGAATTAATCTTTTTCCTTTGTATTTACTCTGATTATTTTAAATTATTCTTTTATGTTAGTACTCGACTTTTTTGTGTGTGTGTGTGTGTGTGTGTGACAGAGTCTCACTCTGTTGCCCAGGCTGGAGTGCAGTGGCCTGATTTCAGTTCACTGTAACCTCTGCCTCCTGGGTTCAAACGATTCTTCTGTCAGCCTCCTGAGTAGCTAGGATTATAGGCATGCGCCACTGCACCTAGCTAATTTTTGTAGTTTTAGTAGAGATGGGTTTCACCATGTTGGCCAGGCTGGTCTCGAACTCCTGACCTCAAGTGATCCGCCCGCTTAGGCCTCCCAAAGTGCTGGGATTACAGGCATGAGCCACCACGCCCGGCCAATAATTGATTTCTAACCTTAACTATATATTTTGTTTCTTGCTGTTTCCAATCTATTTACTGGTTCTGTAATGGTATTATTTCAATGCTCAATTTATTTCCTCAGCTCTACAATTCACCTCAATCTGTGTTTTTCCCAGATACTATTTTGCCTCTTGTTTTATGGAGTTCTTGTTAACATTAGATCGGTGATTTTATGTGCAGAAAGGATTATTTATGGCTTATTTGGTTTAATTTAAGTTTACCTGATTAACTTGCAAATCTTTTTTTTTTTTTTTTTTTTTTTTTGAGACAGAGTCTCACTCTGTTGCCCAGGCTGGAGTGCAGTGGTGCAATCTTGGCTCACTGCAACCTCCGCCTCCTGGGTTCAAGCGATTCTCCGCCTCAGCCTCCTGAGTAGCTGGGACTACAGGTGCCCGCCACCCTGCCCGGGTAATTTTTTTTTTTTGTATTTTTTAGTAGAGACGGAGTTTCACCATGTTGGCCAGGCTGGTCTCGAACTCTTGACCTCAGGTGACCCACCCGCCTCAGCCACCCAAAGTGCTGGGATCCATCGCGCCCAGCCACAAATCTTAAAATCTAATTTTAAGAGTTCAGGTTTAACCCACAACTCTTACTGTTTTACAAATACGAATTTGATACAAATAATCTTGTGTTTGAATTATTTTGCCTCCATATTCATTTTTTCAAATTCTGTGTTCTTATACATTTCCACATCTAACAAAGAGGAGTAATTTTACCTTCTTAACTTGACAAAGGTTTCTTGGGCCAAAAATTCCAGGCATCAGTGCAGTTGCTTATCAACCAGGGATCTGAGCCAAGGATTCAGGAACCAGAGGCTACACTCTTGCAGAATTATTCCACCTGAGTAAAGATGTCAGGAGCAGTTGTGCAGATTGTGCCTTACACAATGATATCTGCAAGAGGGCATTGTGGGAGCTAAAATCCAGCCTGCACTTTTGCCAAGACACAACTGGAAAAAGGACACTCGTACGAACTGCTCTGCCCAGAGGGGTTGCTTTTATCTAACTGGTACAGCCAGAAAAGCATCTTTTTGTTCATCAGCATACTCTCCTATAGCTGTGCCTGTTTCTAATTTGTACATAAACGCCTTATAGTGGTCAAGTGCTAATGGTGACTCCAAGCCATGGATGAATGTGCTGAACCTGTCTGATAATCAGTGCTGGCTTTTAGGGCAGCAGAAAAGCCCCAACCCTCACTTTTAGGGAGATTTCATTTCACAGGCTAGTGCATCATATGCTCAGTGTTCGTGTTTCCAGTCCTGCTCTGCGGCAGGAGTTAATCCCGACTGGGAGAGATGGAATCCTGTGCCCTGCTCCTGCTGCTGCCAATTTATTTTGTGACATGATAGAGTCAATTACCTTCCTGACTGCCTTGTTGGACTTGGCATTATTTTACACTTCTCTTGATTAAATCTCAGCCTCACTATAGTCATTTATTAACATGTATTTTCAAAATTCTATAGTCCGAAACACTTAGGGATCATCTTCTTTTTCTCAAGTTGTATTCAAATTTCTTCCATGTCCTAAGTTATGTCTTCTTAATTGGGCTCTTTGTCGTCACATAATGCTTCTTGCTTCCTTTCTTTCTCTTTCTTCTCTTTTCTTTTTACTTCTTTCTTTTTTTTTATTCTCATAATTTTGTTGTTGCAGATTTGCATACCAGCCAAGAGAAGGGTTTCTTTTCCTTGATTAATAAAATGTATTTTCCTGGCCATGCACGGTGGCTCACGCCTGTAATCCCAGCACTTTGGGAGGCCAAGGCAGGTGGATCACTTGAGGCCAGGAGTTCGAGACCAGCCTGGCCAATGTAGTGAAACCCTGTCTCTACTAAAACTACAAAAAACAAACAAACAAAAAATTAGCCGGGCATGGTGGTGCACATCTATAATCCCAGCTACTTGGGAGGCTGAGGCAGGAGAATTGCTTGAATCTGAGAGGTGGAGGTTGCAATAAGCTGAGATCACACCACTGCACTCCAGCCTGGGAGACAGAGCGAGACTCCTTCTCAAAAATAAAAATTAAAAAAATGTATCTTGCATTTTTGAGCAGTTTTAAGTTTATTAAAAAAATTGAGCAGAAAGTACAGAGTTCTCATACAACCCCTCACAATCCACCCCTCCACCAACGTCTCCTATTTTTAACATCTTGCATTAGTATGCTACATTTGTTACATTGATGAACCAGTACTGACGCATTATTATTAACTAAATCCATCTTTTACACTAGGGTTCACTCTTGTGGTGTAGGTTCTGTGGGCTTGGAGAAATGTATGCCATGTGTCTGCCATTACAGTGTCATACAGAATAGTCTCTCTGCCGTAAAATGTTCTGTGCTTCACCTATTCATCAGAGGAAACTTTTTTCATCTAGTTTTGGTGGCTCAGTTAATTATAACGGATATTCACTGACAGCCTACTTGGAGCATGAATTGTAAGTAAGTCCTGACACCTGAGAATTAATAATGACCTCCAAATATCAGCCATTCTGCACTATGCTGTAGACAAGAGGTAGGCAGACCTGCATAGATGGAGGGATTGACCTTGGGATAAAAAGTATGGGTCATTGTCATGGTCTCCTGAAACTGTAAATACATTCTAAGATGCTGGCAAAACCAAGTTGACAGAAATGAAATTGGTCTATGATACATTTCCTGAGTAGGATTTTTAGTAAAATATGTTTAAAAATATTTAACTGAAAAAGAATGGTTCATGCAATTTACCTGCCCTTATTTATTGACATGATGGGAAGTTTGTTAAAAATCTACTAGAAATGTCATCATAAACGTCTGAGGGAGGAAGAAAATCCACCATTTTTCATGATTCTAATAACACTGTTCTTAAGACCTAAGAATTGAAGATAGAATTTTGACATCATCACTGGTAATGTTCCACAAAAACAGATGGGAAGTGCCAAAAGTTTGGAAAGGTGAAAATATGACCTCACCTTCCAAAACAGGGGAGAGAAGTTGATGGCAAAACTCTACAGCAGATTACTAATGAGTTAGGTTACGAGTATCTCTTAAAGAAGGGATGTAATGGTTCCACAGTGTGGCATAGATGTGGAAGAATGGGGAGTTTTGAGTGTCCTATTTGGGGAGGTTTCTTGGCATTCTGAAACATCTCAAAAGGAAGTGTATCCTTGCTCTCCAAGCCTTCGGAAGCATCTCTTAAGTTGACCCTGTGTTACATGGCCTCCAAGGCCACAGTAGAAGTAGGGTTTCTGCTGTCTAATTAGCTGTGAAGTCAGACGAACCTGATTTTGAATGCTGGCTGTGTCAGTTATTGGTTGAATTACCAAGGACAAGTTATTTAGTGTGTCTAACCCTCAGGTTCCCCATCTGTAAAAAGGGGGTATTAATAGTTCCTATCTATTAACGTTGTAATGAGAACTGAGCATGAACTCACAGCACTTAGCGTGATGTATAGCACATGGCGTGTCCTAAGCAAGTAGGAGCTGCAAGTGGTGTGCCAGACTGCATTTGCGAAAGCTCTGTGTGGCATTGCCCTATACACGTCTTCAGCTGGAGAGTCCTCATGCTTGAAAAGCAGATCCTGCCAGCTATCTTATAGAGAGAATTCCTGAGTTGACTGAATATTGGACTAGATGATCCACAAAACTCTTCCAGTTCAGAGTCTGTAATTCTTTGGCTTTTATAAGACCACAGTTTCCAGGCAAAGCTGAAATGGTACTGGGCCACAAAGGGACCTCTCCTTTTTCACCCGTTTGGAAAACTTGTGGTGCTGTGACTGCCTCTTGTCTAGTTACCAGGTTTCTACACCAGGGGGTGAATCATTTTTTGGGAAACATCCCTGACATCCCTGATTGAAAAGAGCATCTGGCTACCTCTTATGGAAATGGAGACTGGTTACCCGAATTACCAAAGGTATCACGTACACGAGAAGGATGGGGCAGAGAGGACTGGACACCTGGGTCCCTAAATCATCACATGCAGAGCAAGAACAAGGCAGAGAAAACTGAACACCTGGATCCCAATGTATGACATCCAGGAGAAGGACAGGGCAGAAAGGATGGAATGCGTGGGTCCCAAAAGCATCACATGCAGTTGAAGGACTGGGTCAGAGGGAAAAGCTCCATCCACCCGTGCATCTCTGGAAGTAGGGCCTGATGAAGGCAGCTGCATTTTGGTCTTCCTTACCTCTGTGGCTTCCTTCCCCACCTCACCTTCTATTCTCTTCTGAGTAACCCAGCATGTTGTATAATGATAAATGTTCATAAGGCTGCCCCTAGGACATAGCATTAGCCATTGCTGCCTTCCTTTGTGTATTTGTGCAGCCAACATTTTTTATTCATTCATCCAACATTTTTTGTTCATCCAAAAAATGTTGGATGAATGAATGTACAAATGAAAGCAGCAAAGGATAATGATTATATCCATCAGCTCCCCGCTGTAGTCATAGTAAAGGGAAATGTTCAGAGATAGATGACTGCGGACTACAGTGGTCGTCATGAGCAAAGATGCCCCAAATGGTGTCTGCCAGCAGGTTTGAAGCAATGAATATTTGGGGTCTCAATGCACAGGGGCCAGTGGGGGCTGCAGGCATGGGGCCAGCAGGTACCAGGAAGGTTTTCTGTTGCAGTTTCCTCACCTGGAAAATCCAATTGCCTGCATTGCCATGTTCCTAATTGGGGAAGAAATTGTGTCTAATAAGAGATATTCAATCCTTTAGTTTTGAGAAACTAAGGACTTCCCAGGGTTTGAGAGAAGGGGGAGATGGCATCATCAGGAATGCTTGCACTGCAAGGGAGCATGTGGCTGTGGCTCTTATTTATTTATTTATTTATTTTACCACACATGTTTATAAATGTAGATTTTTAGACAGAACAACCATTTCAGCATTTTAAGCCAGTGCTTGCTAGGTCTCTGCTTAGAAAGAATACTTTGCCCTCAAACCCATTTTCAACCCCAATTCCAAAAACAACAGAGATGAGAGAAATTTTGGATTTAATGATTCTTAAGTGCCTGAACTTGACATTGCAACATGCTTGAGAACATCGTAGCTCAGTGTCAGGAATTCTGCAAGAGGTCACAACTAAGGAAGGAAAAAATCAAAAGCAGCAGCATGAAGTGAGCTGAATATGAAAATCCTGCCAATCTATATTTGTCCAAAGACATAAAACTGAAACAAATCAGTAAATTTGCTTGGTAATGAAATGCATGCTGCTTCTAAAGCTTGCTGTCTTCTCTGGGACATTTATGAATTCTGAACTTGTATGTTCATTTGTGGGTTTACCACTCAAAAGCATGTCGCTTCTGGCCCGTGTGGCTCTTCCTGTGGTTCCACATGCATTTCCTAATCTGGCCATCCATGGAGATCAGAGAGAGGGCTTGAGTTTTCCTGCCTCCCTCCCTCCCTCCGGCACCCTCCGCCCCACTGCGTCATCTCTGAGCCTCTGCACTGAGAATGTTTTATCTAAAACTGAGCTTCAATTTGAAGTCTGCCTAAAATCTGACCTTCACATTCACCTCCTTCTGGAAGCAAAAGACGTAAATTCAGCATTTTTATTTCACTGCATATGGTAACTTTCTTATGCACTGCTTTTTAGAAGAGCAAAAATAAAACATTAGGGGCATGACTAGTGTCACCAACTTCTTCTCTCTCTCTCCTCCAGGAAATATTTATTAGAGATTGACTGTATGTTGGGCACTGAGCTGGCACAATAGGCATAATTTGAAGGAGGACACCAAGGAGGATTTAAAACAATATCAGGTGACCATCCTCCTCACCAGGGCAGGTTTTAGGGTTTGCGGGGCTGTGGGCAACTAATTTTTGTAAGGCTCCTGTCTACACAATTTGATTGTAAAATATGTTACAAAATTCATGGGTCCACGTGGGGTATAGTGATTTATCAATGGGGATTTGCGATAGTGGGTGGAGAAGAGGAACCGCTGTATTTTTCTATCATCCAGCCAGTGCACGTGATGTTTGTGGTGTCCAGGCATCATCTCTTCTTTTTCTTTATTGTCAAAGGCAGCATTCCTGGTCAAGGTCATATCTCTAGGAAGAAAAGGTAGCAAAGCTGTCATCACTCACTGCCATGGGTCTCAGGGACCTGTTTGTACTGAAACAATGTAGACCTGGGACCGTTCATGCACCACTGGTCACATCACCTGTGAGGCTGCAGTGTCACGACCAGGCATGGCTTCTGCTGACTCTCAAAGTGGTTTATGTGCTTTGCTGACATGGACCACCAATGCCAGGATTACCCAGATGATTCAGGAAAATGCAAATGAAGATTTATTTTCTGGTCATGTGGTATTTTGAGTTATGTAGCATGAATGTGGAATAACCCATCATCCACGGCGTCATCCCTTGACTTCTTTTTTTTTTTTTGAGATGGAGTCTCCCTCTGTCGCCCAGGCTGGAGTGCAATGGCGCGATCTCGGCTCACTGCAACCTCCACCTCCTGGGTTCAAGTGATTTTCCTGCCTCGGCCTCCTGAGTAGCTGGGATTACAGGTGTGCGCCACCATGCCCAGCTAATTTTTATTTTTAGTAGAGACAGTGTTTCACCATGTTGGTCAGGCTGGTCTCGAACTCCTAACCTCGTGATCCACCCACCTCAGCCTCCCAAAGTGCTTACAGGCATTGGGCCCTGGGATTACAGGCATGAGCCACTGCACCCAGCCATCCCTTAACTTCTTTAGGCTGACATCATGGCATGCCTATAATGAATGGGGTCTCTTTCCCCATGGACAACATCTGCCTTCCACGCCGCACCAGCAGGAGGCCAGGTGAGAGGGCTGCAGCAGAACAAGGACAGGGAGCCCATCCATACAAGATGGGCTGTCCTTGCTAGTGATGGCTTCAGAATGACCCAACAGAGCAGTGTGGCCACATTGATGGGAAGTTTCATCAGGAGAAATGGATTTGACCACCTCCAAAACATAGCAAGACACATGTGCAGAGTCTGTGGAGGGCGGCTGGTCAGTGGGTGCTGTGCACCATGAGGGACACATGTTGGCACCTACAGCACCATCCGGTGCTATGAGCTAGAGGGCGTCACAGCCAGAACACAGAGGGGAGGAGCCCATGTGTGGAATTGCACACAGGCTGAGACTCAAGGACCATGGTCACCTTAACCAGGCTGTCAGCACCACTCTGATGGCCAGATCCCAAACGATCTCCGGTGGCAGTGAGTGGGAGTGACGGCCATGCTGGGCTGCCCCCTGGAGCCAGAGCCCACCCACGACCCACATGACTCCACAGGCACAGGTCCCTCAGCTGCTCTGGGCACCTGCAAGGAGTGGGTCAGTGCATGGGGCCAAAGCACAGGCCCCTTCAAGTGGGGAGCCCTGCAGGGGACCCTTGCTGGGCCAAAGGGCCTTGCTGCCCCTCACTTCCCAATATGTCAGGAGAAAAGATTGGGTGAGGCCCCGGGGTCATTAGAGGGATGTGTTGAGGGAAGCTGGCCAGGGACTGTGAGACGGAAGCCCAGCACCTAGACACTGAGGGCTGCCTGCACTGGGAGCCTCAAGCCACATGGGAAGCCAGACTGCAGGCTCTGGAAGCTGGTGGGACCAAACTCTCAAGATGCTCCCTAACCTGCACATACACTTGACGGCAGAGAAGGGGTGTTGTTAATTCCCCATGTTTCGGTGTAAGGATGAGAACGAAATGTAACTACCTTTATGCTTATCATTCTGAGGAAGACACAATATGTGGATTAATTCAAGGAACAGTTTTTAAAAGCAAAGTAACTTTTAGGTAATAAAATTGACTTGTTTTGAAAGATTCTTTTCCAAAACCATAAGGAAAATAAGCCAACAATAGGAGGTTACAAAGGTTGGTATTCAGGCAACCTAATTCAATTGCTAGATCTTGCCTCTGTGGATGAAGGAAAGGCTGTGAGTGTAGACCAGAAAGCCTGGGCCAAGTCCTGAATCACTCACTGGGTGATCTTGAAAAAAGTCACCTACATTGTTTGATTTCGGTTTCCCCACCTTAAAATAAGAATAATATTAACACATCTCACAATGAGCTGTTTTTAAGATCCAATGAGATAATGTACAAAAAGTGCAGTGTAAAATGCCAAATGCCAGATGGATATTAGTTCATTCTTACTTAACCACAAAGAAGGTTTCCTCCTTGGCTCTCAGATGCCTCAGCGCAGCTGCAGAGTTCTTGGGCATTCTGCCACTGCCTTCTTTCTGGCCACATCCCCCCAACCACTCACGATGGGGTCCCTGAGGATGTCCACGTGCAAATCCCTGACACTCGTGATGAGGTTAGGCTACATGACAGAAGGGAACTAAGGTTGCAGATGGAATTAAAGTTGCTAGTCCACTGACTTTAATTAGGGGGACGATCCAGGATTTTCAGATGGGCCCAAGGTAATGACAAGAGTGGAGGAAGGGGACAGAAAAGTCAGACAGAGAAGGGGGGATGTGACAGCAGGAACAAGGGCAGAGTGAGCCACGTGAAAGGACTCCATTCACCATCTGTCGCTGGCTTTGAAGATGGAGGAAGGAGCCACCAGCCAAGGAATGTGGCAGCCTCTCGAAGTGGGAAAAGAGCAAGGATACCGATTCTCTCCCAGAGCCTCCAGGAAAGGACACAGCCTGTTGACACCTTGATTGTAGCTCAGTGAGACCCATTTTTTGGACTTCTGATCTCCAGACCTGTAAGATAATAAATTTGTATTGTTTTAAATCACGAAATTGGTGGTGGCCATTCTGATAGCCTGGGAATTGGTGGTAATCTGTGAGAGCTGCAATAGACAACAAATAGTGCAATATCTGCTATCAAACTAGCTATAGCAAACAGATGGCTTATTACAGTGGCAATAGGTGAGAAATACAGCACCTCATTTCCCAAGCACCCTGCAGGCTTTCCCAATCCTGTGGGATTGGGACTGAAACTAACTCTGCAAAGATTATGACAGTTAGATAAATCCAACATAGTTGACTCCATCTGTGACAGTAAGATAAATTCGATGTAGTTGACTCCATCATGCTTCTAACCTCCAAGCTATTGTTAGTCACTCCTGGGTGTAGGCCAAGCTAACTTTGGGAGGAATTTAGTTTAGAGTTTAAGCTTCAAGAAATGATGATAATACCCCTTCTCAACACCAAACTGCCTTTGTAAAACTAACGAAAGGCCACAAGCTTAGGATTATGACAGGGACCTAAATTCTGCTAAGAGGTAGGCGTAAACAATAACCAGCTATTGTTGAGGAGGTCACAAGGTTTGTGACTTCTCCAATTACTCCTGTAGATAACATCACTATCGTAGATACTATGATTGGCCTTTTGAGATGTTTTTTGAGACTTTTGCATTTCTGATGATTGGCTGACTCCACCTGGACCAACAACTCATGACTCAACTGTTCCTGTGGCTCCTACCAGAGATTGACTCAGCCCACAAGGACTGTTTTCCACACCCCTATGATTTCATCCCCAACCAATCAACATTCCCCATTCCCTGCCTTGCCAAACTTTCCTTGAAAAACCCTAACCTCCAAGCCTTCAGAGAGACTGGATTTGAGTGAAAACTAGGCCTTCCACATGCCTAGCCTGGCAGCAATTAACTTTCTTCACTGCAATACCGTAGTCTCAGTGAACTGGTTTTGTCTGTGCAGCAGGCAAGAAGAACCCATTAGGCAATTATGCAGCTCTCGACTTCTAACCCTTTTTAGACCATGAGAATCCTACTTACCCTTTAATCCCTGGTCGGATGTCTCCTCCTTCACAAAGCCCTCCCCAGCTTCCCTTTGGCTAGGTACAATGACACCTTCCTATAACTTTCTGCAGTGCTTGGCTCATTTCAGTATATTTCTGTTTCAGATTACAGTTTAATATTTGCAAGTGTGTCTTCTCTGACAGACCGTAAGCTGTATAAGTTAAGGGATGGCCTTTTAGTTATTTCTGTACCCCTCACAGTGCCTAATTCAGAGCTTTGAACTGAGAAACAAAACTGAAATCCTAAGCCCTCCAACAAACTGAATAGACCCCCACTTGGCCAAGAGGACCCCAGAGAACCCCTAAAAACTGAGTTCTGGCCATGATAGGATGGGAACTCAGACATGTTTCACTATCCCCCCTCGTTTGCTGGCCCCATTAGCTTTTCTTCACTGGGGGCTGAACAGAAACCAGCCCTTTGGAAAGACTACTCCACACCTGATATCAACCAACTGCATGACAGTGCCCATCCCTTTTGCAGTTTCAAAACAACTGACCAGCATTCCTTCCTGATAAGACTACCACTGACCACAGTGTGGTTTTGGCCAGTCTACAGAGGATCCACAGAGAGGGTTTTTTTTTTTCTTTTCCTTTGCTTCACCTTTTGACATCAGAGGGCTAAAGTCTCCACCCTCATGTCATGCTAATGCCACTGTTTTTGGACCTGGGTCCCCATGGAAAGGCATGAAGCTCAGTTGTGCGTGTGCATGTTTCTCCTCCCATAAATATCCACAACTCCTCCTAGAGATTGTTAAATATGTATACTTGGCCACACCATTCCGTATACATTCTTGCACCCTTTGCCCCTCCCTCTGAGTATCTGTTTCTGGCTTCTGGCTAGAGGCTACGATTCCCAGCCTATCAGACTGGCCACCAGCACACTGCCCTTTATGAGAAATGAAGTTCTCCTTTCCAGATGTATGAGCCTAATCATTCTTCAGTTGACAAAATCTTGCAACCTCTGTGTGCCGAAGTAACATAAAGTAAATTAAAAGGATATTTTTCACAACAAGCTACTATCTTAATCAAGGTCCTCCAGAGAAACAGAGCCAATGGTGTCTATAAAATGAGGAATTGGCTCCTATGACTATGGAGGCTGAGAAGTCCCATAATCTGTTGTATATAAGCAGGAGGCCGAGGAAACCCAGTGGTAATTCAACAGGAGCCAAAGGCTGGAGACCCAGGAGAGCTGATGGTGTAAATAACAGTTGAGGGCTGGAAAGATGAGACATTTCAGCTCCAGAAGTGAGGCAAGAAGGAAAAGGGACAGGTTCTTCCTTCCTCTGCCTTCAGGCTGTCAAGGGATTGAATGAGGCCCACACACATTGGGGAGGGCCATCTGCTTCAGATGCTAATCCCCTGGAAACACCCTTACAGAAGTCACAGTTAATCTGGGTACCCCACACTGCAGTCCAGGTGACACAAAACACAGTTACCCAGAGGGGCCTCAGCAAGGCAGACAGGCTTGTGACCCAGGAAGAGGTTAGGAGGCTTCTCTTCTCCAGCCCTGATCCTGCCTTCTTTGCCATCAAGGACCTTTCTGGGGCACCCAGGGTCTCTTTTTGCCACATCATTTACTGTCTTTCAGCCTTCTTTTCCCAACCTCCCAGACTGCTTCCTCACTATCATTTTTTTCCAGAATATATTGTTCATGGCCATTATTATTATCTTAGAGTGAAATTAAATCATATGTTACCTCTCTCATTGTGTTTACATTTCAGACTTTATGTGTACTTCTGGAATGAAAAGCTCTTCACTCGTTAAAAGCATTTAGGACTTTCATTGCACATTACAAAAAAGCACTGGGTTGGGACTTAGAAAACCTACAAAAGGTGGACACTATGTAGAACACTTTTAGGATTTCTTCCATCCTGAGATTCTGCAATTTTTTTTTTTTTTTTTTGAGACAGAGTCTCGCTCTGTCTTCCAGGCTGGAATGCAGTGGCCCGATCTTGGCTCACTGCAAGCTCTGCCTCCCAGGTTCACGCCATTCTCCTGCCTCAGCCTCCCGAGTAGCTGGGACTACAGGCACCCGCCACCACGCCCAGTTAATTTTTTATGTTTTTAGTAGAGACGGGGTTTCACCGTGTTAGCCAGGATGGTCTCGATTTCCCGACCTCGTGATCCGCCTGCCTCGGCCTCCCAAAGTGCTAGGATTACAGGCGTGAGCCACCACACCTGGCCAAGATTCTGCAAATTTTAAAACCTGTGGAAAAAGAGTTTGAAAGAATAAGTCAGGGTAAATTTGCCAGGGATAATAGAGCTGCAGTTTTTCCATAAACTCTGTTTTCCCTGTAACTGTGTAAAAAAAAAGGTAATCTTACAGGGACATGTGATATGGTCCTGTAGTCAGTGCCAGGCACAGGAGCAACCTCTGTCAAGTAGTGTAGAGGGAAAATAGCAATGGGATATGGGGCATAGCTGGTCTGGGGCTAAGCACATTTTGTTCAGGCCAGGCCTAACCTAGAAAAATGCTCTTTGAGATGCAAGAGGTGGCACAGCCAACAACCAAGAAACAGCTCCTGACCTCTTGGTCTGTGTGGTATGCTGTGCTGGGGGGGGACTTGGGTTACTTCTTGTGGACACACTATTAGCTGGAACCTATTCAGTGGAGCTGCTTACACAGAAATTTTCCAGCACACAGCTGCACATAACTAGAGCCCTGTTTTCTCAACCAAGACTCACAGTAGGAATTGCAATTTACATCATAACTCAGTACTCAAAAGGCTGGCCTTGGATGTATTCTCATGGCTCAAGGATTTTCTCCAAGTTCTTCTCCTTGCCATTCTTCTGTCCAGTTGCCTCAAACCTAAATTTCCCCCTTGTGCCTGTCTTCTTTAGTCTTCTTTAGTCTCTTTAGTCCCACCTCTTCTTTGGGAGGACTGCATAGTTTTTAACTTTGGTTTCTACATAAGATGTTTTCTCTTGCTGGGTTCCCTTGTCTCCAAGCATCATAGCCCAGGGGCAACTCCTTACCCAGCTACTACACCCAGTCTTGGCATGCAGACTCCACCCACCCCAGCTCAGGTGCAGCGCCCCAGGTCCTTGCTGTGTGGGAGGAAGAATCAGACAGGGAGTGACATGGCTCATGGCTGAAGATCTGGGAATCCAGTACACGCTCTGAGTCAGCAGGGAGGTAGCAAGCAGGCTTTACCACCCAGAGCACGATGGCTCATTTTTTGGGGCCTTTGGGATGGAGGGCACAGTAGCCAAGGATAAAGGTATAAAGGCACCTTGGAATGACCAGGGGAACTGACCACCTCCATTGCCTGAACCAAACTTATTCTACTTGTCGGTTTGGGACTTTCCTGTTGCCTGTCTGTCATGGTTCACTTTTCCTCTGAGAGTGTTTCAGTTCCAAGCTGCTTGTAATTTTTAATTTACTGTTCATATACTTGTGTGCGAAGTTGACACGGATGTAGATGTAGCTCGTATATAGCTGAAAACACACTGAATAAATCAGTGGCAACATCTGCTCCCCTGGGGGCCTAGGTGCTCCTTCTCAACCCACCCACCACGAGGATACATGGGCAGCCTGGGATATCTTGTTTCTTCCCTTCAACGGATGTTCATAAAAGGAAAAAATATCACACATATTCGTCCAAATTCCTTCTCTGAATATGTAAAAGAAGCTTGTCCAACCCGCAGACCATGGGCTACATGAGGCCCAGGAGGGCTTTGAATTTAGCCCAACACAAATTCGTAAACTTTCTTAAAACATTAAAACATGAGATTCTTTTGGAATTTTTTTTTTTAGCTCATCAGCTATCATTAGAGTTAGTGTATTTTATGTGTGGCCCAAGACAATTCATCTTCCAATGTGGCCCAGGGAAGCCAAAAGATTGGATGCCCCTGGTGTAAGACAGCCCCCTTTGAATTCTAGGCATCCCCTGTATTAAGAACTAATGAGTATATTAATTCCAGTGTGTATCTAGCCATCTAACTTTGACCTTGGATTTCTCTTTGGGGGTAACCTTTTCATGAAATGCCTTTCCTCGGTGTTTAAGACCTTAAATCTCCCCACAATGAGCAGGTGGTTGTCTTTGAGAACTATGTGAGAAAACACAGCATTTTGCCATGTAATTAGGCCTCTGGGGCACAAGGCTCTTTACAGTTATAACACACTGCCCGGCTGAGGCTGTGTCTGTCAGGAGTGCCGCTCCTCTGCGTGGTCTTCGGGTCAGTGTGTAGACTGATCGCGTTTTGGTGAGGAAAGGACATCTTATATGCTGTATCGGCAATTACACCCTGTCTATGAATTGCTCATTGCTGAACATGATTTGAATTTCAAAGGATGCAAAAGAGGACACTGGAGCTCATGAAATTCTCCCTTTTCATCTCCCCCCACCGCCACCAAGGTAATAAAAAATTCAGTGTCAAGCTAAGCAGCTGAAGCAATTGTTGAGACGGGAACTGCAAATCACAAGTCAGGCTCTGTCTCGATTCTGATTATATTTCTCATGATAGTTTAAGATCTGAAACCTACTTTTTCCTTAGTTATCAATATACAGAAGCAAAGTAACTTTTGGGTCCCCAAATCTGCACAGTAACATAGGGAATGGGATATATTTCTGTTGGGGAAGCATTCTTTATTTTTAAATGTCAAAGGAATTGGGTATTCAGCAGGACACCTAAGGAATAGAATGCTGGGTGTTAAGATCCGAAGGCAAAAACACTGTCCTTATGATTGTGCCTTCAGAACATATTTTCCACTTCTCGGTTAAATAGACATTTACGTCATACGCCTGCATTTGAAAGCTAAGTTCCTGTGTGGGGCCAGGAGAGCACCAACATGCAGATTTCACATTCCTACAAGTTTGCAAATAAATAATTGTGCCTGTGTTGAGAGTGTCAGGTGCAGTGAAGTCTGGGGAGAAGGGGCCATAGTGTTCTATATATTCATTCATTCTTCAAAAAAGAGTGATTGTGTTCATGCCCCCAGTACAGTCCTATACACGAAGGATACAACAGAGGCCTGCTTTCCTGGGAGAGACAAGAACAGATGAATACAGAAAAGAGCGTGCAGTGTCAGTGCAAGGCGAGGACTGAGAACCGGGCGATGCGGCTGCACAGCTGGGTCAGTGTGGATGATCGGGAAGGGGCTGTCTGATGGGCTGGCCCCTATGCTGAGATTTTTCTTTCTTTTTATTTTCATTTAAGATGGAGTCTTGCTCTGTCACCCAGGCTAGAGTGCAGTGGCATGATCTTGGCTCACTGCAACCTCCGCCTCCCAGGTTCAAATGATTCTCCTGCCTCAGCTTCCCAAGTAACTGGGATTACAGACGCCTGCCACCATGCCCAGCTAATTTCTACATTTTCAGTAGAGATGGGATTTCACCGTGTTAGCCAGGCTGGTCTCGGACTCCTGACCTCAAGAGATCCACCTGCCTCATCCTCCCAAAGTGCTGGGATTACAGGTGTGAGCCACTGTGCCCGGCCCTGAGATTTGAAAAGCAAAGAGAGCAGCTACACGATGATCAGGGAAGATGAGTTGGATGCCAAAAATCCCTTGCCCTATTCGTGTTGGTTAAATCAGGGAACAAGACTTGCAGGGCAAGGAGCAGCGAGTTAAGGCTCTATGATGAGGGAATGCTGGCAACTTGAAGGAAAAGCAAGGTCACCTGTGAGCTTCAAAGTGGCATGGAGACGAGGCAGGGCCACAGGTGGAGGGCTGAGCCTCGGGGTGAGGAGTTTGAATTCTATGAGGGATGTGAGGAAGCCTTTACAGGGCAAGCAAGGGAAGGGCATGATACACTAAATGTTAAGTGAATGCCTCCGGCTGCCAGGTGGAGGAAGGATTACAGAGAAGCTGGGGAGAACCAGGGAGAGCTGCTAGACTCCACGTGGTGGGCGTGGTGGGCGAGTACCAGCAGAAGCCGCCTGGACAGCAACCGGAAGTGCGGTGGCTCTGGTGGGCGTGGTGGGCGAGTACCAGCAGAAGCCGCCTGGACAGCAACCGGAAGTGCGGTGGCTCTGGTGGGCGTGGTGGCTGAGTACCAGCAGAAGCCGCGTGGACAGCAACCGGAAGTGCCGTGGCTCTGGACTCTGGGCTGTCGTAGCCAAACACGCCTTCTTGGCCGAGTGGTGGCATTCTGCCTGCCCCCTGTGGGCATCATTGAGATTCTGCTCCCCAGCTTCCGCAGTGCTCCGTTTTGTGATGGAAAGTCAGCATCCCTTGCCTTAGGAGAAACCCAGGTATCTGGTGATGGAAGAACTTTTGAGGGAAGCTTGAGACTGGCCAGTCCACACTCTGCTTAACCAAGGGAAGGGCACCACTTCTACCACCAGGAGATACCTGCTGTGGGACACAGTGCTGCTCCAGCCATGCAGAAGCTCACACAGGCCTGCAGCAGTTATTCATCCGTGCACAGCTGCCACTGGCCAGCAGAGCCTGTGACGGGGCCTTCACAGGTAATTCCCAAGATCAAAACAGCCTCTTGTACTTAAAATAATTGCTTTGCCACCATTTCCAAGATGCTGCAGAGTGCTTCTGAATTCTGTTCATTTCAAAGAACCCACTTCCTCTATTTGAAAAACGGGTATTTTAATGTCTGCCAGGCCACAATTCCATGAGGCATGATGGTGTGCAGAATGTTCTGGAGATTTCCATAAGAAAGATCTCTAAGGGCCAGAACTGACTAAAGTCATGTAGGCCACCTCTAAAAGAGGCAAGGCTCAAAGATAAATACTAGCATCAAAAGAGAGGTCCTTTGGTGTGATATGCCCCATGTCATTCAGCTTTGTTGTGGCCAGTCATCGTTGGTGGCAGCTGACTGGTGGCAGAATCACACCCACTGTGTGATTCTCTGCAGAAGGCTGGTGATTTGAGGATGGACAGGAAGTTCTGAACTCAGGAATACCATGCATTTTCACAAGCGTTTTCACTTTGCCTTAAGATTTGTAGAAGAGTTAAGTTGGGATCCCATCATCAGCAAAACCTAACACCACCATCCTGAGATAAGCTAAGAAAAGCTAAGAAAAAGATAAGCTGAGAAAAGCTAAGGAAAGATTTGTCAACCTTTCTTCTAGATCAGAACAGCAAACGTGATGCAGGATTTCCTGAGGTTGGGACCGGACCGAAACGTTTTCCATCTTCTATTTTTGTTTACTCAGCTTCAACTGCCACCTTTTATGCTATCCTGGGGGCAAGGGGGCACCCATGTGAATGAGAGATACTGGATTTGGCCAAGATCATTAGGCAAGGGTGCCGTTCCCACACAGTAATGCCTTGCAGGCACAAGGATGGAAAATTATGCCAGGAATGCGATACCGCCAAGCCTGAACACAGAGAGGACACGACGTTGGCACAGGCCTGTTGGGTCTTGACTTCAGCCTGCAGAGGAGCTGGAGGAGGCTGGCAGACTCTGCTCACAAATGGGAAGGCCCAGCTGCCAATGGCTTTTCCTCTCTGCCCATGTAACACTTTTTGTGGGGAATGTGTGGACACAGCTTGAGGCTTTGTATCCACCCTGTCAGTTGGTGAGATAGAGAAGAGATGGGCTGATGGTTATTGAGGCACTACTGCTCAGATGGGGCATTGTTGGAGCCCATAGATGGGGCATTGTTGGAGTTGTAATGAGAGAAGTTGCTAGTGGCCCCTGGAGCAAGACACCTGGAGCTTCTATTCAGCTTGCTCTTCTTCAACATCCATGCTTCTGTAAGATGAGATTTGCACGGTGCTTTTATTTATATATTTTATTATTATTATTTTGAGATAAGGTCTTGCTCTGTCACCCAAGCTAGAGTGCAGTGGCATAACCATCGCTCACTGCAGCATTGACCTCCCTGGCCCAAGCAATCCTCCCAACTCAGCCCCCTGAGTAGCTGGGACTACAGGCACACACCATCATGCCCAGCTAATTTTTAAATTTTTGTAGAGTTGGGATCTCACTCTGCTGCCCAGGCTGGCCTTAAACTCCTGGACTGAAGTGATCCTCTTGCCTCAGCCTCCCAAAGTGCTAGGATTACAGTCATGAGCCAGCATGCCCACCCACATCATCCTTTTAGAGTGACAAATTCGGGCTGGCTCGGTGGCTCATGCCTGTAATCCCAGCATTTTGGGAGGCCGAGGCAGGTGGATCACCTGAGGTCAGGAGTTCAAGACCAGCCTGGCCAACATGGTGAAACCCTGTTTCTGATAAAAATACAAAAATTAGCTGGATGTGGTGGTGGGCATCTGTAATCCCAGCTACTTGGGAGGCTGAGGCAGGAGAATCACTTGAACCCAGGAGGCAAAAGTTGCAGTGAGCCAAGATCGTGCCACTGTACTCCAACCTGGGCAACAGAGGGAGACTCTGTCTCAAAAGAATAAAAAATAAAAAAAAGTTAAGAAGGACAAATTCAAATAGGTCTAGGGGAGAGGCAGAAAAGCTGCTTTATGTTAGGACCTGGCTTGTATGAGAGGGAACAATAACTGCAAATGTGGAAAACTGGTAGGGAGAAAGGGGATGAGACTGATTTTGTATCACTCTAAATGGTAACTACGCTGACAAATGGAAATATCGAAGGAAAGTTTCCACTCAATAGAAATGAAGTGTTTTCCAATAATTAGAATGGTGGAAAAAAAAAAGTGGCTCCAGGTGAGAACACCCAGAGTTCAAATTCCAGGTTTGTGACTGACCACCTCTGTGACCACAGGCACATTAGACAATGACTCTGAGCATGTTTTCTCATCTGCAAAACACATATGTTTTTGACGATTTCTTATTGATCACCAACTACATGCCATGTTCTAGAGACCATGTTCCACCCAAGAGTTGGAAAAAAAGGGGTAAATAAGTCCTGCAGTTTGCCTTCTAGGTGGGAAGAAAGAATAAAGAATGAAGTGAAATACCCACTGCACAGTGATCAGTGTGATGAGAACAGAACAGCAGGGACAGACATAGGTGTGGGTAGGGTGTGGCTGTGTGTGAGCTGGTAGGAAAAATCTCTCCCCCTAAGGTGATAAGACTGAATGAAAATCACACATCTAACACCATCCACATATAGTAAACAACAAATAATAGCTCCTTTCCCTGCCCATTTTAGCAATGGAAAGGCTATAGAGAGAGGCACTGATCCCCTGGCCCTTCGGTGTCACATGGCTCTGCCATGGCTGGGTGGACAGGTTATGCCTCTCATCTGTAGTATTACCTTGGGAAGTAATAAGCCAACATATGCAGTGTGCTTAGAGCAGCACCTTGCACATAGCAGGTGCTGTGTGATTGACAGATCTTCCTGTGATTGCTTTCCCTTTGATTCGCAGGGCTCCCACATGCAACACCCATTGTGGAGCACCAAAATGATCTCATTGCAGGCAGTGTGAGAATGCAGAACCAGCCAAAAGGAAGCACTCTCCAGTGCATTATTCTCATGCCGCAAAGACCTCCTGGGCAGTAGGAGGGGCCTCTCCCTGGCAGAGGGCTGGATTTGTTGACCATATGACAGTGGGCCTTTCAGGCCATCTGAAAGCAGACAGCAACAGGAGGTGTGGTCTTGCTGGAAATGCTGTAAGGACGATCCATTGAGCACATCACAGGCAGTGGATTTATTGTTCAGATGGGTAGTGACTAAAGTGTGAACAAGTGGGAGAAGGTTTCCATGAGCTGGCAGGGCTCATTCACTAGGAGTGTTGGTTTCTCTTTTGCACGGATTAAAACAGTCACCTGGATCATTCTTAATCTCGATCAGCTACTTGTTTAACATAAGTTTCAGCTGAGAACTAAGACAAGCTGACCAGGGCAGGCACTCCTGTTCTCTGTTCTTGGCTCCACTATCTGCACCGTGAGGCCTGAGGACTGCATATGACCTTCAAGCTCTCTCTCAGCTCAGACACGGTACAGTTCTCGGATGTACCTGGGATCTGAGCAAGGCGAGTGGCTCTAGGATAAGAGGATACTGGAATGATCCATGGGGGGAGAGGTGCCTTTCACTCTCCAGATGGTCCTTAGAGCAGCAGTCTCAATGTCAGCACAGTGACACGCGGGTCAAAACTGCCATGCTCACACTGTGGCCTCCCCGTTTGTTTACAGGGACATCAGACCAGCTGGACTCAGTTGGCTTTCACCACTGGGATGGCTTCTGCAACCCTCGACACCAGCCCAGGAGCTGCAGCACAGCTCATAGTGGGGCTGGCCAGGGACTCTCCTCAACATCTGAGAACATTGTTCTCCAAAGAGTATGGGTTTCTGGAAAACACACTTATCTGTTTCTTCTGCTGTCCTCCCATAAAGGCAACTTCCCACCCACAGTTGAATTCCTTCAGCTCTTCTGAAACTTCTTTAGTCTCTTGGGGCCCAGGAGGTCAGAGGGGTGTAAAAGATGTCTTGCCTTCTGCCTAAGCTCCCCTATCCACCTCTGAGTTCAGTGGAGAGCAAGCAAAAGTGTAAGGTCATGTGATATCAACGTCCTCCCCACATACTCTTCATTCCCTGGGAGAATAACTACTGGAGAAAAAAAAAAATGGTGCCTCTTTCAAGAACCGAGTCATTGTGACGACCTCTGGGCCACGTGGTCAGGAGCTGTCGATGGTGTCCGGCCAACAGTTAGCAAGAAAGCAGAGACCCCAGACCCCTTATAACCACAAACAGCTGAATTCTACCATCCACTTATTGAACTTGAGAGACTACCATAAGCTACAAATGAGATCCGTGGCATGACTAATACCTGACTGCACCTTCGGGGGACCCTGAGCAGAGGATCCAGCTAAGCCATCCAGACTGCTGGTTGGCAGAAATGTGAGCTCATACATGGGTTTTGTTTTATGCCACTAACTTTATGGTACTTTGTTACTATAATGCACTTTGTTTGTATAGTGATAAATAACTATACAAAGGGGAAAAAATCTCAGCCTCATAAACAGATAGTTACTTTGAGTTCCCTAAAGGGGTACTATTTTTTGGGTGAAAGTGACAGTTCCAGTGAGTAAAGATGCTCCTTGGCAAGATGCATATTAAACTATTTTCTTTTTTTAATTTTTAAATTATTTTGTAGAGATGGGGGTTCTCACTATGTGGCCCAGGCTGGTCTCAAACTGCTGACCTGAAGTGATCTTCTTGCCTCAGCCTTCCAAAGCACTGGGATTATATGCAGGACTCAACATGCTCAGCAATTTAATTACCTTCTTTTTTGGAAAAAAATTTACCTGCATGAGGTATAAATACCTTGGATGACTTGAGTTCTCCAACAATAGAGAAGAAATTTTGCAAATGACACATCAATTCCAATTTAATATTCCCATGGAATATGAGAAATGTAAAATAGAAAACAAGAAAAACCAGTTAAACTAATCAGTAATAGCAGAACCATTTTTAAACTCATGTCCACAAGGTCAAAGTTTCCATGCAAACATTTATTTAAGATGAACATATGTACATTTAATAGGAACTAAGGGCAAATAATCACTGAACTCTCCTTTCATCAGTTCCGTTTTACTTCTTACTTTTATCATTGCCGAGCCATGTATTTTTCTATGCTACATCCTATATTTTAATTGTGCTTCTTTAAGTGATGCTATTTCATGTTCATAAGCCATTCCATGTCTCATTGCAATCCACTGAAGTGTGACTAAAGAACACGGATTCTGCATCATAAAATTTGGAGTCAAGTATGGGATCTGCTTCTTAACAGTTGCTAGCTTTTTAAGCTGGTAACTTAACAGCTCTGAGCTCCCTTTTCCTGAGCAGTAAATACCCAATTTATAGCTGTGAATGTCAAATCCAGTGTGGATGTAATGTATCTCAAGCCTCGTGAAGTGGTAAGAGGTCTGCAAACTCTCCTGTCTCTCAGAAGCTTGCAAATACATCAAATAGGCCCAGAATAATTTTAGCCCAACAACTGCAGCTAGGCTGTATCAGGGCAGCGTTGCATGTGTTTCCATAGCTGCCACTACTGCTGAGAGATTCTGGGGGCTCGCCTTAGAACAAAGATGCTCCTAGCCCCTCGGAGAGTCCTCCTGCAGGGTGGAAGCATGCGCTCTTCCATTCAGGTACAGTCTTAGCCTCCCGCTCGCTGGTGGGCAGCCTCTTTCATCCAGCATGTTGGATAAATTCAGCCAGCCTCTCCAGATCCTCGTGGCTGAGATGACAAGTCTCATTATGGCCTGGCACTCACCACTGCCTATCTTCATCAGATTTGAACCCTTCTTTATCCCTGGACCTGTCTGCCCAGCCTTGGGCACAGCTCAGCCACTCATCCCAAGGAGCTGACATAAGACAATGAACAGACCCCCGAGTCTGAGGCAGCACTGCCCTGATGATCCCCATTGCTCCTGACCCTGACATTCCATACTCCTTCCGTCCACTTAAAATCCCTCCACTCATCAGCCATCACCTCAGCTGTTAGTGGTGTTTCCCCCCATTGACTTAGATGTCTTCTTCAATCTGGGGCAATAAACTTTCTGTTCTACCGCTGGCTCCTAGGGTATACCCTTGTCCTCCCGCTCCAGCTAGGGGAGAATTAGAAAAGATACAGTTTGTGTACCTTAATATTGCTTATTTATTACATAAACATTTCTAACAAGCACATGGTATAAGATTGGCAATTTTTTAGGACCTTCACCAAGGTTAACTCATTTAATCTTCACAGGACATTAGAAGATATGGACTATTATTATTCCTGTTTCTCAGATGAGAAAAACCTAGGTACAAAGAAGCTGAGTTCCTTCCCATGGTCACACAGCAAAGAAGTGAAGGCCACATTCAAAGGCAGGTATCCTGGCTCCCATGCCCTTAACCGCCACACCACACTACCTGGCACTGCCTGGATTCTCCTTCTAGGTGGGTGAGTCCTTCCTACTTTGGGCATTGGAGACTTAGACATTATCTGAGAGGTCTGGTGTGGGTAGGCACAGCTTCCTTCACAAATAGACATCTCCCCTGATTCAGTTCATTATTTTACTCAGACATACCATCATCTAACCACGTCCTGATTCTTAAACTTTCATTCTCTCACCACTCTGAAAACTCTAAAACATTACCTTCAGGCAAATAATTTGGGGGACATTTAAGTTGATCTCCGTTTTCCTCTATCTTTGCACAAGACATTTAATTTTTTTTGTAGATTAGCTTTTTGTTGAAGGTATTCGGGATGATGAGCTGTAAATCTGAGCAGTGAGCTTATGGCACCAGAAATATTGAACCAATTCACATTGCCACATAATATTGAATGGCTTACTCATAATCCCAGTGAAACTGGCTCTTATATTTTTTATTTTTTATTAGGTTTGTAATGATACTTAGATATGCTTAATCACATTTCCTTTACTGTTAGTAATATTGTTAGTATGCACTTCTATAGGTGACAATTTTACTTTTTGAATTCATGTCTTTCCAAGCTTATTTAAATTGCATGATGGAGTTTTAAATATCCATATCAATCTGAAGGGCACAATGCACTTTATCTTTAAATAGGCCATGCTATCCTGTTCCACAAAACAGAGTTTTGGACTTTAGGCTACAAGAAAGCTGAAATATGAGAGGTAATATTGGTATTATTTGTATTTTGTGAGCACTTACCATGTGCTTGTTAATCAGTTGACTTACAAGGTGTTTTCTAACCTTAGTTCTGTGCATAACAGTTGTTCCTCACACCCTTTGAAAAGGACACATCTCATCCCCTATGATGGAAGAGGCAGGAGGGAGGACGGAGCGCAGGTGGGAATGTTGAAATGGGAATATTCCAGAGCTGCTGGAGTTCAGAGGTGCTTGAGGAACTCCTCCTTTCCTCTGCATGTTTAAACTTGGAATCCAGTTGACTTCACAAACAATGGACCCCAGGCTCATGAACATCCTGGCTGAAAGTGCTGTGAGTCAAAAGAAAGCCCCCAGCTGGGGTGTTTCTGAGGAAAGCCCTTGATGTCAGGACTGTGTGGGGCGCCTCCCCCAACTTGGAGGAGGTCTCCTGCTGCTGGAGGAGGTGAAATTCTGATGATGGGGGCTTTGGGGCTGCTGCTGAGCTGGAGATTCAGCTGGCGCGCTCACGGGGGAGGGACGGAGCAGCAGGCGTGCCTCTCAAACCGGGCTCAGGCTGACGGGCACTTCTCGCTTGAATAAGGTCGAGGTAATTATGGGGGTCACTCTTGCTGTGACAGACATTTACACAGGTGCCAGACATTGGCCAGGACTTCTCGGCTCCTTTGTTGGGATCTCAGCCAGCATTTCCTGGCCACATCAACAGATGGTTCTCTGAAGCTGCCTGGGGAGGAAAGACCTCTTGATAATGAGCTCTCTCTCCCTCTCGTGTAGGGAACTTGCATTCCTCACAGTGAAGGATGGAAGCCCTTTGGCCTTGCCCTCCCGCCCAGCTGATGGGATGAGAGGCAGGTAAATGGGTGATATGGGAAGAGGGGGCTATACTCCCAGCACAGAAATAGTCTCGTTGCCCAATGTAGGACTACACATTCTAAGCGCCAATTTCTGAGGCTCAGGTTTCCAAAAACCAGCTTTGGATTCACAAAGAGAATAACTATCTTGTCAAAGGTTGCTTCCCATCCCCAGTTGGTGGCAGATTCGAAGGCAGGCCTTCTCTGTTCACAATGGGGTCTCAGCCCTTAGATCACATGATTTATAAGGCAGGAGGGAGTCCCCTGGATGATGGAACCCCCTCCCTTGTATAAATCATTTGATTTAAGGGCTGAAACCCCTTAAAAATCATTTGATCTAAGTCATACTGCTTTGGGAGTTCCATTCTCAGATAGGTTGTTCTGGTTGTTTATATTTTCCCTTTACAGATAGCAATACTCCAAAAGTCTGGCTTTTCCATGTAAACCTTCCAGTGCCATTGAAGATATACCACTGAGACTTGGCTTTACTTCTTACATACAATGGAGCCAAATTTCTTATCTTCCACTTATTTAAAAAGTATTGCAAATGCCATTGAATTTAAGGAAACACGCAGTGGCTGCAGCATTCAGCTCCGTGTCCTAACCCCAGGAGGGCTCACCTTTCCTTCTAGATCCTACTCTTCATCATTAATTACTTCCTCTTCATTTTGATTTCAAACATTCTTCACAGTCAGTTGATAATTGATAATGAATTTGAAGAGCATAATGAATCCACATAAAGGATGAGGTTATTTAATGTTTTCCAGATGCAGGCAGCTGTCAGGAGAGCAAAGGGAAGGGAGATACTGGGTCCGGAAACCCTGCTGCTGCTGCGACAAGTTCTCCGGGTCCAGGCTGTGATTTCCACAATCTGCATCCAAACCACAGAGTGAAGCCGAAATTGTGTGAATGATCGGGAGTGTTTGCAGAGTTCAACCACAGTGTTATCACGTTTTATCCAAATCTCCTAGTCCAAAAAAGAATACCACGCCCTGTTTTTATCTCAGTGCGGAGTGTTTCATTTTGATCAAAATTGCAGTTGCGTAATTGACAGATGAGAGTGAGTGCTTGCAGATGTGAAGACTGGGGTGAAATAACACAGCAACAACACCCGCAAGACTGGGTTAATATCAATACAAATTCAGTCCGCTTTTGTTTCCCAGTTCATTTTTCCTTAAGAGATGATAAATTGTCTTGAATTCCAAATTCATTTCTGAACCAGAGATGTAGAAAGACCGCAAATCCCATGTATAAAGTTTTAGTTCAATTGCAGATTCTAATTTTGCAATATTGTGGAGTTTAACTTTGTTTCCAGGCTTAAAAAGGGCCATTTGAAAATTGATCGTACCTACAAATATAAATCTATTTTAAGATACTTTTGAAGGATGCCAAGTTTTTAAACTGTTTTTTCTAGTTACCACATTTGTGAGCAACAGGAGAAGTTAGGAGATTCCGGGAACCCTGTACAATTTAACAACTAGAGTTAAAACTCGGCACCTTCAATTTTCCTAGTTTGCCACTAGAGTTGGCGATGAGACAAAGTAACAAAAGCCTGCAGCCTTCACAATAGGTGAATCCCCAGTACAATTTTCCTCTCCTCTGCTTGTTTTCGGCATCACCATCTCTCCGCCCTGGGTGTTTAATCCTCTTAGGGTCCTATTCTCTCGGGTTGCCCTGAATCTCTGAGAATAGAGGAAGGAATTGGCTCCGATTGAACCATTTGGCAGGAAGAGCAGACTGGGCTTGTGATCCGCTCAGGACTTCTGTGCTCAGCACAATGGCATGGAGAGAGAATGGTGGGCTTGCAGGCACCAAGCTGGTGGGAGAGAGCTGTAGGCTGGGCCCTCCCTGTCCCTGCAGGGACACATGCCCCGCCCCTGTGGCCCATGTGCCAGGCTGGGCCTAGGGCTGGCGAGTTCAGAGCCTTACCATCAAAGCTGCTTTGAACGTTAGAATAAGACGATATTCTTAAAAGCCTTATCAGAAACTTTCATGGGAGTCAGTGGGTTTTAGGCAATAAGGATCTCTCTGCGTATTCCTTTTATTTACTTTACTTCTGATAAGCCAAAGGCTCTTGAGTCCCTCCAGTTTTCAAAAGGCAGGCATTCGGAGCATTTCCAGGACATGCAGGCTTATTATCATGGTGGACAGCAGCTCCCGCCTTCAGACCGTCAGCGAAGGAAACCCCCTCAGTAAATCAGCCACAGACTCAGTGCCGGCGCGGCGCAGCTATTCACACCCTGTCACGTGTCACGTGTTTCAGCTGCTCTTTCTCTGCCCACCATGTAATCTCTGAAAAAAATAGAAGCCTTTTTGTGTGCCTGGGGTGGGGGTGGGGACCAGCCTTGCAAATCCCCCTGCATGGATGCAAAGCTGGACCACTGTTGCCAGGGAGTTGTTTCAGCCTCTGAGGAAATTAAGGAGCTCATGGAAGGAGCTTATTCCCCATTTATAGTGAGTTCAAGAGGGACAATGGATCTGTGTGGCCGAGGATTACCCAGCCAGCCACAAAAGCATCAGGGCCTTTTAATCTGAAAATCAAAATTGTGCATCTAGTGACCCCACCTCAGAGGGAGACAGAATGCCAGAGTGAAGGAATTTTTTTTCTACTCTCATGATGGCAAAACTTTCTCAAGATGCAAATATCACTGTAAAGCTTCAGCCAGGCCTTTTCACAATCTATGCTACAGAATAACCTTCCCTCGGGATCCACCAAGGAATGGTGAGGGCTGCCCTCAGTGGTGCCTCAGGCCCATGGTGCAGAGGTGACAGAGGGTTGAACTGG
Source organism: Homo sapiens (assembly GCF_000001405.40). Lineage (NCBI taxonomy): Eukaryota > Metazoa > Chordata > Mammalia > Primates > Hominidae > Homo > Homo sapiens. Next base: position 10,403,353 of record NC_000018.10, on the reverse strand, counting down.
GCTTGGAGGCAGGAAGGATGCCCTGCAGAGGGCTCCAGGTGGGGCCAGAGAGTCCTTCTCTCCAGGAACACTGGTCCCTTTGAAGACGGTGACAGGGATTAATTTTTCCCACCAGTTCACTTCTGGCCAGTTTTGTTTCTTTCAACTCAAGGGGATTGTACTCTGAGGAAGCCAACGTATCAAAGTACAAGTAGAAACAATAATAATAAATTATAGTGTTTCTCAGACGTATTCTAACACCAAGTGTCCATTCTTGCTAACTACTTTTTTGGCTAGCAGCCAGCTGTCCCTAGGTTCCTTTGTATGGGCAAGAGTGCAGTTTCCTATGTCAGGGTGGCGTTAAATCTTACCAATGGTACTTGCACAACAGAGACATTCAGAAAGTCTTGAACTTATTTGGAGACACATTTGCTTTAATGCGTATGTCCTTTAGTGAGCAGGACACGAGGATGCCCCCTCTACGTGCTTTGCTAAATGTGCTTTGCTAACCTAGAAGTCTCCGAGGCCATCTCCCTGGGGTTGGAGAACTAGCACCAACAAAGCAGAAACACACTTGTGGGCTTGATCATGTGCGTTAAGTTTATTTTTACAGGATGTAAAGTGTCTGCTGCCTGCCTTAAGAATAAATGTTTGCTAAAAAAAAGATAATAAAAATTTAAAAACACAAGTTTACCTATATAACAAACCTGCACATGTACCTCTGAACTTAAAAGAAAAGTAAAAGAATAGGTGTCTGCCAAAAAGACCAAGGCTGTGATCTAAGGGCCACCACGGAGGACCCAGAGCAACATGGCAGATGAGTCTTTGTGTGCAAACTCTACTGTAACATCCTTGGGGGAAGAGATTCTTCTTATAAAACCATGGGTGGGCTCTGAGCCCCCCTGCCCTAGTTTCACTGCAAGAACAACCCCAGGAACTATTATATAATTTGTGCACTCAAGTCATCAGCCTATGCTTCTGCTGTCATCTGGAGGACCCACTGAAAGCTGACCATTACCAGGAAGAGCACAAAGATAGGACTACCACCCTCCATTTGAACAGTGCCTGCCTCTGGCACCCCACATGGCTCTGACTGCCACATTTTGCGGGACCGCAGAGAGCACCTAGGCTGCTGCTGCCTGGTAGGGAACAGCAGGGACAGCGGCATTATTCCAGCTGACTGTCATGTCCTTTTCTACAGGAACAAAGCCCGTGTATTGTCTTCATTGAATCTGACGGCATCCTGGGGGAAAGAGCAAGATAGATACAGCTGACTCCATTTTTCATAAAAGGATATAAAAATGGTTTCAGTGACTTCCAACATGACAGAAGCTCCCCACAGTGGTGGCAGAATTATTCCAACCTTCCTCCTTCAGTTCTGTGGGTCTTTTCATTACGTTTTGAATGGAATGGATTGAGGTGTACTTGTTTCTCAAATCACAGAACACTACCATTAAGTAATATCATTGTGTCCCAAGAAATAAGTCATTTTTGTCAAAATAAAAGGAAAAACAGATGGTAATAAACTTATCTTACTTATTCCAAGAGCTGTTTCAGCCTAGAAGAAGCCGGTACCACAAAGGCAAAGCTGAGGTCTCCTTCCTTCCCCTCCCCTTCCCCTTTCTCCTCCCCGCTCCTCTCCTCTGACTCACCCCCCGCACCCCCGTGCAGATAATTAATCATGACAACTTCCCAATGAGCCAGGGGAAGGCTCAGAATTCTCAGCGCAGCAACTTAAGCAGCTAGTCCCAATGCTTGGAGTTAGCCCAGGAAATGACAAGTCCACTTTAATAGTCTAAACATTTTGACCAGGTAACACATTAACAAGGTTACAAATCAGAAAATGTAAAAAATTATGATCAAGATCTTCCTCCTACCACATTCTCCATCTACTCAGATTCCTTCATCTCCAAATTAGAACACAATTAACAAGTCACCATAATTATTGGTTTCTTGTATATCCTCTCAGAGATTTTCTTTGTGCTTGTAAAAGCAAATACAGATATCTATTTCCCCCACTTGAATATTGCCTGCACTGTCCATAGCTAGCATCACAATAAATCTTAGAGATTTCCTCATCGGTCCATACGGAAGCCTTGTTCTTTTTGTAGTTGCATTGTGTGACTGCACTATGATATATTCAATCAATCCCTACAAATGGATATGGGTCGTTTACATTCTTTTGCAGTTACAATGAGGTCTCATTAGATCATTTTGAACATATATTATTTCCCATGTGTACTGCTATATGTAGGATATATTCTTAGAAGTGGAATTTCTGGGTCAAAGGATAGGGTGTATTTATAATTTACTAGGTATTTCGAGATAGTCATCCTCAGTGGTTTTACACATTTACAAACCTTCCAATTCTACACGAAAATGCCCTTTTTCTGACAGCCTGACCATAGTTGTTTCATCCAACTTCTCTTCTTTCCGCCAAACTGCTGGATTAGAAACTGTATCTTGCTGGAATTTTTACTTAGCATTTTTCTTATTATGAGTGAGACTGTGCACTTCCTCTTATGTTGAAGATGCACTTTTATTTCCTTGTTTCTGTCATCTCCACTTTTGAACTCATAAGTAGATGACAGATAATGTGCTGCTAAGGAGAAGTGGGCTGTTCTGAGGCCACACCCTAGCCCTGTCCGAGTTTGATGTGAGAAGGACGTGCATCACTGTGCCAGCACCAGCACTTAGTACACAGCTGTGGACCCTGAGGGAGCATGAGTTTCAGCCACAGAAGACAGAAACGACCTTCTCGGCCGAAGGAGCAGCTCAGCACAGATGCAGAGCTCTGCATGGCTTATTTGGAAATGGAACATGTCTGTATGACAGGACCCCAGGTCCTGTGACTGGAACATGGCACTAGGCAGTTAGGATGGAGTCAGCTAATAGAGGGTCTTGAGTGCTGCGGTACAGAGTTTGGGCTTTGCTCTGCAGGTTGTGGATGACGATGCGAGTTACCGAGTAGAAAATTAATACCTCAATTGCCCCAACTGCTAGTGCTGTGTGCACTGCTGTGTGCCCTGGACATAACATTTAAATTCATATTCACAAGCAGTACATATTAAAGAGTCAGTCACTAAAAATAACATTAGTTGCTAGGGATCCTGGAGAGACAGACACTAATAGTTGATGGTATTGTGGTCCAAAGTCTGGTGTCTGAGTCGTCCCGCCAGGCGCCAGCTTCGGTCCTAGGTCACAGATCCTGCTTCACTCCCCAACATAAGCTGAAAGATGCTGCTTGCTAGAATTGAGACTGGAGAGAAGGGAGATAGGATCTGCCGTCATCCCCAAGCCGGGTCCTGTTAGAGGGCAGAGAGGGTGACTCTAGGGCCCACTTCTTCCCAAAATGGATTCACAAGATTAGTAGAAAAAGGAAAGAAGAGAAAATGAGAGAGAAATTAGGCAAACTGAAGCCTAGAAAAATGACGGGTTTTCAAATCTCAAGATTTTCATTTCCTGGTCATTCTTCCTTGAGGTAGTAAGGTCCAAAATTCATCAATATTTCCTATTTTCATAGATATTTACAGCATGTCACCAAGAAAAGAAATGGGTGTCTCTTAATAGACAGTCATGCCTCACGTAACCATGGGGATACGTTTTGAGAAATGCATTATTAGGTGATTTTTGTCATTGTGCAAACATCACAGCATGTACTTACATAAACCTAGATGGTAGAGCCGACACACCCAGGCTATATTATACGGCCTATTGCTCCTAGGCTACAAACCTGTGCAGCATGTGACTGTATTGGATACTATAAGCAGTTCTAACACAATGGTAAGTATTTGTGTATCTAAACGTAGAACAGGTACAGTAAAAATATGGCAATATAATCTTATGGGACCACTGTCATATATGTGGTCAGTTATTGACCAAAAACATCATTATACAGGGTATGATTGTATTTTAAACCTACATATAACTTGCTTTTGAATTAAATAATTTTAAAAATATTTCTATGTTACATGATTCTTGAATAGCCCAAGTCGATAAAAGTATTCTGATTTCATTCTATGAACAGGAAGCGGGGGAGGATAGGCAGTCCTTTAATATTTTTGAACCCACGTATTTGTCTGTTGTGCCTCTGACAAAAGGGGGGAAAATCCTATGGTCTCTGTTTCAGGGGATTTCATGTAGAAGTATTTTATAAGCTTGACCTTTTTCATGTAAAATACCAGCTTTGTGACATTTAAATCTACTAGTGAAAATGAACAGGTTTCATTTACTAAGGGTCTAAGATCATAGAAGTCAATTTTATTGTTGAAGTTTATAAAAAGAAATCATAAGAAGAAATGTGCCAGCAGAGACACACAAGACCATTTGAACAACCACCCACATTTGAACAACCTGATGTGTGTGGACAGGTGTGTGTGTGTGTGTGTGTGTGTGTCCGTGTCAAGACCCACATTGCAGAGAGCTGCTGCTCAGTGACTTCTCTGTCCCAGGGTTTTCCTTTACTTAGCATTCTTTATTACCCTTTCTCGCCCTAAGGAGACAGATGGGCTCCACACTTGTGCTTTGCCAGAGATCATTACATCAATTCTCAGCAATTCTCAGAGCTCCAAGTCCTGTGCCTTTCACAGCTGATGGTGAGGACTCCCTGGGTGGATGAGTTTGTGAGAAGTTGGCCTTCAATATTAAAATAATGAATAGGCTTTAATGTGATTCTTAAGAGCCATTCAACCAGGAAATGTTGGCTTAGATGCAAGAAGCAGTTTTCAGTGAGTTCTCATTTACATATGACTTTCCAACTGCATTTTCTTAGGAACACGGAAATCCAGCGGCTTGCCCAATCATTTAATTTAAACAATTGAATGAAAAACTTTTTCCCCTTGTTAATGTTAGGTACTCTGTACCAGGCAAACAAATACCACTCTTCCTGTGCCTTATAAATTTCTTCAAGGCCATAACCTCAAGTTATCAGAAGAAAAGGAAATCAATGAAATCAGGGACAGGACTGGGCCATCGTAGTGTATTCCTTAAAGCTTAGCAATCATAGTCAATATCGTAACCTAAACATGTGTTACTTATAGAATGCAGACTGAAAACATGTCACTCCATCCTCATGTAACCCCAAAACTATTGATAATGCTCTTTTTTCAGATGCCAATACAATCTTGCTGAGTTTCTCAGAATTCCATAGTAGCCACTAGTTCCTGTTGTAGGAAACACACCACCCCTATTGTAGTGTGTGTTACACATAGTACCAAAGTTTAAGCCAGACAGGAACACTGTCCCTGCATTTTTCTTGCATACGTTTAATTCCCATTCAAGCACAGTACACTTTTGTACATGTACACTGTTTTATTAATGTCCAGAGCAATAAAAGTGCAAAGTTATGCCCATTTTCAGATGAGAATCTACTAAGGTCATCGTTCCCATGGAGCCTTGCACCTGCTTTCCCCTGGCAGTGAATGCATCGGTGCTGTCTGCTTTCATTCCAAAGATCTTTCTCCTTTATTTGATTTTTTAAAGCAAAAGCATATGCAAACACCCAGATACAATAAAATACAGAAAAAGTTAACATGTAGTCATTTTTTTGTTCTGAGTTTTATTAAAATGGAATATGTAGAAGACAAAGCTGCATCCATCTTTGACACCCAAGTGCAAACTTGCTCACCTCCTTACAGAACCAGTGTCATGAATTTGGTGAGTGTCCTTCTAGTTAATTTTTTTACGTTGTATGTTATGTATCCATAAACTATACGTAGGACCACTCTCTGTGTTTTTAGATTATATAAAAATAGTGTCATCCAGGAAAAACCACTTCATTTCTTAAAACTCAATATTATATTTTCAAAATTGATTTATTTTCATTCATATAATCAGCACATAGCTGAATTTTAAAATTTAACCTCTATTTTTTTTAACGTGAGCTAAATTATTTTATAGTTAATTTGACTACTGGATATATTTGTACTTATTTCTGCAATTGTATATCTGTTTTTCATTTATCAGGCTTTTATTTGAAACAACTTCTTACTTTTATTTATTACATTTGTATGAAGTTAAAGTTCTTGAAAGGTGTCTTCCTGAGCTTGTTTTCATTTCATCCTCGAAGCGACCATTCTAGTCCCATTTTTGTCATTATCCTGAGAACCTAACTCATGTGTGATCCTGGGCAAGTTTCCCCTTCCCCGCCTCTCTTTCCTCATCCAGTTGGCCTCGCTCTATGGCCAGGGGTTTTAATTCCACATGCCAGTCATCTTTAATAATAACACTAACCACAGCAGTAATGACACATCCATTTACTGAAAGACTGCTATATTTTAGACAGCATTCCTGAAAAATAAGAGGCTGTGGATAAACACTAATTTCTAAACCAACTGCAAAATATACCCAAAAGTCAGATTTTTTTTTTTTTTTTTTTTTTTTTGAGAAGGAGTTTCGCTCTGTCGCCCAGGCTGCAGTGCAGTGGTTCAATCGCCGCTCACTGCAAGCTCCGCCTCCAGGGTTCATTCCATTCTCCTGCCTCAGCCTCCCGAGTAGCTGGGACTGCAGGTGCCCACCACCACGCCCAACTAATTTTTGTATTTTTAGTAGAGATGGGCTTTCACCTTGTTAGCCAGGATGGTCTCAATCTCCTGACCAGGTGATCCGCCTGCCTCACCCTCCCAAAGTGCTGGGATTACAGGCGTGAGCCACTGCACCTGGCCAAAAGTCAGATATTCTTTATTGCCCTGTTAGCTGGACTAATACTTTGTTATGACCAGCATCTTGATTGAGATTTCTCATTCTTTTTTTCCAAGTTTAGATGGGAAGTGAAAAAAAAATATCCAACCATACTGAGAATCTCTGGTCTATGAGGTTGGGAATATCCTTGAAACTGTCATCCCTCAGACAGGATAGAGGTGTTACAATAAAGATGTCTTGCTCTTGATTCATGCTCATTCTGTTACTGTGGTGAGTTCTTGAATTGATCACTTTCAGATTCTTATCAATGGCAAGGTTCAGCTGTGGATATGATACTCTGAGCTGATAACTCATTAAATGTCCAAACAAACCCCCAAATGAACATCAAATCATAGTCATTCTTTCCATCTTTGTTTGCTTAGGATCCAAAACATTCTGGTAAAACCAACCTACCGCTTGTTAAGCTTTGATAAAAACAAAGAGAAAAAATTTTTCTAAATTCAAGCAAAGAAATGTTTGAGCAGGTTCATTTGATATAATAATATTTCTTGAACGTGTGGAACTTGAAAGAATTAGAAATGCACGAGCTTGAAATAGTAACTAGTTCTCAGTTTTTGAAGATTTTCCCAGAACTACCGGTGAATTGTTCTCTTCTAACATAAACATTTAGTGCCATAAATTTCCTCCTCAGCATTGCTCCAGCTGTGTCCCACAAATTTTCTTATGTTGTATTTTCATTTTCTTTCAGCTCAACATATTATTTGAATTTTTTTCCTTGATACTTCCTCTTTAACCCATAGATTATTTAGAAATGTGTTATTTAGTCTCTAAGTGCTTGAAGGTATGTCTGTTATTTTTTCTGTCATTTATTTCTAGTTTGATTCCATTGTGGTCAGAGAAGACAGTCTGTATTATTTCAGTTCTATTGTATTTGTTAAGATTTATTTTATGGCCCAGTATATGATCTATCTTGCTGTCTTGGTTCATTTTGTGTTGCTATAACAAAATATGGCAGACTGGGTAATATATAATAAACAGAAATGTATTGGCTAACAGTTCTGGATGCTGGAAAGTTCAAGATTGAGGGGCTGGCATGTGGTAAGAGCCTTCTTGCTGCATCTTAACACGGGAGAAATCATCACATGGCAGAAGGGCAAGGAAACAGTGAGAGAGAGAGACAAAAAGGGGCCAAACTAACCCTTTTATAAAAAACCCACTCCCATGATAATAGCATTAATCCAATCACGATAATGGTGCCCTCATAACCCAAGTAACTCCCATTAGGCCCCACCCCCAACACTACTGCATTGGAGATTAAGTTTATCACACATGGACTTTGGGGAACACATTCCAATCACAGCGCATAGTAAATGCTTTGTGAGCATTTGAAAAGAATGTATATTCTACTGTTACTGAGTGAAGTGTTCTATAAACTACTGAGTTGTTCTACATATTTTCTGATTTTCTGTCTAGATGTTCTAGCAGTTGATGAGAGAGAGGTGTTGAAGCCTCCGACTACAATAATAGATTTACCTATTTCTTTTTTTGGTTCTATCAGTTTTTGCTTCACATATTGATACAGAAGGGGGCAGAGAAGTGCTGAGAAGGGAAGGGCATGCTCCCAGGTGAGGGCTCCACCCCCAAGCCTGTGCCCATGGACCTAGGTGAGGACAGGCATTTCCGTTTTCCTGCCTAAATGTTGCATTTCCCAAGACCACTCTGGCCTGCCATGCCCTCATCCTGTGCCTATAAAGACCCTAAGACCCTAGCAGGACGGGACACAAACAGCTGGCGTTGAGAGGAACATATTTGCAGAAGAACACACAAGTGGCTGGACATCAAGAAGACGTCCAAAGGAGCACGCTGGCAGAAGAGCACACAGACAGACACTGGCAGGCCATTGACTGGCAGAACAACATGGAGTTTGGCGGGGTGGTTGGAGGAGAGCCGGCCTGACTCCAGCCAAAAACCACCTTCCCACTCCATCTCCCTTCTGTCTCCCCCATCTGCTGAGAGCTACTTCCACTCAATAAAACCTTGCATTCATTCTCCAGTCCCACGTGTCCTCTGATTCTTTTGGTACACCAAGGCAAGAAACCCTGGGATACAGAAAGCCATCTGTCCTTGTGATAAGGCAGAGGGTCTAATTGAGCTGACTAACACAAGCTGCCTACAGATGGCTAAACTAAAAGAGCACCCTGTAACACACGCCTACTGGGGCTTCAGGAACTGTAAACATTCACCCCTAGGCACTGCTGTGGGGTCAGAACCCCACAGCCTGCCCATCTGCATGCTCCCCTTAGGGGTTTGAGCAGCAGGGCACGGAAGAAGTGAGCCACACCCCCATCACACACCCTGCAAGGGGGACAAGGGAACTTTTCTCATTTCAGTATGTTGCAGCTCTGTTGCTTGATGCATAAATGTTTAGGATTGCTATGTTTTCTTGGTGGATCGACCTTCTGTCATTATATAATGTCCTTTTCTGTACCTGGTGATTTTCTATACTCTGAAGCATACTTTCTCTGATTTATAAAAAGAATTCCTGAAAAGAATTTCTGTTTTCTTTTAATTAATGTTTCCATGGTACATCTTTTTTCAAACTTTCATTTTTAACCTACTTATATTGCTATTAATAAAAGAGAGTTCAGACAGTAGATAGTTGGGACATAGTTTAAATCCACTCTGCCAATCTCTGTCTTATAATTGGTAAATTCAGATCATTTACATTTATTGTAATTACTCATATGCTCAAGTGTAAGTCTGCCTTTTAATTTTCTTTGTGTTTTTTCTGTTTTTTTATTTCTCTTTTTTTCTTGTTCTTGCTCACCTGTGGGTTACTTAATTTTTTAGAATTCCATCTTTATATATTTGTAGTATTTTGACTATAACTATGTGTGTGTATTTTTAATAATTCCTCCAAGTATGATATTGTACATATATAATTCATCAAAGACTATTGGTGTTGACATTTTACCAATTTGAGTGAACTGTAAAAACCTTACTTCCTTTTAAGTCCCTTTGCCCTCCTCCATTTGTAATATAATTTACTAAGTATTTCCTCTGCGTACATTTGGAACCATACCAGAAAATTTTTGCGTTGTAATTTTGACTTCAAAGTCAAACATAACTTACAAAACTTAAAAATAGAAAAAAATCCATTTACAAGTAATTTTTTGCTTTTTCCATGTTCTTTTATCCTTCCTAATGTTACCAAGATTCTGCTTTTGATTTCCTTTCAGTTTCAAGAACTTCTATTAGCCATTCTTTTAGGATAGGTCTGCTGGTGACAAATTCTCTTCGTTTTACTATATCTGAGAGTGAGTTAATTTTTTTTAATAAGTTCATTTCTAAAGGCTATTTTGGCTGAATATAGGACTTCAGTTTCTTTTCTTTTATCACTGGAAAAATTTGTGTCATGTCCTTCTGGCTTCCATTGTTTCTGATGAGAAATCTGTCATTTAAATTATGTTTTTTTTTTCCTCTTGCTGCTTTAAAGATTTTTTTGTTTGCATTTAGTTTTCACAAGTTTGATTACATTGTGTCTTGGAAACTATTGCTTTGGGTTTTTATTGTTTGGGATTCACTCAGCTTCTTAAATCTTTAGGTTTATGTCTCTTGCTGAATTTGGAAAATGTTTAGTCATTACTTGTTTGAACACATTTTCAGCCTCATTCTCTTTCCTCTCTTCTTCCCAGACTTTCATTAAATCAATATTAGATCTTTTGTTATAGTACCACAAATCTCTGAGGCTCTGTTTATTTTGTTTTTTTGAAACAAAAGTTTTTTTCTCTATTGTTAGAATTGGGTAGTTTGAATTGTTTTATCTTTGATTCATCTGGTTCTTTCTTCTGTCTTCTCCATTCTTCTGCTGAACTCAGTTATCATATATTTCAGTACTAAAATTTGTGCGTGTTTCTTCTTCATTTCTTCGTATTTTTTTCTATTTCTTTGTAGAGACTTTGTATTTTTTATTTGTTTAAAACATGTTCATAATTTTCTGTCAAAGTGTTTTTATAATGGCTTCTATAAAATCCTTGTTAGATAATTTCAACATCTCTGTCATCTCAGTGTCGGTATATTTTAATTGTCTTTTTTCATTCAAGTTGATATTTTCCTGGTTCATGATATGATGAGTGATTTTCATTTGTATCCTGGCTAATACACACACACACACACACACACCCCCACACACACACATATATACATGCAAATAATATTGTATTACTTCATGCTATTACTGTCATTTCTTTTCTATGTATGTTATAAGCCCCCCAACACACTGTTAGTGTGTTTTGTTGTTCGGTTCTCTTTTAAAGATAAGAAAAGTTTCTACTTTATTTAACTGTATTTTTATTTGTTCTAGCACACTTTTTTCTTTGTATACATCTAAATTGCCATCTGCTGTCATTTTTTTTTTTTTAAACAGAGTCTCCACTGTCACACAGACTGAGGTGCAACGGCATAATCTCGGTTCACTGAAACCTCCGCCTCCTGGATTCAAGCAATTCTCCTGCCCGGTAGCTGGGACTACAGGCGTGCCCCAGCACTCTTGGCTAATTTTTGTATTTTTAGTAGAGACGGGGTTTCCCCATGTTGGCCAGGCTGTTCTTGAACTCCTGACCTCAAGTGATCCACCCATCTCATCTTCCGAAAATGCTGGGATTACAGTTGTGAGCCACCGCGCCTAGCCTCCATCTGCTATCTTACTCTTTCTTTCTAAAAAAAAATGTCCTCAATATTTTTGGCAGTAAATTCTCTCAGCTTTTGTTTGTCTAAAATCTCTTCATTCTGCCTTCATTTTTCTAAGACATTTTCACTGGATATAGAATTCTTGGTTGACTGATGCTTATTTTAGTACTTTAAAGATGTCTCTCCATTTTCTTTAGGCTTAGTTAACTTCTGATGAGAAGTTGTCCATAATTCTTATATATTTTTTCTCTGTGTGTAAGTTGTTCCTTTTGAAACTTTCTGGCTCTCTTCAAGATTTTCTCTTTCATTTTTGGTTTTCTATAGTTTCATTATGATGTAGACAAGTATATATTTTTTTAATCCTGCTTCAGTTTTCTTGAGCTTCTTCAATCTGTAATTAGTTGACTCTCATTAACTAAAAAATAATTATCAGCCAGTCTTTTTAAATATTTCTTCTGCCTATTCTCCTCTCCACCTTCTCCAATTTTAGGTATTTTATGTTGTCCCATAGCCTTATATCCCTTGCTGTATTTTTTCTCTTTGTTCTTTCTTTGTGTTTCACTTTGCTTAATTTCTATTTACTTATCTTTAGGTTCACGGATGTTTTATTTTGATATGTCCAGTTTGCTGATAAACTCATTGAAAGAGTTCTTCATCTCTGATACTATGTTTTTCACTTCTAACATTTTCATTTGACTCTGGTTATAGTTTATATCTCTCTGCTGACATCCACCATCTGTTCAAGCATTATTGTCTACTTGTTGTACTATAGTTTTTTAGCATATTTAACATCTGTACTTACATATTTATTTATTAAAATATTTAACATCCTTATGATAGTTCCAATATCAGATCATTTCTGGGCCAAGCTCTGTTGAATGCTTATCAGCACTGCTACAGCAAAATGTGGTGGTATAAATGCTGTCCATCATTATCAAGAAAGGAAAATGCAGTGTGAAGATAGAAAACGAAGAAATAAACCTATCATATTTTAAAACACTATGATCATAGAAAATTCAACAAAACCCAACTGAAATAATAAGAGTTTTTGGCAAGGTCAAATTTCAAAAAATTAGCATGTTTCAAAAATTTATTCATAATTCAAAAATTAATAGCATTAACAGCAATCAACTGGAAAATATTCTTAAAAAAATGCCATTCAGAATTGTGACAATATCTGTAAAGCATCAGGAATTAGCAAATAATGAATAAAAGCAATTTGGAAAAATATTAAAATTTAATTCAACTTTGTACAACAGAATCTGAATAAATAGAGAGTTAGTCATGTTCTTGGATGGACTTTTTGAAAATATCAACTCTCCCAACATTGTTTCATAGCTTCAAAACATCAATCAAATGCCAGATATATTTGTAAGGCACTTGTTAAACTTATTCTAAAATGGTTTAGGACATAATATTCTACTATGTAATAGTCTATGAAGGGTTAAGTCAACTTTAAAAAAGAGGAGCACAGAGTGGGATCTTGCTCTATGAGCCACTAAGATAAGCTTCAAAGACACAGTAATAAAAACAGTATGGCACCAGATAAGAATAGACAAACAGGCCAATGAAATGGCATAAAAAGTCGCAGACAAGATCCCTTGTATATGGGAACTTAATATATGATAAAAGTAGCAGTATAGATCAATAAAGAAAGGAACATTCAGTAGACATTTCAATGGCGTAGTGGTAAACCAGTCCCCTAAAGGAAAAAATACTTGATTTATTGATAATTCCCATGGTATAAAAACTCCCAGCACGGCCTATTTCAAACTGCCAACAATTTAGCAACCAGCTTACAAAATTCCTCAATATTTAACAATTGGCTCTTGCCACATGGCACAAGCTGCTCCAACACATCCCTGGGTGGCTTTCTTTATGGAGGAAAATAAAACCAGATTCTTACCCAACATCATTTAGAAAGAGGTGTTGCAGATGGGCAAAAGACCTAAGAAATGGAGATATTAACTATAAAATAATCAAATAATGTAGAAGAATGCAGTATTAACTTCTGGAGGAGGAACGGATTTTTAAACATAACCTTAGATCCTTTTGTGGATCATAAGCATGATGATTGGTTTTTCACACTAACGTGTGAAATGTGCCTCCTTAAAGCCTTATTATAGCATTGACATATTACCCATTGAAGGTGAAAAAAAACATAACATAACCTTAAAAGCAGAAAACCATAAGGCACAACGATTACATTAAAATTAAAAATTCATGTCCAATGAAGGATACCATGGACAAGACAAGCAGATATAAAAACATAAGAGAGGATATTTGCAATCAATACACTAAAAAAAGAGGCTAATATCTCTGCTAGCTAGGAATCTATCAAGAATAAGTAAAAGACGACACAACCAAAAAATATGTAACAAGTAATTCATGGAAGAAAAGTCCAAAAGGCTGACAAACATACAAAATGATATTCAAAATTATTAGTGATTAGGAAACCATAAACTAGAATGATAACATTTCTTTGCACTTAAATGAGAAATGTCAATTGAAAAAGTGAGAAAATGAAAATATTGGTGAAAATGTAGGAATGTAAGAATCTCATGGGCTGTTGGTGAAAATATAGACGGGCAGCCACTTTGGAGATTAATCCGGAAGTACTTAGTCAATCTAAGTATGTTTATACCCAATGACCCCGAAACTCCACCAGAAATATATTTTCTAGACTATATACCACTTCTGGGTATGTATTCTAGAAAAATTCTAACACATTCTTATAAAATAACAAGCATTAAAACCTGTTGTTTGCATAGGCATAAGAGGCAAAGTAGGTGTTCATTCCTGGATGAACAGGACAGCAACATGGCTATATATTAAAAACATAACTAAGTGAAAAAAGTAAAAAAATACCATGAGCACAATCCCTTCAGGTAAATTAAAAGTGTATGCACACAAAACAACATAGTTTTTATGAGAAGACATACAAATAATCAGATACACATAAACCACCTTATAATTGTGGCATACAGAGGAGGGAGGAATGGAAGCATGGAATGAGATCCTGTACAGGCCAACAATACCACGAGAACTCAAAGCTCGACACCTGAAGTCCCAAACAGACAAAAGAACCATCATGTGGATGATGGGTTAAAATTGTTCTACGTGGTTCTGGGAGGACATAACTAGAGTAAGAGGCTAAATTTCTAAGGGATCATAGATTTTTGCTTAATAAAAAAAAAGAGGTTTCTTGATGAAGCAATGAGTTCCTCCATATTGGAGATGTACATTAGTTGCTGAATGATCACTTAGTAGATGTTTTGGACCTAAATCTTGTGCACCTTCTGAGAGTCCCATAACTGCCTCCTGCTGTCCAAAAACATTTCCCACTTCCTGGGGCCATTTCTGCCATGATCCCTGAGCAGATTGGTGTCTGAGTTGCACCCTGGGCTCCAAGGCTCATGTGCCCAAAGGCCAAGCCCACGTGTGTCAAACCACCACTCCTCTTCCAGATATGAATCAACGTGATCTCATGTGTCTTGGACTTTCACCAAACAGCCAGTGTTGCTACTGGGAAGTGTGAGGGAAATATCTTGCCTCATGGTGAACCTTGACTAGTAAGAACTGGGAGAAGGGAGATAGCTTAGCAGACAAACATGTTTGCTTTCTTTCATCTGTGAAATACCCCCAAAGAAGTCATTAATTTCAGCAACTTCTCAGAGAAATGCTCTGTGCCCTGTGGACACACCTGCCAAGCCACTGCTGAGTTTCTTCATGGCTGTCATGAAGCAGCAGCCAGCACACCCAACCGCATGGCTCCTCTCATTCCCTTGTCTTGTTTCCTTGTACACACCTTTGGATTTTTACCTGCCAAGTTAAGGGCTAGTACTTTAATCCTTGACTCTGGCTCTGCTTTCTAGAAGACCTTTCTAAGGAGCAAAAATGTTGTCAGGTGGACTCAAGCTGGATGTGGTGATCTGTGAGGCCACTTACACCTCCAGGGGTCTAAGGTTCTACAACTGTGGCCTCATCTTCTGAACAGCAAGATTTCCCACAGGGCTCCTAATGCAATAAATCTTTTGCAAAACTGTGAATATAGGCTACCCATCTCCACTTTCCTTACCTCACATCAGATCATCAAGCTCTTCTTTATCCTTTAGGTGTCAGGGACCAAGTGAAGCTTTCAATATTTGCCAAGAGTGATGACCAGTATGTTATTACATGTAGTACTCCAAGTTCCTGCAGCCCTCCTGAAGAATGATGAAATATTAAGGATCAGTTTTTGATAAGAATACTTAAATGAGAGTCAAGACTGTGGATGGCTCTATATCCATTGATGACTAATATGTGTGTTTTTGGATAAGCTATTGAACTCTTTGTTTTTTCTGCCTTTAAAACTAGACAACATAGTGCTTGCGTGAACATATCATAGAATCGCAATGTAGGAGCTAGAAGCCTGCTACCTCTGACAGATGGGGCCGAGGAGAGGATTGGATAACTTCCAGGAGGAACTAGAGAGATGCAAGGAGTGAGAAGACAGGGAGCTGGCAAGTCTGAGCTCAAGGTTTTTATCTAGAAAAGAAGCTGAGTTTGCCTGCATACAGAGTGGGTGAGACAATGTGTTTTAAAATACCTACAGGATGCTTGGCAGATGGCAGGTGTTCACCAAGGAATAGTTAAATTTGATTCTATGCATTTTTTTTTTACAATAAGGAGGAGAGATAACGTGTATATGACCTTGTTCAGTGAGTGTTGGAATAAAGACACAGTGGTGCAGAGCCCTAAGGACTGATCATCAGGCCAAGACTGAGGACCTCAGCACAACCTTCTGGGGAAATCGTGTGGGGAGAGCCTCGATGATAAAGATGTTAGAAATTACTTGGAGGGATGCTTATGCCATGGTTCTGCTGATAAGAACAAAAGAGTGCATCTGGACCTTTGATTGTTTAGCAATGGAGCAAATTATGACTTGCTTTGAAAGAATTTGCTGGTTGAAAGCTGCTGGCTAGACTTCTTAACCATGCCATGAAATGGGACAATGGTCCTGATCTGATGAGGAACTTGAGAGTAAAACAGTTGCTGGGGACAAGATGATTGCAACTTGGGTTTCAGATTCTTACATTTCAGACAACACTAGATAAAATGTAGAGAAACTAGAGAGATCACACAGGAGGCTAATTATTGGATTCTTCAAGAAAATGGTGATTATGAATTCCCAACACAGGGAAAAAGCCTTTTCTGCAGAATGATGAGTTTTTAAGGATTGGCTTTTGAAAAGAATATTTAAATGGCAGTCAGGAGACTGGATAGTTTCAGATCCATTGATGACTAATATGTGTGTTTCTAAGTCAGTCACTGAACTCTTTGTTTTTCCGTTTTTAAAACCAGACAACATAGTACTTGCCCAAACATAGCAGAGAATCGTAACATAGGAAGCTAGAAGAGTGCCACCTCTCGCAGATGGGACAGAGAAAAGACAGAACAAATCTAAACAGATGCAATTGTTGTAATATAACCTCCAGGGTGTGGGAGGTAGGTAAAGGAAGCAGGGCCTGTGTGTTTTACTATCAACCTTGTCTTCCAAAGACAGTGTTTCTGGGAAAAGTGGCAACCTTGTCCAAGCGGCATTGTAGTGCTGACTTTTTGTTGAGTTGCTTTCCTTACAAGCTCATTCCTCAGGGATCAAGTGCTCCTGGGTTCTGGTTGCTTTTATATCCATCCTTCCCTTTCCTATTCCCCTCCCGCCCGCCACCCTTTTAAAAGCTGCTCTGGGAACAGGACCTATTTCCAAGCAATTTTGCGTACACTCGACCTCTTCTAACATTTTAGATTGTTTTTGCCAGGCTCAGTTTGGGAAGCTTTTCAAAATAAAAGAGTCATCTCTCCTGTGTAGTTCTGCTCTCTTGAGAGCAAAGAAGGGAGGCCTTTGCTCTCTAACTATGAGCAATTCCTATTGCAGAGATTTCAGGCCCAGCAGGAGGGAAATAGGAACCCCCTGCTAGATAGCCTGGGCCTGAAGGGCTGAATGGGGCCTGTTCATATTTGTGTCTCCAGTTACCTGCAGAATGTCTGGAGAAGACCTTCAGTAAGATGAGGGGTGTGCACTTTACTACCCACATTTAGAGAAATATGTAGGAATTGTTTACAGGGCTGTGACTAATATTCTGCCAAACATTAAAGTAGGGTTGCATTTATTTAAAGCAAAAGTTTTAAAAACACCCAATAAATAAGAGAAAAAGGCACAATCACCCTCCTAAATAATAACATTAGCAATATTTAATTACCTGTATTCACACTGAAATGAACAGTACTAACATGTTCATTTAAATTAAGACTGGTTCATTTAATTTATATTTATGAGTATATTTAATGGAAGGCAAGGGATACATGGCTAGCTTTCAAGAGAGGAGCCAGGGAATCTTTTGATGCCTGATGCCCCAGAAGGAGTATAGCAGACGCCTCCGAAACAATGCAGACAAACATTCCCAGCCTAGTGGCCTTTGTTCCATGTGGCCACAGTTCACCCCCTGCTCAGGACCCTAGGTTTGGGCCAGGAGGCGGCCCTGAGGGTGCTGAGACAGCCTGGGTGGGACAGAGCCCGAGGCCCTCATGACCAGAGGCTGAGGCCTGAGCCTAGGGTCACAGTGAACCTTAGCAAACCCCACGCCCAGGGCTCACTAACGTCAGCAAGGACAAGATCAGAGGTGAGGCTGGGCCCCATACAAGGGTGCAGGGTAGTGGCTGATAGCTGCTGAGTCCCCTAGTAATGACCACAGACACTACTTCAGCACTGCTGGCCATTTTGGGGACAAATTTTTCTTTAAAGTATAATTAATTAGGATTCATTGCTCCCTCCCTCCCTTTAGTAATTATATTTTATGTTTTCCCTCCCCACAAGATTCTGGAAGATCCTGAAGTGGATGCCATGAAAAAGCAAAAACGCAAAAAAGAGGGTCAGACAAAGGCTCCAGTAGGCAGACCTCAGGTCTTCATCATGCCCAGGGGGTGAAGGCCATCACAGAGAACCAGCAGACAGTGGGCTCCTAGCACAGGTGAACTCTGACTAATGATAACAACGGCTCACACTGGCCGGGGGCTTCTCTGTGCCGGGCACTACTGTGATGGTCCTATGCACAGTCACTCATTCAATACTCCCATCAAAACTTTGAAGTAAGCATTTTTTGTTGACCCTGTTTTATAGGTAAGGAAGGTGGGGTGGAGAGGGTAAGGGAACACACCCAGGGTTACAATTCTTACAAGAAAGGATGAGCTGTGATGGGAACCCAGAGCTGACTTGAGAGCTGGATTGCCGACACCACCCAGCAGTCCTTCTTGTGCATGTGATATTGGGGTATTATGTCATGTGCTTGCTCTGTGACCCAAAGCAAGTCACTTACTCCTCCCATATCTTCACTTTCTCATCACTGAAAGAAGTGGGCAGGACATAAGAGAGTGCGTGGGCTGTGGAAAGGGCATGAGCCTGCTGCAGGGCACCTGCCATTCAATAGCTGGGTGGCCTAGAAATTGTCTATACCTCTCTGTGCCATATCTCAGTTAATCTACACAGATCCTGGGGAAGGTGCTACTAGTATCTCTATTTTATTTATGAAAATAGGAAGGTGCAGAAATGGGAGGGAGGTCCAGCAAGATGAGGCACCTGTAGTTGTCTGAATTATTCCAAACCCCAACATTTAAATATGAAACCATTTGTCCTCTTCTAATATTCTGTGATTCTTACATCTGTTAAACCTACCTTGAAGAATTAGTAGGAGGATTAAATGAGGCAATACTATTGAAAGAGCTTTGAAACTAAAAACCACCATGCAAATAGGAGGTCTAGCTGGGGCAGAGAAGGTGCATCGTAGCTCTCCAGCATGTGATGAATTTGCACATGTTTCAGGGCCAGAAGCACTCAGGTCTAGGTGGGAGAAGTAAAGGAAAACAGGTACTCCACTCAAGTTACACTCCAAGCGTTGGGGACCTTCAAAGGAAAAGAATGCAAAATTATGAATACAAAATTGCTAGGACTCTTCTTCGGGCTTTGAAAGGAGCTCATGGAAGTGAGGAATTGCGAAACTGAAGCTCCATCAGCTTCAAGATATCCATGTTTGTGGATTAAAATAATAAATGTTATTAAAATGTCCACAGTACCCAAGGCAATATACAGATTAAATGCCATCCCTATCAAAATTCCAACGGTATTTTCACTGAAATAGAAAAAACAATTCTAAAATTTGTATGGAACCAGAAAAGACCCTTAGTTGCCAAAAAATAAAAAATGTTGAGAAAGTAAAACAAAGTTGGAAGCATCACATTGCCCAGTTTCAAATTATATTGTAAAGCAAGAATAAACAAACAGTATGGTACTGTTATAAAAATGGCACATAGACCAATGAAACAGAATAGAGAGCCCAAAAATAAACTCATGCATATATGGTTACCTAATTTTCAACAAGGCTACCAAGAAGACACAATGGGGAAGGATAGTCTCTTCAATAAATGGTGTTGGGAAAAATGAATATCCACATGCAAAAGAATGAAGGCGCCTTATCTAACACCATACACAAAAATCAAAACTTAAGACCATAAAACTCTTAGGAGGAAACACAGGGGGAAAGCCCCTTGCTATTTTCCTTGGCAAGCATTTTTTTAATATATATATCTCACCCAAAGCACAGGCAACAAAAGCAAAAATAGACAAGTGAAGTTGCATCAAACCAAAAAGTCTCTGCACAGCAAAGGAAATAATCAACAAAATGAAAAGGCAGCCAATGGATTAGGAGGAATTATTTGAAAACCATGTATCAGATGAGGGGTTAATATCTAAAAAATAAAAGCAGCTCAAACAACTCAGAAGTATAAACACAAATAACCCCGTTAAAGTATGGGAGAAGGACTGGAATGGGCATTTCTCTAAAGAAGATGTACAAATGTCCAGTGGCTATGTGGAAAGGTGCTCAGCATCACTCATTATCAGGGAAAGGCACATCAAAACCACCACAAGGACATCTTGCCTCACACCTGTTAGGATGGCTTTTACCAAAAAGACAATAGATGAGTATTGGCAAGCATGTGAAGAAAAGGGAACCCTTGTTCATGTTTGGTGGGGATGTAGATTTGTGCAGCCACTGTGAAAGCATATGGAAGTTCTAAGAAAATTAAAAATACAACTACCATATGACCCACCCACTCGTCTTCTAGGTATGTACTCAAAAGAGATGAAATCACGACCTTGTAAAGGAATCTGCACTTCCATGTTCACTGCTGCATTACTCACAACAGCCAAGATATGAAAGCACAACCTATGGGTCCACCAAGGGATGAATGGATAAAGAAATTGTTATACATACACACACAAATGGAATATTATTCAGCCTTAAAAAAGAAGGCTGACACCATAGATGAACTTGGAGGACATTATGCTAAATGAACGAAGCCAGGCACAGAAAGACAAGTACTGCATGACCTCTCTTACATGTGGAATCTAAAACAAAACAAAAAAAAAAAACAAAACAAAACACCTCAAATACATAGAAACATAGAGTACAACAGTGGTTACCAAGGGAAGGGGATGGGGAGATGGAAATCAAAGGATACAAACCTGCAGTTATATAGGATAAATAGGGCTAGAAATCTAATGCATAGCACAGGGAGCATAGTTAATAACATTCTATTGCAGACTGGAAATTTGCTAAGAGAATAGGCTTTAGGTATGTTTACTATAAAAAAATGGTAACTATGTGAGATGATGGATATGTCAGTTAGCTTGAATATAGTGACCATTTTACTATGCATGTGTATATCCAAACATCATATTGTATACCTTAAATATATACCTTTAAAAAAAATCCAATCTGCTAAAGAAAAAAAATCAAACTGATTTCAAGGTTTGCAATGACTCATGCCAAGAGCCACACATGGAAAGGAAGAGCAGATGGTTTGTCCCAGAGGTGTGGTCGCTGAAAGCGCCATGTAGGGAAAATAGGAGGCCCCAGGCTGAGAATGTTATGTGTGATTCTAAGAGAATGAATTCGATTTTTGAAACCAAAATCACTTTAGGAAGTTTTATGCTCAGCCCAGCGTTGCTTCCATGGCTCAAAACTTCCTTTGTGGAGAAACTATAGACCCTAAAGTAGGTTCTGTCAAATGCTAAGCCATGGCCAGCCTGTGAATGGTGCTGAAATTTGTGGTATAAAATAAAATCATTTTGAGCTGAACCTAGTGATAAAAGTAGGTGAACAACCTGGGCAATAACATTTTGGGGCAAAAGAAATGAAAGAAGTATGAAGTACTAAACAGATTTTCTTTTGTGGTTAATATACTCATTCTGATAATATTTTCCACAAAGGGACAGAGGTCAACTTTCAGAAGATATCCAGTAGCTCCTAAAATTGCTCTACGTATTTGGATGCTGCATCTCTGGTGTGCTTCCTTAAAAGGGAAATAACAGTGTGACATTTAATGAGTAATAAAACTATCCTAATATTCCATTTCCTCATAAAGATGTAGTGTTAATAATAATACTGACTCCTAAGGTTGTCATGAAGATTAAATGACAGAATGTATGTGAAGCACTAAGCGCAGTGCCTGGGATATATTAAGTGCTTAATAAATAAATATTAACTAATTAATATGTTGGTGTTCAGCATCTTCCATTTTCAATTCACTCTGCTGGGAGCATTTAAAAATTATCTTATTTAACATGCTCATAACCATCCCAAAAGAGATTATAATCTGCCTTTTGCAAATGAAAAACCCCAGTCTTGGAGACGTTGAAAATCTTCCCAGTATCAGGAGTAAGTGGTGAGCAGGAATTCAGCCCTACAGAGGCTCCATGTCCAATGCTCTTTCTATTCTTTCTCATGCATTGTTTTTGAGCTATGTCCAGCGTAGATCCATGCAACTCTGTAGGTGCGGATGGACAAGGTGTTTCTCTCTCACATGACAGAGGAGGGGTTCCCCTCACCTACCAAACTGGGGAACTAAACTTGAACCTACATCTACTGCTTTCCAGTCAAGAGTTCTTTCTAAAGTGATGCGCACACTCTCTCGGAGCTGAGAATGTTATGTGTGATTCTGAGAGAATAAATCAGATTTCTGAAACCAAAATCACTTTAGGAAGTTTTTTGCTCAGCCCAGCCTTGCTTCCATTGCTCAGAACTTCCTTTGCGGAGAAACTGTAGACCCTAAAGTTCTGTCAAATGCTAAGCCATGGCCAGTATGGCCAGACCAAGTCAACAAAGTTCATTGCTGGATTTCCAACCTGAAAGTCATAATTTGCAATCCTCACTTATTTCCTGAGATGTAGTTCCAAAACATTCATGCAATAACAGGAGATGAGCCTGGAAATTTTATTTACTGGGAAATCTTTATGATGAGCAGCAAATCATTTGGCAAGATGTCTTATCGTCAGGATCCATTGTAAAGCATTTATGGAAAATGAATTTCTCTTTAGAAAAGATCTGCCAGTATCATATGCATGCTCTGGCTACAACTTTCCACTTCAGATTTCTATTCTTCTATATTTATTTAGAGTCTCTTCTGCTCAGAAGGCAATGATCTTTGCTTGATGATGAACTGTGTGAAATCCTCCCCAAGAAGTAGTCTTCGATGGGGTCACTTCTGCTCTGTTAGGAGGCACTTCACCATGTCTCTATACTTAGACATGTGTCTATACTTAGACAATGTTACCTGGGTAACTCCTGGTAACAGGTCATTTGCAATCCACAGATTATGACATCTCTATCACCCACAAACCATTGTATATGATTCTTCCATTACCATAGAGGTGAAAAATTTAAAGTCACTGCTCATTTTTAAGTCCCTATATAACGATCCCTGTGTGTGGATGTTTCTAGTGTTTAGACTGTTGGATAAATGGTTTTCTACTCTATTTACTTTTGGAGACTGGAGTTCATCTGGTGAAAATGGCCCTCATGGCTACCCTTCACCTTCCAGTGGCCGATGTGCCTATTGAATTCACAATGACCTAGCCCTATGCGTATTCTTGTGATTCTTAGAGGGACAAGTGTCAAGGTGCGTGTGTACACTATGGGAGAGTGCCACTGGGTGTTTTCCATTAAACAGTGGGCTCTGTCGTACAGTGCTCTCATGATGCACTGTTACCTTTCCCACCACATCTCTCGCCCTGTTTACCTGGAAGGTACATGACTTTGTTATCATTAGTTTCTATAGTTAAGAATTGAGACAAATGTGGACTTCAGTTTTTTTCTTTTAGTTGATTAACGTTTAAAACAACTGGGCTTAGATATTTGAGCTGAAAAAGGAAGTCAGTTTGGTTAGTCAGTGCTTGGGGTGACTGCATTCATTAGTAAGCACATATTTACATAAGTTTCAGTGGAAACACATTTGTTTGTACAAATACGGAACAGAATAGGAATATGTTTCCAGCATTCTCACTTGGCAACTCAGAAAAAGACTCATCCTGCAGACACACATACAAATCAACCCTCTTCCTCCCCTCCCCCAGCATTCAGCATGGAAAGCTGGCCGCCCTGGTTCTTTACGGCTCATTTCTAAACGTCAAATTCACCTCTTACACAGAATCTTGGAGGTCATCTGGTTGAACTGATCCCAATCAGAAGTGTCTTCCCTGGGATCCCTGACAGGTGAACTTCCTGAACAAGTTCAAAGGTGGCATCCTTCCTTCTTAGAAGATGACCATTGCTTTTCTGAACAACTGTTACAATGTTCTTTTCACGTTGATGCAAAGTCTGGGTCTTTAGAAACTCTTCCTGTCTGTTCTAATTCTATCCTCTGGCACCAAACAAAACAAAGCATTTCCCTCTTGCCCACAATAGTGCTTCAAACATTTGCAGGAAGCTCTGTCATCCATCCTTTGTTTTTTGCTTCTGGCGAGCACCTCGTTCTGTAAGCAGTCCTTTTAAGATGCAGTTTCTGCTTCTATCACTTCCCCAACCCCACTCTGGCAGCCCGGCCTTGACCTGGGACTTGGCCTGGCATAGAGGCGAGGACACCTCCTCATCTTGCAATATCCTTTTGGATTTCCTCTGACAGACTGTAAATACTCAGCCAACAATTAAATTCAGAAAGTAATTATTTTTGAATATAAATGTAATTACTAGGAAGTTATGAAAATGCATCTGATCTGCTGGATATGATGAGTCAGTAGGTTGGGGAGAGCTGTGTCTTCTGAAGTTTTATGTACTTTAGTCACTGCTCCTCCTTTTCTGCAGAGGTGAAGTCTATAACCCCAGCTGGCATTCTGCTAAGGCAGGGTTTCTCAGGCAGGAGTGGGAACAAGCCTGAAAATCTCCATCTCCCCAGAGGGGCAGAGTAGAAGTTTGGAAAAGGCTTCCAGATGACTTTGATATGCACATATCCCTTTTCTAGAATTGAGAACCACGGCCTCAAGGACCTCTCTGCGCTTTGGGGAAACAGACCTGATTTGGTCCTCCTGGGTTCCTGAAAAGAAGTCCTCTTTACAGCCCCAGGTAAACCCACTTATGCTCATTCCTCCACTTTCTCAAAATCTTAAAAAAAAAAAAAAAAAAGAAAGAAAAAGTTATCTATATACTTTTATAGCTGATTCTGGACTCTGATGTCCACACGCGAACTGTTTGTTAGGAATGCACGTCCCATATGGAGCCCAGCACCCCGGCTGTCTATGTTCCCACTCAGCAGGGACTGCTGTGTCCCCTCCTGGGATGCCCTGCCAATCTATCCTTTGATGTTTTCAGGGGACCCAAATGATGTCCAGATCCAAGTCCAGAAGGGATTACAGTCAGAGATCATTTTGAAGTTTAATGTCTTGGAACATTTTTTATTTCAAATTTGTTATTTTAAGTACACATTGTGATTTAATGACTCTTTCTGGGACTTCAGTTTGTGGTTGAGGTCTGAGAGCTGAAGAATGCATGTTTAATTTTTTTCATCCTATAACCAGTGTTTCATCTTAGACTAAAGAGATGCACATTTTAGGAATCCCACAGAATCACTGAAAAAAACATTGATGTTTATACAAATGCTTGCATGTTTGAGTGAATTTAACTAAAGGAAACAATCAGATCTGGTTCCAAAGACTTTGTGGGACCCTACTAAATCCTTAATTTCTCCCTTACTTCTGACTTCACAGGACTTTACGTGGATGTACAGTGCTGGGCTTTATTTGTGGGCACTAGGGTCTCCTCCGTTGACACTGGTCTTTGTGGCTTCAGCTTGTAGCACAGGGGACATTTTCTCATTGGAGGGAGGCTGAGCTCTGGCTGAGTTTTGACGAGCAGGTGGAATTTTCATCCTCGCTTTGGAAGTGGTGAAGAGAACTGGCTGAAGCTGGATGGATAAGGAGACAGAGAGTATGATGACAGAACTTTGAGAGTCCAAAACCATACCCTTCCCCAGGAAGAAAGGGCAGAGGGCAGATCGCCTGTTCAGATTCCACAAAGTGTCTACTCAGGCAAGGCTACAGTTTCACTTGAAGAAATGTCTCTGAACACCAGAAAGGTAAAGAAGTATTGGCCACACAGGACAGAATTGTCTAAAAGCCTCTCTTTTCTTGGCTGTGCTCAGTTTCTGGAGAGCAAGCCCACATATTATTCATCTCTGGATCAACAGTATAGAGCATGCCAACCACTACATGCACAATAAAAGTACATTAAATTTTAATGAACAAAAAAGTGAATGATTGAATGCTTAGGGCGGGTTAGAGAACACACAAGGGTAGTTCCCGCGGACTTCTCAGTCACACCAGCAAAGTATGTATATATAAAACAATATGCACATGAATTCCCAGTCACATGTGCAGAATTCCTAGAACCAATGATTTCTAGTCCCACTACTGGGCATGAATATACAAAAAAGTGGCAATATTCCCCACATGGATGTAGAACATGTACAGAAAGTGAGACGTTACTGATAAATAAACACATTTCAGCTGGAACCTTGATTCCCAAAGCCACAGAAAGAGACTGTTTTTAAAAGAATTGGTGAATTGAATGTCTGGAGATTTTTCCAAGTTCAGTGAATTCTACGACAATTGGAGGACAAATGTATTTTTTGGCACAATGCGACTGTGGGAATAGGTGGGGGAGAGGGTCACTCCCAGGCCCAGCAGCTGGCAGGGGAGCGCGAGCCATTTTAATGATAGTGGAGTGGAGAGCTGTCAGGGTTTCCAAGGGATTTTAATAGTCGTGCGGTCAGAGTTCCCTGAGTAAATAGCTTCCATTTCCACTCCTGCTGCCAGCTGGCCAAGTCGGGGACCACCTAAGTCGTATGCCCCCAAAGGAAATGGAAAGGCAGGTTCTCCAATCCGACAGTTCTCCACCCCCAGCTACTGCTTCTCCGCTGCCTGAAATCCCACCAAGAGAGGGATGTGCCTTTAGTCAAGATTTGTTCCTGGTTAAAATTTAAATATTACTTAGAGGAATAATACTTCAAACCTCTGTCACTCCTTTCAAGCCTATTCTTACTTATGAATGGGCTTTAGAAACTGTTTTGAAAACAGGTATCGAGTGAGAGAAGAAAGGCTCTGGGGTGAAGGGGCCCCAAGACTGTTTGTGGCCCTGGTCTCGCCCCCAGCCATGGCCCTTCCCATGTGTCTATGCAGTGTCCCATTAAGAGATGAAGGGTGTTTTCCAGCTCCTTGATGCTGAGCTTGGCATTGTGACTTGCCTGGGCCAGTGGGACAGGTGATATGCAAGCACAGCCTTGACAGGCACTTAGGGGACCAGGCCCGATGGCTCTCACACCTTTGCAACTGTCACAAGCACACTCCTGCACCAGCCTGCCAGAGACCAAAAGACACCCGCCCCAAGCCGAGGGGCAGAGGCTGTCCTAGGGCAGCCAAAAGCTAGCCAAGCCCTGCAAAGGGAGTGAATCCACCAGATGAGTTGAATCCCTTAGGCTCATGAGCTAAGTAAGTGTATATTTTTGTGTACCACTGAGCTTTGGGGGTTGTCTTTGTACAACATTACTGTGGTAATAAATAGATGATATACTGGAGGAAAAAAGGGCCTAAGATGGATAAGCCTGAATGCCATCATGACAAAGTGTGCCTCCCTCACAATTACAAATACATGATGCTGCCTCCACATTTGGGCTGTGGGAAAATAGCAGAATATGTGAGCATGAGAGCAACGCTGTAGTTGGCCTGTTCTTGACACCAGGGGAGACTGGTGTGTCCTCCCCCAAATACAGACATATATCTCTGTTCTTTGTGTCTGCTGTTGAGGTGCCTGAGAGGGCCAGAAGGAAGGGATCAAGACTCATGTCATGGTCAGGGTATACCAGTGATTGTCACATGGGTTGCCTTTATGATCTCAGTCAGTAGGCCTGGGAGTTAGGAGTCTCTTTCTCTGTTCTACAGATGAGAAGACTGAGACCTACAGAGATGAAGTAACTTAACTGTGTAAATCAGGGGTTGGCAAACCTCTTCTGTTAAGGAGCAGAGAGCAGGCATCTTAAGCCTATGGTAGTCTCTGCCACAGCAACACAGCTCTGCCATTGTGGCATGAAAGGAACTGTAGACCACACCCCAATGAATGAGCTTCCCCTGGTAGAAATCATTTATGAACATTAATGTTGAATTTCACATACTTCTCACATATGACAAAGTAATATTCTTTTGATTTTTTTCCCATCATTTAAAAAAGTACAAGCCATTCTTAGCTCACATGCTATACACAAAAAGGCAGCAGGCCAAAGCTTGCCAACCCCTGAGGTAGACATCAGGGCTTAGATTCAAACCTATAAAATTTTGCAACTGACTAGGAGGCCAAAAAAATCTTTGTAGAGTTTGGACGTCTCTTAGATTCCGTTGCCTTCATTACTGCTGCCTAATACCCTTCTGTATAAAACATCAAGTAAATACCCACCTCTCCTCTTTTGTAGAATGGTATTTGATGCAGCATCCTAAAGTGCTGACACTTTATTTGCAGTTCTCTGGGAATTAACTGGATTCACTCAGCACGGGTATGAGCGTGCATGTGTGAGTGTGTGCTGAGACAGACTTCAGTGAACTCACGGCACGCCATGAAAGATTGCCTATGTGAGGTAGGTATACAGTGCTATTATTGTCTCCACATTGCAGATGAGGAAATGGTGGCTTGAAGGAGTTAAGCAGCTTGTTCAAACTGACTCCATAAGGGGAGCCGAAATCCAGACGCCTGCTCTCCCAGCTCCAGCACCAGCACGGTCAGCACCACCCCTTCCTGCTCTCAGCAATCCTGAGAAGACAATTAGCTGTCCCGTGAAGCCCTTGCCTGCCACCAGCGCCATCTGAATCATGCTTTGCCTGAGGCTGTCCCATCCGAACAAAACAGGAACATAAATATTCATGACAGGATAAAAGGAGCAGGCCAGGCTGTTTAAAATCATGCGTGCAGAGCACACTTTGCAAAGGCAATTCAGCTCGCGAGCCTCTGTGCCACGCTGATGAAGTTCTGATGCTTGGCGGACCTATGGCATTCCGTGGTCATCTGATTTCCAAGAGGGAAGCTGATCCCTCGCCATTGTTCCACGTGCTGTCATGTCCCGAAGCTGGAGTTTCACCCAGAGACAGGCCAACAGACACTTCTGACCATAGACAATGCATCTGCAGCCTTCTCTTCAGAACAAAACCACCAGCTTCCCTGACCTAGGTTATCCAAAGGGCTCTTTCTCCACTTTGAAAGAGTCTATGTCTCCTCCAGGCATCTCACCGCCTGCCGTCAAGGCGCCAGCGCCAGCGCCAGAGTCAAGGCACTCTGGTGCAACCAGCCTCCCTGGTGCTCTTTGCTTCCCGTTCACAAAGCATAAAACACACATGGAACAGCCCATTCTGTGGGCTCTTCCTTCTCGTACGTAACACAGGTGCATTGAACATCCACATGTGTTATAAAGCAGGATTCAGAAACCTGAGTCTCTGTTGCCACAAGCCTCCACTTCTCAGCCTTGTAAATGTGGATGAGATGTTTCCATTGCTGAGAGTCAGTTTCCCTCTCCATAAAATGAGCGGTTATAGTCATATCTGTGAGAGCATTTTAAAAACTCTAAAGGCCCCTACATGTAGGTAAGCAAAAATTATATTAAATCCACAAAGGGTCAGTAGCTCCAATTGCAGCAGCACTCACCAGTCAAGGAGGCTGTAAGCAAACCAAATCAGATTGGGGTAAAGTCCCAGAACCCCTGGGCCAGCCTTCCAGGTCCCTGGAGGAGGCAGCAAGACAGAGGAGTAGGGTCGCTGCTAGGTACCCCATGTTGCAGGCTCTCCTGTAGCATGCATTGCATCCCTTCTGCAGATGATTTCAATGCTGGTGCACACAATGTTTTTAAAACTGCAACCACTACCTCTTTGTGACCAGATTCTACAGCATAGCTGACTCTTTCTGACTGAAAACACAAAGTTGAAGGAGTTATAAAATCTAGGCCGGGCGCGGTGGCTCATGCCTGTAATCCCAGCATTTTAGGAGGCCGAGGTGGGTGGATCACCTGAGGTCAGGAGTTTGAATCTAGCCTGGGCAACACGGCGAAACCCTCTCTCTACTAAAAATACAAAAATTAGCGGGTTGTGATGGCAGGCACCTGTAATCCCAGCTACTAGGGAGACTGAGGCAGGAGAATTGCTTGAAACCAGGAGGCAGAGGTTGCAGTGAGCCGAGATTGCGCCACTGCACTCCAGCCTGGGTGGCAGAACGAGACACTATCTAAAAAAAAAAAAAAAAAAAGAAGAAGTCTGATATGCAATGAACACGTGATGTTTAAGAGGACATGCATGTTTGCTCCTTGTCTACCAAGAGTATTCGGTTAGTCATTACACATGTATGATTTTAATGATTTTATCTCAAGAAATGAAGCAGTAATGAAAAGGACATTTATCTTTTCTTTAGAGTCTTCTTTCCTCTCCAGGCTCTGGAAGCCCCACAGTCAACCTGCGTAGTCTACCTGTGCTACACACCCTCTGCAACCCAGCACTGCCATATCAAAAATAAACATTCCGGCTTCCACAAAACGGCTTTGCCCTGCTGAGCGGACCTGATGGGGCATTTTCAACATGCTTATCAAGGTATCAAGATTGGACGGCTGGGACGAGGCCAGATAATGACAGAACTTTCCCTCAGAAAATGTCTTAAATGTCATGGAGCGGTTATTGAAGGCCGTGATGGGTTGGATTAATATGGACTTGTTTGCACTTGGAAGGATTACTGAGGCAGTGTGTAAATGATGGGTTTACGGGAATGAAAACATCAGAAAGATCTGTTAGGAAGCTACTTAAATAACCCAGCACAGGAGAGATGACAGTTTAAACCAAGAGAAGTCGGCTGGAGATGGAAGAGTAGATTTGATGGCTACTTAGGGAAAAGCAATTGATGGGACCTGCAGCTTGGTTAGATGTTGAGGGGAAAGAAGAGAGAAACCTCTGAGGCTTCTGCATTAGGTAAATGGGGGAAGGCGGTGAGGTTATCCATAAGAGGGAAAATGCATGGAAAGCCAGTTTATGGAGCAGGAGGACGTGTTCCGTTTTGACATGCTTGACTCGAAGTGTTTTGGAGACACCCAAGAAGGGGACCCAGTGAGCGTTAGGGGAGGGTCTGTCATGCCCAGAAGAGAGTTATTAGCTCTCAGGTGGCAGCAGAAGCCAGGGGGTTGAACCAAATCACACAGAAAGATTGGATGCTGTGAGAAAATAAGGCCACAGATGAAGTCATAATGAATCCCAACATTTTATGACATGGACCCAGGAACAGAAGACCGCAAAGTGGGCTGGGATCTGTGAGCCCAGAAAAGCAACGTTCCACCAAAGTCAAGGGAGGCTGGAATGTCAAATTGGAGGTGTCTAGGAGTGTCAAATATTGCAGAAGGTGTTAAAAAGGACCGAAAAGTGTCTGCTGAGATTTGCTATCCAGAAGGTAATTAAAACTTGATGACAGTACTTCCAGTTGAGAATTAATTGCCTCCAAGTGTTATTCACAAAGATTCTGTGAGGCTGGATGGGCGGTGGCCATTCGTAAGGCTCATCTTTTAAAGAAGTTTAACATTGAAATTCTACATATCTCTGTTTCATAGAAATATGTATATATGTATAAAATCTCTAGTAACATCTTCGTTTTCTAGCCAAGTTATGTTTCAGTTCAATATTATTAAGATGTTATTTGTTTTTTACTTCCCTCCAAATTGAAGTGTGGTTAAAATTGGTGTGACGCATGTCAAGCTAGTGCCGATCACGTTTAGGAATTAGGCTCAGCTCTAAATGAGTAATGCTAATGTTTGTTGAAATCTTGAAGCCCTGACTTTCTGTTCAGAAGAAGAGCAGTGAACTCCATCTCCTCTTTAACTGTTTGGGCCACTGCTAGGGCCCTGCAGCCAGCAATCCCACAGTCTCTCCTGCTGGATTAAGTGGCGATGCCTGACACGGCCTGGTATTTGGGGTGGGGAGGTAGGAAATAATAAGGAGTGATTTCATTTGTTTCTACAAATTACAGCTGGTGTGCTGAGTCCTTCCTTGGGGCCTTGTGTCAAGGGCTCGGGACCCTGCTGGGGCAGGGGAGGCAGCTCCTGCTCAATTGCTATCAGTGATGAGTGTGACATGTGCAATGTACAAGTCCCCTAAATGTTTACATGCCATGATGAGGCATTTAAATAGGTAAAAAATTAAAATCTATACTTTTTCTGTCTTTAAAGCACAGCTCAAAATGGCCTCTGCAGAATAAATGGAATGAGCTAGGTGTGGAACTCCAGGCACAGCGGTCAATTAAGGGCTGTTCATTAACATTTCAAGCACTGCAGATAGGTGGGTCTTAGCAGCTGGAGTTAAGTAGTGTGTTCTGATAGATATTCCTATTGTGAATTCTTCATTGGTTACTATAATCTTTACGGAAGCCTAAACCACTTCTCAAATAACTTCACCTTACATTGTTCCAAAAAGAAAGAAAAGCTATCTATTCGAAGCTAGTTTAAAGAACAATTATTTGCCTGTGACCTGCCCTGGGAGTGTGCCTCTATGCTCAGCTCACGTGCATTTGCAGACACATGCCCACAGGCTGCCAGGATCTGAAATCCACAAATGGGTCCTTAAGTCATAACTGACGACAAATGTGTAACCAGATTAAAATCTCGCGACATTTCTTAAACTGCTTTTACTGTAGCTCTGGAAACGTTGGTTTCAAAAATCAGTCGTGTCACTGTCACTCTTGGAATTCGAGAGCCCAGAGTCTAAAAGCCAGAAAGGTTGTTCAGAGCTTGGTCTCTGGCCTCTAGAGCTTTCCCAACATGGGATGGGCACACGCCTCAGGCACAGATGACTTCACTCCCCAAAGACTGAACCAGAGAACTCCAAGGTTCAACTGATCATCTGCCTTATTTTATCCATTAGTCTACTTTCATTTGTTAGAAGAGACACAGTTTCTTTTTATCTCTGTCTTCTCCTGACTAATTCTATTAGATCAGCCCTCAAATACATCATGTGATTTGTACAGGGATATCATTTTTATTCTTTTTTTTTTCGGTCCCCTTTCACGTACCTCTAATCATTTTTATCCTTGAATGGCATAAGTCAAACTTTTGAATTTTCTAATAGAATGCCTTTTTTTAAATTAAAACTTGCCTTTTGACTTCCTATTTACTTATTTATTTTTATTGTTAGATAAAGCAGATAAAATGTATTGACAATTTAAAATTTTGAAAAACACAGTGCAGAAGTTTGGCCTCATGGACATATATTAAACCTGGGCTTTATTTCACATTTTTCAGCACATATGGAACAATTGAAATGATTTGATCTCTAGAAAAATGTTAAGAAATGTTAAATATTTTAATCATAAAGACTAACTTTGGCATTAATCATATTTTTAAATAGTATATTAGGTGACTTTAGATATTAAGAAATTTAAACTGAGCAATATTTCTAAATGAATATTTAGAGTTTTTTAGACTCAAAGTCAGTGACTTTCAGTAATTTAAAAACAAAAGTGAACATGATAAATAATAGCAACTCACACAGCGCTCTCTGGACTTTACCACCCACTTTGATGTAAACTGAGTAAAGCTTGTTAGAATCATGCTCAGAAAAGTTGGAAGCTTTGAGATTTTAAAAGTTTGAGAAAAAACTGAAAGTGGGTTTTCTCTTCAGTATTAATGCAAACATTTTCTGAGGCAGTTGTGTTTTTGACTGGAGTTGTAAGGACTTTACGGCAGGATGCAAACTTTAGGGGCTCCCAGGGCTGTTGGAGGGGGCAGTCTGCACCCTCCCTTCCCACAGGGTTCAGCTCCCATCCCAGCCTCTGGGGTCTCAAGAGCTATGGGCACAGAATCTTTTTCCCTCTCTGGGGATCATGTGGGGTGTGGGTGCTAACAGACTCCTCTGTGGGTTAGGAGTGGAGGTTTGTGGCATGAGCCAGCAGTCTCCCCAGTGCTCACTCGGATCGAAAGGGGTGTCAGACCTGGAAGCCAGGCCACTTTTATGTGATGGTCCTCTGAGGCCTGGAATGAGCTCACCGAAGCCCTGGACCTGCAAGAGCAGCTTTGGTTCAAAAACCATTTGGCAGAGGCTTCAGGAAAGACAATCACACAATGCACTAAGCTGGAGGGACACAGGCTTGGGACATGAAGGCGAGAGGTGACAAAAATTATCCCTGAGCAGGCTGGGAGCCGACATCACAAAGGATTCTGTGAGGTTTCTGGAATAGCTTATGCCTTACTTCCCATCAAATTTGGATTAGCTGTGGTAAAGGAGGAAAGAGAACAAATAAAGGAAATCCAGAGATAATCCCCAAACCTCCATTTGAGCTAATAGTTTAAATTCCTCCTATGCCAAGCCAAGCTTTCTGTGTTTACCAGAGTTGATAATGAGAGGCAGAGTAAACCAGCCTCTCTTTAACCCCCTTCCTGCAGAGCTCCTGCTCAGCCTGTGACTGTAATAGCTGGGGACATCCTGAGTATGGATAAGTCTGTCCCAGTCCCACTTGGGAGCTGGGCGATGTAAGGGATGTGGGAAGAGGACCCACCCCAATGGGCACCACCAGCCACTGGGGGATGCTGAGGGAGACCGCTCCAGGCCAGCAGTGGCGGTCCAGGCAATGCATGGGGCAGGTGGAGCGTGCCCAGCCAGCCAGGGAGGGCAGACTCTGCAGAGGCTGCCTAGGGACATTGCTGAGCAAAGGCGACCAAGGCCCAGCCTAGACACAGCTGGAGGAGGGGGATGTGTGCAGAGAACAAGGGGGAAGAGCTGAGAAACTGAGACACTGGGGAGACATGCAGTGATGAGGCAGGGGTCTCCCTCTCCCCCTCTTTCCCTCCCGCTTTTTCTCTTCCTCCTCCCTGCTAGCTCTTTCTTTCTCTCTCCTCCGTCTCTCCCTTTCCCGCTCTTCCTCTCCCTCTTCCTCAGTCTCCCTCTCCTTCTTCCTCTCTCCATCTCTCCTTTCTTCTCCCCCTCTCTCTACCTCCCTCTATCCTTCTCTGTCTCCCTTTCTCCCTCCCTCTCTCCCTCTCCCTTCCTCCCTCTCTCTCTCCTTCTCTCTCTCCCTTCCTCCCTCTCTCTGCTCTCCCTCCCTTCTCCCTCCCTCTCCCTTCCTCCCTCTCCCTCTCCTCTCTCTCTCCCTCTCCTCTCTCTCTCCCTCTCTCTCTCCTGGTTTCCTCTCCATTTCTCTCACCCTCCCTCTCTCTCTCCCTCCCTCCTTATGTCCCTCCCCTGGCCCTCACTCTCACTGCCTGTTTCCCACTCCCTTTCTCCTCTGGACACCCACTATCTTAAAACCACAGGCTTGGTCATGGCAAAACTGGCCCCTCACTGGAAGTGGACTCAGGTGTCACTTCAGTTTCTATGGTCCTGAAACCCTAGCCCCAAGCTGATATGCAGTAGCTCAGAAAAGTTGGAAGTCTTCCCATGCAGACACAAAGGCTCTCAGAGCCACCTCTGAGATGTCCTCTCCTTGGTGAGCCCCTTGTGAGATGGCTTCATGGACTTTTACTGACCTTCTCAAATCATTTTTTCTGAGTGGAAACAACCGCTCAGGGTCTAGATCTGGGCTGTAATTCAGCAGTATAGCTAAGGAAATTGCTGACCTTGGACAAGTCATGTGGCTGCCTCCTCTGTAAAACAGGAATAAAGTTAGCCCATCTCACCCAGCTCACACGTTGACTCCAGCCTGAGCAATGCATCCTTCCGGTCTAAGAAACACACCAGAGAACTGCTCCCAGGGACTCTCCCTCTCTTCCTCCCTCCCTCCCTTCTTTCCCTCCTTCCTTCCTTCCTTCCCTTTCCTTTTTCCCCTCTCTTTCTTCCCTTTTTCCTTGCTTTTCTCTTTTCCTTTTCATTCCTTATGGTTCTCTTTTCCTTTTCATTCCTCATGGAAGTATCTCTGGCCATATGAACACTGAAGCTTCCAGCATCCCCCACCCCATTGATATTCTGATGCTTTTTAATTCTTTTCCATTTGGTAATAATTTTATAAATGTGCTCTGGGAAAAAAAAATTAAAGATTAAATGATGTAAATACAATGAAACTGTACAGAAAATTCAGACACTTAGAATGCACCTATAAACTGGCAAATTATTATTCAGGAACTGGAATCTTCTGGGGGCACATGAGGTTAAAAGGACAGATTGGGCCTCAAATTTCACATAGTTTCAACAGGACTAACTTTCATACAAATTCCTTCTAGAAAGGGGAAGTCCTAGGCAGTCCTGGAAGGACATTTCTAACCACCTTGAGTTCTCTTCTTTTTGGTATCTGAAATGCTCAAAAGGAGCCCCAGTGGGCTTCTTACCAGCTGCCAATAATTTCAGGCTCTTAAATCAGTATTCTCTGTCTTTCTGCTGAAAAAATAACAACCTCGCCTATGAGTGAGGGGCTAAGCCCATAAAGAAGTCCTAGTTCAAAGGCACAACTCACCCTACTGTGTTATCCTGAGGACAGAAAATGGTCTCAGCCCTTCCCAAATCTTCTAGAGGCCCTCACCCTCTTCCGCTCCTCCACCTGCTCACCCATCAGTCCAACAGCCTTTAGACAATTGGCTTTCCTTCTCCCCTTGGGAGAGGGGTGGAGGAGGAAGAAGATAGCGCTACCCACCCACAAAGCTTTCAGAAGGATGAGCTCCTGGCTGCAGAAAGCAAGGGGCTTCTCCACTGGGCAGCACGTCTCTTGTCTCACGAGTGCAATGGCACCTCCCCTAGTTGGTGTCCTCAACCTCATTACCTGCTCTCTGAGCCCTGGGCTCACACGCACTTACACAAAGGGTCACAGGCCCGAAATCAGAGCACTGAGCTTCTTCCTAAGGGAGCAGGCAAATGTTGCCAGCAGACATCAGAGCATCAGGGCTTACTGAATGAGCACTACTGTCACTAAAACGTAGATGGAGGTGTCCCATCAAACATATCTCCACGGAGGAGTCCTTGGAGGCAGCTCTCCACCAGGAGAGCTCAAGCAGCTGTTTGGTAAAAACTAACAGGATGTGACATCTCTTGTCTTCTCTTTCCTTTTTTGTTTTAGGGCATCAGGTGCAGCATATCCACAGAATTAAAATGAAATTTTCTTCTTATCATTATTATTATTCAAGATTTTTTGAAGAAACACGGTGATGACCCCAGCCCTGAGGATCTCACTAATATTTTATTGTTCTTACATGTCACCAGGAGACTCACGCAAGCAATCTCACAAAAAGCAATTCATAACAATGGAAACTGCCCCCAGTCACTGAGAAAGGATCTCTTGGGTTTTAAAAGATCTTTTCAATCTTTGAAGTATTCCCTTGGCCTGGCTAGTTTGGTGTCCCTTGAAGGACTTTTTATAAAACATGAGACTTCCTCCACATTAGGCATTTGAAATCCAATCTTTTTTTTTAAAGTTGCAAAATACATATTTTTTGCAGACCATCTGTTATTTAGTAATGTGCAAATTACCAATAAATAATTCCAGATTCTTTTTTTGCAAGCATAGCTATAAACAAACTGATCCACATGCAGAAATGGAAGTCATTTTCTCTTTGAAAATTCATTAACTTCTGCACGATTGGAAGAGCTCGGGAGAGAAGCTTCCCGGCAGATGTCCATGAGTGTTATTACTGTACACAAACAATAACATGAGGCCAAACACTGACATTCTTTGCAAATCTTCCTCTTGTTTAGCATTCACTTCAGTGGTCTCATCATACGGGGTTTATACGTGTGACTATAAAACCCTTTAAGATGGATTTATGTGTAATAATCTCATTTGTTCTTTTATCTGGCTAAACCATTGGAAAACTATGATTCTTCTCCCATGAAACAATAGAGAATCACAAATAAAAATTGCATTTAATTTTTTTATTCCCAAGAAGTTATTTGGAAACCAAATTTCCTAAGTAGTTCACCAAACGAGCCACTGCCATTTCATAGGCAGGGGCATTTAGATTTGTGTCCTTGCCGGGATGGTTTAAGGGAGTAGAAGGAAAGTAGTATTTACAAAATCTGCACAAAATGCTACCCCCAAAATTGCAGTTAAAAGCCACTGACGAGCTACCAAAAGCAAACAGAAACTATAGGAAAGTTGACCTTTGAAAGATGAGAATTAAACTGAGTAAATGTCTTAGTTTCCTATTGCAGCCTAACAAAGTATTGCAAATGTAATGGCTGAAAAACTATGAATTTATTATTGCATAGTATCTGTAAATCAGGAGTCTGGATATGTGTTAGCTGGGTCCTCTCTTCAGGGTCACACCAGATTGAAATCAAAGTGACAGTCAGGGCTGCCATTTCATCTGAGGCTTGGGTCTCCTTCCAGCTCCCTGGCTATTGGCAGAATTCACATGCTTGCAGCTGTAGAACTAAAGCCGTCAAGTCTTATAGGCTGCTCATGAAGCCCTGGCAGATGGCACTCCTCATATGTGGAGGCTGCTTCTTCAAGGACAGTGGGAGTGTTCCTGCTGCTTCTAATCTCTCTGACTTCTGTTCATGTGATTAGATCACACCCACCCAAGATAATCTCCCCTTTGACTAACTCAATGTCAACTGATTAGGACCCTTAATTACATTTGCAAAATTCCCTCACTGTTCCCACATAATCAACCTAATTGCACAAGTGAAGTGCTGTCATAATCAAAAGTCTCACCACACTCAAAGGAAAGAGATTAGTCAGCACATGTGTGCTGGTGGCAGGAATCTTAAGGACCATCTTAGAACTTTGTCTACCACAGTGAGATTTAAGGGTTCATGCATTTTGCCTGGTGGCACTTTCTAATTTGCACTGCAGGTACAGAAAGTCTTATAAGTTTAAGGAGCCAGGAGCCACAGTTCAAGTCTGACAAGGTAACTAGACAATTAGAAGGAAAATCCCAAAAGAAAGGAAACTTCAGGAGGGAGTGAGTCCATCAGTCTGCATGTAAACTCTTCCCAGATAATAAACTCTCTTAACCATTGGACCATGCATATGCATGTGAG
This sequence comes from Homo sapiens, assembly GCF_000001405.40. Taxonomy (NCBI): domain Eukaryota; kingdom Metazoa; phylum Chordata; class Mammalia; order Primates; family Hominidae; genus Homo; species Homo sapiens. The sequence goes on along the minus strand of NC_000018.10, from coordinate 10,364,724 downwards.
ACTTTAAAAGGCCAGGCAAGTAAAGCAGCTGGAGGCTGAAATAATTGAGAGATTTCAGCTGCTGGATATCACAGGAGAGACCATTTGACAACCTGCTACAAGACTTGACATGTTTCAGGGGAACATAATTAAACCCAGAGTCTCTACATATATTTACAATATTCAGTATACAATTAAAAACTTCATAGAAATACAAAGAAAACAAAAAATTGTGACCTATACTCAAGAAAAAAGTCAATAAATACCAGCTCCGGGATGACCTAGATATGAAATGAGTAAGCAGAGACTTTAAACTGCTCTTATAAACTTTCAAGAACTTAAAAGGAATATTGAAGTTCCACTGTCTATGTGTTTACATTTGTCTGCTATCTCTTTGCATATCCCTTTATTTTAAATCCTTCTTTGTTATTTAAAATAGAGGAAAACTTGAAGAGAGATTTTGACTAGAATATATATATATATCTCACAGCAAAATTGACTGGAATATATATATATATATATATATATATATATATATAGAGAGAGAGAGAGAGAGAGAGAGAGAGAGAGAGAGAGAGAGAGAGACAGAGAGAGAAATCTTGATGTTAGGGAGAATAAAGAGGAAAGAAAGGAAGTAAACAAAGATGACTGATATGGTTTGGATCTGTGTCCCTACCCAAATCTCATCTCAAATTGTAATTTCCACGTGTCGAGGGAGAGGCCTGGTGGGCGGTGACTGTATCATGGGGTGGCTCCCCCCATGCTGTTCTCATGATAGTGAGTGAATTCTCATGAGAGCTGATGGCATTAAAGTATGACACTTCTTCATTCAGTCTCTCTCTCTCTCCTGCTGCTATGTAAGATGTGCCTTGCTTCCCCTTTACCTTCTGCCATGATTGTAAGTTTCCTGAAGCCTCCCCAGCCATGCGGAACTGTTAGTCAATTAAACCTCTTTTGTTTATAAATTATCCAGTCTCACGTAGTATTTTTATAGCAGTTTGAGAACAGACTAATACAACAACCAAATTTCTCATGTGGGAATGAGTGAGGAGTTGAGAGAGGTGAGTGGGAATGTGAAAAGATTATAAAGCTCATGAACACCAGAAAAGGGAAAATAGCCATTAACCATAGAGAAAGGGGGCAGAAAAACGAAACTGGATCATATGAACAAACATAAGAAAAAGTAACAAAATAGAAGAAATAATACTAAATTTTGCTTTAAGTTTCTAATTTTTAGCATTTAGTTGGGTTTTGTTGTTTTTATACAATCTGGAGATATCAGGTTTTCAACAGAATTTAGTCTTTTTATGTTTATTGTAATACTAATTTTTAAAATTAATTTTCTATCTTTTAGGGCAACATCTTTTAATAATTTTAATTTTAATTTAATGGGGACTATTTAATTTAATTGGGACCTTAATAGATAGGGACTATTAATTCCTTCAGTGTCAATCAAACACTCAAGGAATTAATAGTCCCCATCTATTAAAAGATGTTATAAAGCCAAAATTCGGCACTTGTTGAATTTTAATCTGTTTAAGATTGGACAGAGTTTTGATCACCATTTCAAGTAATTTAATGAACTTGAAAGTTTTTACCCACTTGAAGTTTTTTTTTCTCTCTTTCATTTTTCTAGAAATATATTCATTTCATCTAGGTTTTCAGATTTATTGGGGCATAGCCATTATATCAGTTTGTTCTCGCATTGCTGTAAAGAACTACCAGAGACTGGGTAATTTATTTTAAAAAGAGGTTTAATTGACTCACAGTCCTGCAGGCTGTACAGAAAGCCTGGCTGGGGAGGCCTCAGGAAACTTACAATCATGGCAGAAGGCAAAGGGGAAGCAGGAAATTCTTACATGGCAGGAGAAGGAGGAAGAGAACAAGGGGGAAGGTGCTACATATTTTTAAACAACCAGATCTCACGAGATCTTACTCACTACCATGAGAACAGCAAGGGATGTCTGTGCCCATGATCCAATCACCTCCCACCAGGCCCTCCTCCAACACTGGAAATTACAATTTGACGTAAGATTTGGGCAGGGACACAAATCCAAACCATATCAGCCATCTATAATATCCTTTCATAATTTTTTTTAAAGTTTATTGTATCTAAGATTATTTTCCCATAGTCGTTCTGAATTTGGTTTCTTTGCATCTTCTCTCTTCTACTTGATTACTTTTGCCAGCAATCTCACTCAGTAGCTTTTTAAAGATTCAACTTTTGGTTTTGTTATTTTTCTCTAGGAGATTTTGTTCTAAATTTTAAAATTACTGAGCCAAACATTTACTCCCACAGCTAACACTTTTCAGGCCCCAGGGAAATACTTGTCCATATCTCTTACCCTATGCCCTGGCATAAAAGGCAAGTATTTCAAAATGCCGTGAAGGTGTGTGGCTCATGCTGCTGCTGACTTTAGAAAATGACATTGTGTTGTTGTGCTTGGATAATGTTAGCAATGGGAGAACTTAACTAAGATAAAATAAAAATTAATTGCCTTGTCAAATCCTTCGTCTCAGAGAGCACAAAGGCAGTAGATTTTTTTTTTTTTTTTTTTTTTTTTTGAGACAAGGTCTCACTCTGGCACCCAGGCTGGAGTACGGTGGTGTGATCTTAGCTCATTCCAATTTCTGCCTCCCGGGTTCAAGCGATTCTTATGTCTCAGCCTCCCAAGTAGCTGGGGTTAGAGGTGTGTGCCAATACGCCTGGCTAATATTTTTTCTGTATTTTTAGTAGAGGTGGGGTTCCACCATGTTGGCCAGGCTGGTTTCAAACTCCTGGCCTCAAGCAATCTGCCCTCCTTGACCTCCCAAAGTGTTGGGACTACAGGCATGAGTGACTGTGCCTGGCCAAAGGCAATAGATTCTGGCATAACACAATATTGTTATGTAATAGTAGAATTGAACATGATTTTTCTGTGGTTTTGTTTTACTTCTCTTGGTTTTCTAAGTTGTGGTTCCAAAGATCATCACAAATTAGTATTTATTTGTAAAAGTCGGACACAAAAATTTAAGGAACATTTTGCAATATGTAAAAAAATTGTATTACTCTCAAATATGTCAATATGTTAATTGAAACATAATGTTAGAAACTAGATAAGATTAAATGTTAGAATTAGAAAAATATTTAAGAAGATTTATTTACATTTCAAAAAATAACATTTTAATTGGAGTACTAATATTTATCAATTGTAATTTGTATTTTGCTTTTGAATATTGATGGATAATTTTTAACATTTTAGAAAAAAATAACTTTTTGAAACTATATAAAAGAATTTCAAATGTTTTATTTTGTCATTTACTTTATGTACATACAAATATTGATGAAAATACATTTATATTTTAAAACAATGACATATTAATCCTTTAGATTATTAGCAATGAATATAAGTAGTGATTACAATGGAAATAAAAATGCAAATAGACCTGAGAAAGAAAAAATAGGGAAAAAATGAACATTTCCAAAACGGAGGTATTCTTAAATGGTTAAAAACTAGAAAAAAATAGGCTGGGTGCGGTGGCTCACGCCTGTAATCCCAACACTTTGGGAGGCCGACGGGGGCAGATCATAAGGTCAGGAGTTCGAGACAGTCCTGGCTAACACAGTGAAGCCCTGCCTCTACTAAAAATACAAAAAATTAGCTGGGTGTGGTGGCACTCGCCTGTAATCCCAGCTACTCAGGAGGCTGAGGCAGGAGAATTGCTTGAACCCGGGAGGCAGAGGTTGCAGTGAGCCAAGATCAGGCCACTGCACTTCAGCCTGGGCAACAGAGCAAGACTCTGTCTCAAAAAAAAAAAAAAAAAACAACTAGAACAAATAGAAATAAGCTGATATTTTACTGAACATAACTTGCATTAAATATGAACAAAGCATTTGGCATTTTTATTTATATTTAATCATTTATTAAAACAAGGAATATGAGCAATAAAATTATTCTCATCAAATCCACAAGTTTATAAGATCATGTGAAATCCTCACAATTTCATAATCTTTACTAAATGAAGATTTAACTACTGGTTTTGAATATAACAATTTGAAAAGTCAACCTGAAGGCAATTATCGCAACTCTGACTTGTCAATTAGAGATGAAATAGGCAAACTGAAGTGGAAAATATGAAACCTGAGAAACTTGGCTCTGTTTATTGAATAATCATCCTGGAAAATGGCCATGGCATCATCAGACAGTATGAGAATGTTTCCAGCAAAATACAATGTGCTCAAATTAATTATGGTTTATTCATTGGTTGAAAGTGGCAGAAATTTTAGGATTCTATTTTATACCAAAATCTTTTAAATGTAGGGAAAAAGTGTAGTCTCTATATGCTAGCCTGAAAGAACACCTTTTGTGGCTATAGTCAGAGTGTTTTACAGCAAATCATCAACATTATCTTTAATGGGTCAGGAGTTTGAGACCAGCTTGGCTAACATGGTGAAACCCCGTCTCTACTAAAAACACAAAAATTAGCCGGGCACGGTGGTGGGCACCCGTAGTCCCAGGTACTAGGAAGGCTGAGGCAGGAGAATCGCTTGAACCCAGGAGGCGGAGGTTGCAGTGAGCCCTGATCGCACCACTGCACTTCAGCCTGGGTGACAGAGTGAGACCTTGTCTCAAAAAAAAAGTATTAAAACGTAAAGATACTTAAGGAAATGTTTTTAAAATCAAAGGAAATTTCATGAGATGAAATATTTAGCAGGGAATGTTCTGGTATCTATAACTTACTTAATGATGTATCAAAAAATAAGATGAGTTGACACATGGATAGGTGATGAATTGATAGATAAATATATAAAACATAGTAAAATGTTAAAGGTATTAATAGAATCAAGGTGGTGAGTATATAGGTGTTTACTAAAAATGCTTTCAACTTTGCTGTGTCTCTGGTAATATTCATGATAAAATGTGGAACAAAAATGAAATTGCATGTGAAGCTTACAAAAAGAGCCATATTCCAATAAAATACAAAGAAATTTAAACAAAAATGAAATGTTTACATGACTAAAAATGAACAGATTTACATACAAAGGGCCCCAAAACTTATTTCTATAGAGACTGTGGTCTGGCTATTAAAGGTCAAAGTACAATATACTCTTACTTAGAGAAAGTTAAACAAATTGTGCAATATTAACTGATATTTTCGACTGTCTTCATGAAGTCTCCAAATTCAGACATTAGAAGAAAAGCTAAAATATAGATGGTAAAAAAATCACATATTAAATGATATATAATTAAAATTAAATTATTTCATAATATTTTTCATGATAAAAATAATGTATCACAAAAACCTGATATAGTATATAAATCATGATATGTCACATTTATGATTCATTTCTGAATCTAAGAATTTCTTTAAATTTTTTATTGAAAATTCCAGTTGCTGCTGCAGAGTAGTTTCTCCAAATTGGAATTAATTAAAATCAATCTAAATTATAAAGGCTCAAGAAAACTGGTTTCATTTGGCATTAGTATCAACAGAAAACAAACTATATATTATAAAATTTTCAATTATGAAAGCACAACTAGTGACTTCATTGAGAGTAAAACAAGAAAATAAATTTTATAAAAAAAAATATAATTTATGAATAATGTTGGTCTTTATTGTTTTACTCTTTGAAACACTATCTGTCCATTAACAGAACATCTAGACATATGCGATAAAAGTTATATTCAGTAATCTTTGACACTTTGTCAACTTTTAGTCATATTAAGACATAATTCCATTTTTAAAAAAATTTAGATAAAATTCCTTGAACAGTACAACTTAACAAAAGCAGATTCTAGAAGTAGATAACCAGCTAATACTATTTTTAGTAAGTAAAATGTACTAATTAAAATTAAATTGAATTTGTAAATAAATCCATTCCCCAAACCACAGGTCTAAAAGGATGTACTGGAAAATTCTTCTTATAATCTTACACAAACTTTTCCAGAAAATAGAAAAGGAACTACTTTCCAGCCCATTTTATGAGGCCAGAATAACTTAATAACAAAACCTGATAAAGGCATTAGAAGGAAAAATATTTCAGGCCGTAATAACCCTCATTAGCAGATAGTTTAAATTATATACACTTGATGGCGTATAGCTTATAAAGTATATTTTAAAGTATATAGTGAATACTAACAGTATATAAAAAAGGATAATCCATCCAAACAAGTTGGGCTCATTCTAGGAAACAAGGTGTGACTTATCATTTAAGAAGGAATCAGGGTAACTGATAACGCCAACAAAATAAAGTAGAAAAACAGAACTTCTGATTTCAATAAATATATAAGAACATTTAATTAAGTTCAGTACCAGCTCAGGAAGAGAAAAAAAAACTTCTGGCAAATTGGAAATACAAAGATAATGCAGGCATTGTTAGTGCCTCACCCATATTCCAACTGTGATTCTTTCTAGGGCTTTTTTTTTTTTTTTCTATCCTAGAAGAAATGCAAGCCAAAAATGCTGGAAAGTTGGTTTTAAGAAGTAACCCTCAGCCACTGCTGGTCTCATTTTTCTGATGTGGGTAACTCTGAGATCTGCCCAGGAGATTGAGCTCCAGTTGCCACAGTGGTAGCTGGAGCAATTGCATACCTTCCTCTAGTCTCTTCTGTACAGCTCTCTCCTCTCCCAGATTCTGCTCCATTGACTGCAGTCACCCTGACCTCACCAGGCTCCGTGGAGCTCTGTCTGTTCCACTTTGGGAGACTGGCGGGCTTCACTTTAGCACCCTCCCTGTGTTGTGGCATGGAAACTCCTTGCAGGCAATGGACTGGGGTATTCATGGGGCTCACCTCATTGTTCCCCTAGGTGGAAATAAATGCAAGCAACCCAGAGGAGAATAGGCAAATGCCCCAGTTGGAGGCTGTTGGCTTGGGAAAGCTGTGGGCAGGCTACAGAAGTGGGATAGCCTGGATGATTTGTTAGAGGTGAATACTTGGATTTCTCTGGTTGGTCCTAAGTTGAGGGTAGGGGCAAAAATTAGGTAAGTTTTCAGTTAATAAAGTCATGGCCATTTTGCACAAATTGTTGTAGAGGTTTGTAGTCTGCTTTCACATTGCTATAAAGAAATACCTAAGACTGGATAATTTATAAAGAAAAGGGGTTTAATTGGCTCATGGTTGCAGGCTGTACAGGAAGCATACCGATTCTGATACTGGGGAGGCCTCAGGAAGCTTCTAATCATGGCAGATGGTGAAGGGGAAGGAAGCAGGCACGTCTTACATGACCAGAGCAGGAGCAAGAGAGGTGGTGGAGTGCCACACACTTTTAACCAACCAGATCTTGTGAGAACTCACTCACTACTGTGACATAGTACCAAGGGGAAAATCCACCCTCCTAATTCAATCACCTCCCACCAGGCCCCACCTCCAACACTGGGGATTACAATTTGACATGAGATTTGGGTGGGGAAGCAGGTCCAAACCACACCAAGGTTATTGGCTGGCTTCCTGGAATGGTGGCTAGGGATCATAGCCTGGCTTCCTGGGCTTGTTGCTATAGATGGTGGGTTGGCTTCCTGGGCCAGTTACTGTAGATCATAGTTTGGCTTCCTGAACTGGTTACTGTAGATGGTAGTGTGATTTCCTGGGCTGGTTACTGTAGATGGTGGGTTGGCTTCCTGCACTGGTTACTGTAGATGGTAGTGTGACTTCCTGGGCTGGTTACTGTAGATGGTGGGTTGGCTTCCTGCACTGGTTACTGTAGATGGTAGTGTGACTTCCTGGGCTGGTTACTGTTGACAGTAGGTGGCTTTCTGCATTGGTTGCTGCAGAGGGTGGATTGGCTTCCTGAACTGGTTACTTTAGACACTGGGTGGCTTTCTTCATTGGTTATTGCAGATTGTGAGTTGGCTTCCTAAACTGGTTACTGTAGACAGTGGGTTGGCTTTTTGCATTGGTTACTGCAGCGGGTGGACTGGCTTCCTGAACTGGTTACTGTAAACAGTGGGTGGCTTTCTGCATTGGTTACTATAGACAGTGGGTTGGCTTCCTGGGCTCCTCACTGCAGGTGGTAGTCTGAATTCCTGGGCTGGCTTTGCCAGTTGTGTGTCAGAGTTCTATGTTTCCATGCAGTCTGGCCATAGTCGGTTTGTATATGCCATTTCTCATATCTCAGGGATTACCCTTTCCTGCCTCTTGTGCAATGCCTGAAAACTGTTGTTTCAAATGCTTTTCTCAGTATTTTGATTGTTTTAGGTGGGAGCATAAATTCAAGCCCTGCCCCTCTATCTGGGCCCCTCTATCAATGGGATGCCTTGACGTCCCAGAGTGAGTTTCAGCTTAATTGTTTTTCTGTAATCTACCTGGGCTTTACTTCCTTGGTCCTCTCCCATTTAGTTTCCTCTTTACTTAGCCTTTTCGTAACCCTTTTGCTCTTTTTTTTAACTGGTCCTATGCAGCCACTACTCCTTTTTTCGTTGCAGTCTCCGGCTGGGACCTCATCATAAACAGAAAGACCTCCCACAAACACTTCAGCACCTGTTCAGCCACCTGGGTACTTCTTACCTCTCCATGGCCTTTGGCCTCAATTTTGAGGTTCTAATACTTTCCTAAACCATGGCAGGATCCCAGATGCTTTGCTTGGACTCACCTGGTTATTCTGGCCAGGCTGGCCTCAGCACCAGATACATTGCTGTCCAGTCGCTTCTCTTGAAGAGCAGAAATCTGCCCAGCACCAGACACTCACTCCCTGTTGTGTATTCCTGCAGCCCTAGAATGCCTTACTTTCAGATGCACTCCTCTTAAAACGGTTCAATTGACTACAATCTCTTAAGCACCTTATAATTTCATCTAGGAAATTCTCACCTTTATGTATTTTTTTACGTTCATGCCTATTATGAATGGTAATTTTAGCTGCACATAAATCTCTTTATCTTATTCATATTTTCCTTTCTGTGTGTTTATCATCCCCTACCCTGGATGGTGGGTTTTTTAGGGGAATGAATTTTTGAGACTGGAAAAATGGCCGCTTCTATTGTATACACTAGATTTAAGAAGTATCTTTACCTTTTTAGATAAGATTATATATAATCTTCACTCACATAGAGACAAGTATATTTAAGTAAGTGTACGGGTTTTTAATTTTCCCAAATAGAACACACTTGTGTAGCCAACATCCAGATTTAGAATCGGAACACTGAAATTGCATTTTATTCCTACTTTCCTGGGCTATCTTTGCTATGAGGCTGACTGTAAGCTTTCTGAGGGCAGGAACTGCATATTGGTTGCTCACTTTTGTGTCTCAAGGGTTATAGCATAGTGTCTGGCCCATATTGAGGGCCTAATTTGTTGAATAAATTTTTTGATGGTATTAGGGAGATGGAGCCATGCTCTTACTGGAAATAAATTGAACGCCATCTGTAAAAAAATGCAATTCCTTTCTCCTTGGCTGTTACTGACACATTTATCCTAAGTGTGTAATACACAACAAAGCTCAGTAAAATTGCCATCATTGAAAATATATTTAAATGACAATTACAAAAACAAAGCAAACTTTTTCTCTATTGTACCTATGAAGAAAACAGACACAGCCTCTCCCATTTTGACAAATGTTGGCAATTGAAACTGCTTAGAGTTAGGGTGCTGTGGACAGCTGTATGTGTTCATGAGAGCAAATGTGTTTGGGGTAGAAAATGCATTGAAGTTGGAAAAATCCATTATGGTCTGGCAATCCGAGTGACAATAAGAATCTGCTCCTTTTGGATAAGAAGTTGGGTTTGCTACTCAAGGAAGGAGCAGGGAGCAGTTTGAGCCAAGTTCCACAAGTTGAGTCCAAATCTTATCCATGATGAATAGCACTCATCCTCACCAAGCCCAGCACCTATCATCTTGTATTTATCTTTGAGAGACAAAAAAAAGTAGAGAAATTTGTGGCCTAGATTTGCTCATCTGCAAACTTTGAAAAATGTGTTGGGTGACTACATTATTCCAAAGTCATGGGCACTCACTAAAATAGTCATGGCTGGAAGTAAGTGAATGTCCTGCTTACTCCAGGGAAGAGGGATTGGAAATGGCCCTGTAGGGGGGTACTGAGCACTCTCACAGAAGAACAGGCACAGGGAAGTCACCCAGCATTCTCATCACCATTGGGTCATGGGGACACTGCTACAATTTCCTCTTTTATGAAGGCTATCTTTGTTCATACTCTCAGAAGGAAGAACAAAGGGAGAACCTTGTTTGTCTTGTGAAGGAAATGCAGAAAGCCTGGTATAGGTGAGAAAAAGTGACTTCCCTTTACAAACTAAAGAAATACAGGGGTCGCCCCACTAGCTGTGGGGTATGGGTGGAGGTGGGGCTGAGTGTCTGAGAGAAAATGCTCTATGGTGTGGGCTGGAGTTTGCTATGAGTGAATTGTTCCAGAGCCTTCCAGCTTCCTGCTAGGGCATTGAAATCCTTTGGCTCACTCTGGGATTTGGATGTGAGACAATTTGCTCTAAAGGGATTTTGGCACAGATAAGTCATTATTATTAATAAACACATGGTGAATGCCAACCATGTGCCTAATGCTGAAATAAAGCTTTCTTTTTCTTTTTCTTTTCAACGTTAAGTCACCAAGTAAAGGAGAAGGCTACTCAGCCCCTTGTTATCCCAGAAGAGGCAATTTTATAGTCTCCCTGTCCCCGTGTCCTTGTCTTTGAATCCTCAAGTGCATTTTTGAAGGATCTTTTCTCTTCCTTTAAGAGAACATTCCAGGACATCATAAATGGTGACTCTAAACTCTTCACCCCTTTCATTATCAAAAGAGTAGATTTCAGAGAGGAATGTAAGTGTCTTCTGACATAGCCTGCAGTCCAACCTGCTCTTACAGGGTGACTCATTTCATAGCAGCTGGATTTTAATGCCATGTGGTATCAAGCAGGGCTGCTTCTAAATGACTGAGCTTGAATTACATGGATGAATCTTTAAAAATATATGGTAGAAAGAGCTGTGTTTATTTTTAGTGGGTTTCTTCTCCTGATTTTCTCCCCGCAATGTCTATCTGCATATTTCTCTGTCTGTACATTTGATCTCATAGGGAAGCAAGGAAAAGTGGGGTTTCTCTAAGGGAGACATACAAAAGATGTTCGGAAAAGCTCCTTTCCTTTATTGCTCAGCAGTGACTTGTGTTTAGGAGAATTGGCACCAAAACAGCATAGTTTACCTCTTTCTATTTTTAAGCAATAGATGGTTCTTTTAAATGACAGTGATCCACATTAGAGAAGATTGGGTCAGGGTTGGATAAAGAATCAGAAGACATTAAACAAAGAGGAGAAGACAACAGCTTCCAGCATTTTCACAATGACTTTCATTTCAGAATTTCTAAGCACCTTATAAACAGATGTTGAAAGGAGACTTAACCGATAATTTGCAAAATAGAGAAACTAGAGAAAAGCGGAAAATAATGAAAAGAAAAGCTTACATGCTTTTTGGTAGAGTTTGGGGGCTCTGGCCTTAAGATAGTCCCTTTCTCTTACTGCCTCTGGCACCCCAGGTCCTTCTCTGATCAAAGGCTGCCTAAATTGCCCCTTCTTGGTATAATTTGAGAAGGCATACTTAGAGTCCCTCCGGATTCTTTCCATCATAGCCCACCAAGGTGTTTAAAAGCTTACCACTGAAGAGTCGTTTATTTATCCATTCTTTTGTTCAACAAATTCTTATTCTGTGCCTACTAAGTGCAAGAGTAGCATGACGGCCTTGGCGTGAGTCGGAATACTTCCCATCTCCCAAGACCATGGCCAACATCTCTAGTAGACGTTTCTTGAAGGATGGAGGGCAGCCATCCCAAGACACTCTCCTTTTGTTTATGGTACTCGCCTACTTAGAATCCCTCAATGGCTGCCCTCCTACTTAAGATAAAGACTTGAGTACTGAGTGGGGCCCTGAAGCCTGGATGCTCTGGCCCTGCTCCCTCTGCTGTCTCCCTGGAGGCCAGCCTCATCCTTGCTTCATCTTCCAGCTGCATTCTCTACTGGGGCCTCCACAGAAGGCAGGCCTGTATTCTTCCTGGCTTTAGGACCTTCAACCTTGTTGTCCTTATGCCCAGAATAGTCCATGATTCCCCCCAACCCCTGCCATGCACACACATCTTTTTACCTAGTTAACTCCTATTTACCTGGTTCAAGTGTTACCTCCCCAGGAAGCTTCCTTCAATTGTCCCTGCACCTGGTCAAGGTCGGGCCTCCTCCTCCTCACCTCCCGAGGGCCTGGTCCTGTTCCTGCCAGCACTAATTGTGGAGTATAATGAGATTTATCTCCTATCATCTGTCTCCCCCGACAGAACACCATAGCATGTTGCCTGGCTACATCATCCTGGAGCAGAGCTTGATCCCTGGCACTCAGCAGGCATTCAGTTAAAATTCACTGAATCAATAATTATGAGCATACACATGGAATAAGTATATCTCATTGCTTTCCAGGCTGAGCCTCAGGGGTTAAGGACAAAGTGCAGCTGAAAGAGCATACAATTCGAAGTCAGACAGGGACAGGGACAACAACAGCCCTCACCCACTGCCCATAGGACCCTGGGCGAGGTGCCTGGTGACAGGGAGTGCTGTGTGCCAGAAACCAGGCTGAGTATTTCCTATATACTCCCATTTAATCCTCACAACAGCACCCTAGTTTGATATTATTATTTCTATTTTAAAGATCACCAAGTTGAGAGATTTAGAGGTCATGCAGCTAACTAAATAAGTGGCAGAGATAGGAGTGAAACTCATGTCTGGCTGGTGCCAACACTGACGCCCTTGAACACCACCTAGCTTGTTACCATGTGTGAGCTTGCACTTTTCAAGAATTCGGTGAGCAGCCACCTCGAGAGCTTGTGTCTTACAATCTTCTCTTCTTTAAGTCTCTCCACCCATTTTGTCACTATCAGATAAATTCCTAAATTCAGCCGGCTACTAGGGATAAATACTCCCTAGGGTTAGGTAGGGTGGAATTATAAATTTGTTGAATTCACAATTTTTCCATTAGTTTCAGTTAGCTTTTTCTACACACCAAACTACCCCTAAAACGTATTGGCTTCAAACAACAGCAGTTTACTGTTTCTCACAGTTCTGTGACTTGGCTGGGTGACTTCTCGGCCTTGTGTCACCAGGCTCACTCATGGGCTCCATGCAGCTGGAGGGTGAGATGGGCTGGAGGGTCCCAGGAGACCCCTCTCACATGCCTGACAGCTGTGCTGCCTCTCCGCTCTCCTCCCTGCAGTTGCCCATCCTCCAGGAGGCTCGGCTGTCAGGGCACGACAACAGGGTTTCTTGAGGCCTAGCACTGGAAATCTCATAGCATCACTTCCAGTACATTCTGTTATTTAGAGCTAGTTACGAGGCAGCCCAGATTCAAAGGGTGGGAGAATAGACACCCCCTGTTGAAGGGAGGAGTGCCAAAGTCTCATTGCAAAGGAATGAGAAATTGTTGTGAACATCTTTGAGTGTAAAATACCATGGCATATGATGGAGTAGGATGAGGTCACTAAAAATAGTCACAAAGCATTTGCCATCAATATAGGAAAAGCACTGTGAAAAATGGAGGAACAATGACATGTATTATTGTCATAGCAAAGTTTACAGGCAGAGAAACCATGCGTAGACTGAAGTACAAAACGAAGGAATGAAAACGCACAAATGAAAGAGAAAGAGAATGGAATTCCACCTCAAGGTGTTTCCAGTACTTGTAGCAGCAGGTAGTGGCGGAGACAGAGTCCATGCTGACCCCTCCTCTCCGAGGACTGCCCGGTGTGGGGGCACACACCTTCATCCTCTTCCCAGGAGAGCTCGTCCTGAGTTCGGAGGACTGGGCCTGCTAGCCTCACCTCTCCTTCATTTCCTACTGTGGGATCCTCTCTCTCCCCAGCGTTCTCCATCCTCCCTAAGACAGTAGCCAGCTTCAAAAACTGGTTGGTTGCTGTTCTGGCAGTATTTGCTCCCCTTTCCGATAAAAACATACCAGATCCACACGTCAGCTACCCAGGGAGACTGTCCATACCGCGCAGCTTGAGCTGAGGTGCCAGGGACCCCTGGAATGGGAAGGAATGCAGCCCGCACTGGAAAAGCCCTATGTCCAGACACCCACAAAGCCTCCCCCAGGCCTCTCTGGGACTGTCAACTCCTGGTGGCTCGGCTCAGGGGAGCTGCAGAGAATCTGCCCTCAGACTGCTGAGAAGACACAGCCTGGAAAAGGCGGCAGAGGCTCCTTTGTCATTCACACTAAATATCCCTTGGATTGAAATCCAGATCTCAGTTTAGATAAAAGGGCTACTCTTGCCTGTAAGTTTCTCTGGGCAATTGTTCATTTATGAAATGAAGACCTTCTTTAAGGCCTCTGTAAAAGTTTTATCCTTTCTTCATAGCGTCTTCAAACTTTATTGCTGAGGAGGCCTGGCACCATTGCAGCGCTCCCAAAGCAATCCACTAAGGTGCCCGGGGTGGCCACAGGGCAGGGCGCCCCAGGAGGCTCTGGGCTGAACCCGAAACTTTCACATGTAAGACACTTAGACTACGTTTTACATTTCTATCAAATAATGACTTTGCAGGAAGGATATCTGATGTTCTCTGAATTCCTTTGCGCCTTCATATACCCCCGAGTTTAAAAGTGTCAGATTGAGAAACACAGAGAGCAGAATCTGTCCCTTCACAGGCGAGAGCTTACAGGTGGGGCCCTGAGACCCTAGGGGCTGGATGCCTCATCTTGAGTCACGCATGGAGTGACCTGGGACTCAGCTGAGGCAGCCCCCTGTGCTGACCCCAGTCTCCCCTCACAGACCCCAACCTTAGGGTCTCCGCTCAGGCTCTGAGTGGGGTTTGGTGGGAGAGAAAGGAGACTTGTAGTAATATCTTCCAGATGTCAAAAAGATGACGTTACTTCTGAAGTTTAATTGCTGGTAATAATGAAGGGGCTGAGAAACACAGGGAGTGATTAAAGTTTTTGAGTAAAGCAGAGGTTCGGGCTTAGTCCGTTAATGACATTGGCAGGGGCAAGGGACAGGGGCTCCAAAGACACAACCACCTACTCTTTTTTAAAAGAATGTGGCTTTGGTGACAGTATTTCATAAACCCACAATACAGCCTGACAAAGGAATCAAAAGCATGCTTTAAAACACCCATCACTTTGGACTTAGGAATTTATGTTTTCTAACCCTGAACAAAGGAATAAAAATAGATCTATATACTTATATGTTTTAAATGGCCTTTTGGAAAAGAATGAAAGTGCGTATAATTGGGACCCTCCCAGAAGGTCTGCCTTATAAATATGCCTCGAGAGACAAAAATGATTTTTTTTGCCTTGTTGTATACATAAGTTTGTGGCTTTTAGAAGTTTTCATTTTGCTACAGGCTCATTTCCTTGGTCAAATCACTGAACTCCCATGGTTTAATTCCTTTGTTTGTAAAATGGTTGAGTTTTTAAAAACTGCTATAGACCTTAAAAAGTGTGAAATTCTAGGAATCTATGCCTGCCTAATTTATTTTCTTTCAAACAGGCCTTTCATATTTTATTTAACAAATTATTTTATTGGTAAGTAGAAGAAGAAAAGCTGAAGAGACATGCTTGTGTCCCACCAGGGCTGTGACTGTGACCCCCATAATCTCAGTGAAGGCAGCACTTCCATCAGCATCTAGACAGGGCTTGGCAAACGGAAGGCACTCAATCCTGAATGAATGAATGAATGAATGAATGAACCTGTCCATATCTGTTGTTGCTACGTGTGTTAAAATCCAGGAAAAGTCTCCCCCCAGCCCCCAAGGACGTACATCATTGTGTTAAAATACTTTGTAAGGTTTCCAGGTGGAGCAAAGTGATCACCCTTACACATTCACAATTTATATAATGAACGAACATAAACTGATTTTTATTTTATGTTTCAAAGTAATGGAAGAAAATTGCTAAGAAAATATGGAATTTATTTTATGACATCTTGGTATGTCGCTGGCTAAAATATGTTTAACAGCTTTAGCAGAATTGATATGTAATTCACACTATATAGTTCACCCATTTAAAGTGTGTAATTTAATGGTTTTTAGTAAATTCACAGAGTTGCTCAATCATCCCAATAATCTAGTTTTAGAACAATTTATCCTAAACATTTTCCTAAAAGGAAACTTTTGCCCCTTGGCAGTCACTCCTCAACCCCTCTCCCCTCCCCTTCCCACTCCTCACTCCCAGGCAAACATTAATCTACTTTCTCTGCAAATTTGCCTATTCTGGACACTGCATATAAAGCAGAACTGAAAACAAAGGACCTTATTTTAACATAATTCCCACTGTGGTCCATCCATCCAGTCTTTATGGATACAGATATGCATATCCATGTTCAGTTGGCCCTCTGCATTCATGAGCTCCACATTTATGGATTCAACCAAACATGAATCAAAAGTTTTTAGAAGAAAAATATTCCTCAAAGTTCCAAAAAGCAAAACTTCAACTTACCACGTGCCGAGTACCATGTTAAATCCATGAGAGTCAAGCGATGTGTGGGCATTGTATTAGATATTATAAGTAATCTAGAGATGATTTAAAGTATATGGGAGAAGGTTTGTAGGTTATATGCAAATACATTTTATATTAGGGATTTGAACATCCACAGATTTTGGTACCCAAGGTGGCTCCAGCAACCAATCACCCACGGATACGAAGGGATGACTATGTATATCTATATTGAAGGAAGCACACATAAATATTACAGTTCATGTCTTCAATCATTTATACTTCTCTTTATTTTTTCCAGCCTTTTGCACTGATAATATTAGTTCTCTATCAAAAGTTATTTTTTGAATTTTGAAAGTTTTTAGAACATTTCGGTAACATTGATGCTGTGAAATGATTACAAAGGATACTTAGGGTCCCCATTTTATGAAGTAGTGAAGTATTAGAGTTATGTGACAAATGTTTCTACTTTATGATGGACAGCTTTACTGAAGCTGAGCAGCTTTACCTTAGAGTACATATTTTCCCAATCCCTTTTGTAAACTTTATTTCAGCTCATATACAATATGGTTTGTAAAAGGCTTTTAAATTCTTTCTGGAATGAGGCTCAATATAAACACAAAGGCAAATAAAGGATGATATTGATCAATTTAGTACAGACGCATTAGCCAGAGATGAATGGGAGAGGAAAATCATCAGGAATTAAAACCAACCTAGAGCTAAATATATCACTTGCCTTTTCAGATTTGTAACAAGGAAAAAAGTTGAACAATTTGTATTCTACCTACTTTCTTTTCTTGTTTCCTTGAGGAATTCCTTCTAGGTAAGGAAATAGCTCAAATTTGAAAACCAGACCAACTATACCAGAATCATGTATCATGTACTGTGTTTATTAAAAATGTGAGACTTGCTGAATCAAAAGCTCTGGAGGCATTGTCCAGGATTTTCTATTTACACCCCAGGTGCTTCCAGAGTTCAGGGAAGTTCAGGAACCCAAGGATAAAGGCAGATACAGGCTCCGGCCCACAGTCCTCGTGGGCCCCTCCTGCCTGGGGATGCGTAAGTGGACCAGGTGACTGTGTCCGACAATCATGAGCGTCCAGAAGGCTCACCTTGTCCCTCAGCCCGAACCCCACACCCGAATCCTGCCCTCCTCCCCACCCCACCCACACCACCCCAAACTCCCAAGGATTTCTTCGGGCCTAGGGATGGATTTCATCAGCAACATGGATAATCAGTGTTGGTGGGTGAAAAACTAGTGGCTCCGCCACAGGGCTGCATGCCTGCTTCATGGCATTATTCCTAGGCACGGCCACGTGGAGGCTTGCCCTCTCACCGGGGTTGACTCCTCCAGGATGGCCTTCCCCTGCCACAGCCTGGGCCTCCCAGCGGTCAGTTGTGGGCCTTTCTGCACATGGCCGAGGTCTCACCAGGGGCACAGCATCAAGGGCTGAGATTGTTTCTGGCTTGGCCTTTGAGAGAAACGTTTCATTCTCAGGCATGAATGCAGAAAACAAGTAAACACAAGTCGTTTGCCAAAGCAAAAAATGCAAGCAAGGCTTTCCTTAAAAATCTATTTCTATTTCCATGTAAGCGTCCTTGTCATATTATGGTTAACAAGAAAAATATCTTGAACTGGGATTGATAATTTTGTAATTACCACCGTGCTTTTAGGTTTGTACACGAAGAAAAAAAATGCATTGTTTCTTTATCAAGAGAAAGAAATCTGCAGGCTGTCTTGGATTGGATTGCAAGTTTGTGAGTGAGTTGTGGGATGTGTGTGTGTGTGTGTGTGTGCCTGTGTGTGTGCGTGTGCGCGCAAGTTCATTTTGCGTGTTAGGTGTGTGATTCCCAAGGCTCTTCCTAGCTCCAAGATTTTCCACAACACACCAGCAACTTTCTTAGGCTATCAAGGGGTTTTCCTTCTTTTGTCCTAGAAAATGGATTTACTTCAAAGCAGATAAAATTTGCTTTTTTGAGTTCTGAAAAAGAAAGGGCTCTGGAATGATTCGTTTCTTATGCTGATATCCTTCCATCTTCAGACATCTGAGAGGTCTTTTTCCTCTTCAAACGGGATGTTTTGTTCTGGTGGTCCAAGCGCTTGAGTGTGTGTGAGTTGTGTATGCTTGTGTATAAGCTGTGTGTGGAAGAGTGAAGAGTGTGTGTCAATATATGTGTGAGTATGGATGTATATATACAAGTGTGTGCACCTGTATATATACTAAATTTAATAATGGCTAGAAAATAATCCTGAAGTTAATAATATCTAGAAAATACAACTGGTTTTGAGGCCTTTCACCCGCTGATTGCTGGCTCAAATTGCTGGAATCAGACCTAGGTCCAGTCATGTCCCCAGAACCTGGAGTTGGGTTCCCCTCTCCAGCTCACCACCGCTGGAGCTAATCACACCTGGTTGCCAGCACCCTGTGGCCCAGGAGCCCAGTCCTGCCTCCTCTCTGATGGTCAAGGAGGAGTGGTCAACACGGGTTCTCCTTCACATCACTGCCCATCAGGCCCCAGGCCCAGGCTAGATGACACAGGTTCCAGAAGCCCAGGACATTCACGCCCTGGACACGCAGGAGAAGTTCGGCACACCCCACACCATCGTGGTGCCCCTACCATGGCTGATAAAACTTAATAGAGGGAGAAGCTGTCAAATTCACAGAAGAAGTTACTAGAGAAAATGTTCTGAAATTAGGTGTTGTAGATATTTTCAAATGTGTTACGACTGCATCTATAATCACATGTAACATAAGACAGTATCTAAGCCAAAATGATACAGCACATTTTTTCAGTTCTCAAATACACTCTCCCTCCCGGTGTCTTAACATCTCTGAATTCAGGATGTAACTTCCGATCAATCAGTTTAACTGATAATATATTTTTATTCTCTTGAAAACATAAATATTAACTGATAATATATTTTTATTCTCTTGAAAACATAAATTAATGGTGTGTCTTCCAATAGATAGCATCTCAGCTTTGATAACACAGTGCCACATTAATTTATTTAAAGCTCAGTATCTCAGGATTATAGATACGTTCTTTGAAGCAGGCTTCCGCCCTTCCCATAGGAGATGTCACTGTCACTGGTGAGGAGGCCTTGTGATTAAGCAGAGGGCAGGCAGGACAACAGGCAAGCACACCCACTGCAGGGCCACGGGAGAGGTGCTGTCAGCCGCCCCACTCATCTGTCCGTATTCTCAGATTTGGGGAGGGCAGGGATGGAGCCTGTAGCCTCCTGTTCCACCCTGAGCGCTGGAATCCAGCCCCTGGTCTTGCAGCCTTTACCTGTTACTATGATGCCCAACCCAACAAAAGGGAATCCTTGATGCCAGGTGCTATGCTCAGCATTGTGCAGAATTCATCTCATTTGCTCCTCAAAGTGGCCCCTTGAGAGGGCACTCTTGGCACTTGCCTTTGCAGATCAGGACACAGAGGCTGCGGGAACTCAATAACCTCCTGTTCGCATCTTTCTCTGAGTGATGGAGTGGAGGGAGACCCGGCAGTCCCATGCTGGAGCCCACACTACTGCTGTTCCAAGTCTGATCTGTGGACCACGGGCACCAGGCCCATGGCCCTGGGTGCCTAGCACAGCCTCGAGTACATCCGGAAAGACCCCACCCCACCTCCCAGGCATTCTGCTATGGCCCAGGGCCCCAGCTCCCCAGCTTGAAAACTGCCCTTTCCTCCTCCTCAAGACTTTAACATTCCCACTCTCTCAGTCAGGCAAGTTCCGAAAAAGAATCTGATTAAGTGAATTCACACTAATCGTGTGGGACAGGAGGGCATCAGGAGTTTAATGCTCAGCGCTTTGCAGTTGTCAGAGTGGCGCTAACAGAGTAGTGGGGGAGCTGTGAGGAACGAGGGACAGCAGAGGGAAAGGGTGCACTTGCTGTAGATGGGACAGTGCAGGGCCCCTGGGGCTGATCACAGGGGCCGGCGCTTGATGGCTGGGTCCCTGTCATCCGTGGACTCGGCCATGCTGTCTTTGAACATGCACTTCCTTCCCTGGCCTCACACAGGGCAAGGCTGAGCACCAGTCAGGGGCTATGTGCGACGGGCAAACACACTGTTATCACCACTAAGGCATGTGCCCTGCTTGCAAGGGGCAGAAGCTGAGGCTGCACAGGTTCAGGGCGGTTCTCCTCGCTGCTGCAGACACCTCCAAAGCACCAAGTCTCCCTCTGTGAACTCACCATTTGAGCCACTTCTTTCTGTTACTGGAAATAATCCCCCCCTTCAAATTTGCTTTGCCACAGCAGGGCTAGTGGCCAACTTCTTCTCTGAGGCCCCTTGTCCAAGGTTCGTGCAGTTCCTGCAGAGAGTGGGCCACAGGGGCGTGTGGACAGTGCCCGATTGAGTGGCTGGCCCGCCCGCTGGGCACCGGCCAGTGCTCCCAGGGAACCTGCAGCCCGCCGGCCCCTCCAGCAGGGGAGGCCAGGCTCTGGTGAAATCCCTAGTGATGTGGTCACCCCCACTCGGCACAGGCCTGCCACAGAGTGCCCAGGAGGAAGCTGGAAACTCCGAGGTCCAGCCAGGAATGAGGCCAAGGCAGGGATGTCGCAGCTCCTGCCAGGGCACCCACCGTTGCTCTCTCCTTCCTTGTTCCTCACTCTTCCCTCCCCTGTCCACAACATTTTATTTTTCTGGGAGCCAGGTTGAATGGGTTCATTTTTCCATTGATATTTTCTCTGATGCACAGCCCAGCTCTGATGCCAAGTGGCCCCTTTTCTGTAACTTGCAGCTCCAGGAACGCCTCCGCCACCCCTTGGTCCTTGTGTGTGCTGTTTCTCTACCTGGACAGTCCCTCAAGGAGTCTCCTTTCCCCCAGTCTTCACTCAGAAGTCACCTTCCAGGCCACCCCATTCCCGCCTCCCCAGGCAGCACCTTAAATCCCTCTTCTCGGCACAGGATGGACACAGACATTCAGTCTATAGCAGTGTGTTAGTGCTAATGTTCATTTTTATATCCTGTGCTTATTTCTTCAAAGCTTACCAGGTTCACCCATTCATCTACTTTTTTTTTTTTTTGTGACGGGGTCTTCCTCTGCCGCCCACCCTGGAATGCAGTGGCGCAATCTCAACTCACTGCAACCTCTGCCTCCCAGGCTCAAGCGATTCTCCCACTTCAGCCTTCCAAGTAGCTGGGATTACAGGCATGCGCCACCACTGCCCGGCTAATTTTTGTATTTTTAGTAGAGATGGGGTTTCGCCATGTTGCCCAGGATGGTCTTGAACTCCTGACCTCAAACAATCCACCTGCCCCGGCCTCCCAAAGTTCTGGGATTACAGGCATGAGCCACCGTGCCTGGCCCATTCGTCCACTCTTAACATCAACAGCATTTATGGAACACACTCGACATGCCACTTATCTGCTCTGCAGCACACAATCCCAGCTCTGAAGATCAGATCACTACAGCCCCAAGTTTTCAGGGTCCAACCCAGAAGGGGGCATGCGAGGCCAGTACAGGGTTTGGAGATGGCTTTGCAGAGAAGCTAGGCCTCCCGCAGCAAATGTGATGGTGCAGGAAAATGCGTGCATGCTCAGAGGAGAGGAGGAAGGCCATTCCTACAGAGCCCGTGGCATGGGTTCCATTAAGGATGCAGCTGAGATTGTCCAGGTGGGAGAAGGTGAGGAGAGTGGGAGGGGCTGGAGAGGGGGCTAGCTGCAGAGGCACAGAGGGAGTGACACCCATGGGATTTTTGCACTTCTCAGATGTGAGGGAAGGGAGACCGGGAAGGAAAGACACCAGAAGGACGACTCCACAGACGCTAGCTGGGATGACTGAGTGTGTGACAGTGTTTGAGTCAGAAGATACAGGAGAAGAGGCAGGTTTGGGAGCAAAGATGATCATTCAGGCATGGACATGCTGAATTTGTGATGCCTGTGAGTCCCTAAGTGGAGACGTGCAGCAGGCCTTGGGAAATAGAGAGCTACCTCAAGAAAAGGGTTTCAGCTGGAGTCATGAGGTTAGGACTTTGGACTTATGAGTAGCAGCTGACATCCCTTCAAAAGAGCATGTCAAGTGGTGAGAAGGGCAAAGACAGAATTCTGAGTGAAATCAGTATTTACAAGTTATAAGCAGATACCGCTTGTGTATACAATGCTGGTCATATGTGGGCATGGACTGGAACTTCCTCCCAGCTGGAAGTCCTGAGATGGGAGTTTCCTCTCAGCTGTGCAGGAAAGCCCTGGGCTGTGGGGCCTGCAAGCTGTGAGCCCATCGTCTGCAGAGACATGGTGGGCCATCCCAGGCAGGTGCTTTCTTCCTCTCATTATGATAAAGAGGTCTGAGGACCTATGAGAGGAGGTCCCTTCCAGAAGGGTGTTGCAGGTTTAAGAATGGGTTCATCTTTCCTGGCAGTAGCCCAACACCAGGATCTGAACACATAACTGTCCGACACCAAACTCTTGTTCTTTCTATGACACTAAAGTCCCACGGCAGGACATGACATATATGTGAAAAAGCAAAGAGAAGCATGTCATATTTGCAGAAAATATTTGGTTGAATTTTATGTTATATTTACATGAACATTGTATTTACTGTATCACTCAATGTAGTGATCTCACTCTATAAAATAGAGTAGAGAGAATTTCTGTCTGGTATGAGCTATAACTCTTAGAAAAGGGACACCTGTGCCCTCTGGCCAGTTTGCAGTCCTTTGCAAGGGGGCGTGTGAGCATACCGGAGGGGTGGTCTGGTGGGTTGTGTGTTAGCTTGTTTTCATGCTGCTGATAAAGACATACCTGAGACTGGGCAATTTACAAAAGAAAGAGGTTTAATTGGACTTACAGGTCCAGTGGCTGGGGAAGCCTCACAATCATGGTGGAAGGCAAAGAGGAGCAAGTCACATCTTACATGGATGGCAGCAGGCAAAGAGAGAGTGAGGAAGACATAAAAGTGGAAACCCCTGATAAAACCATCAGATCTTGTGAGATGTATTCACTACTAGGAGAAAAGTATGGGGGAAACTGTCTCCATGATTCAATTATCTCCCACCAGGTCCCTCCCACAACACGTGGGAATTATGGGAGTACAATTCAAGATGAGATTTGGGTGGAGACACAGAGCCAAACCATATCATGGTGGGTGGGTGCTAGCTGGGCCTCGACAAGTTTTAGGAGAAGTGGAATAAACATGTTATTCAGTGCTTTGATTATAGAGACAAAAATGCTCTGTCTGCCTAATAACATCCCCCAGCCCACCTGCAAGGTGGGCCCTGCTGCCTGCAATGCTGGTGAGACCAGACTTGTCAGGGCATTCTCATAAGTGCCTCTGTTAAAATGCAGACGTCTGACTAGAGTCAGATGTTAACCACCAACACCTGTTATCAAAGGACCATGGACCGTTTATCAGATTCATGGTTAGGGGGTGGGAGAGGAAAGAAACAGTGGAAGTTTCCAAAGCAAGGGTCATGAGCGGCGCCTCCTTGGTCTCAGTTCAAGGGAGCCGCAGTGGGCTCTGCAGACACCCTGAGGTCAGAGGGTAAGTGGGAGGTGGCATGGCCACAGGGGAGGAGCACAGCCTGTGCAGAGCAGGAGTGGGGCTGACAATAAAGGGAACTGGGAGGGACCTGAGCTGTGGATGAGGATGCAGACCAGGCAGCCACTGGAAATGCAGAGAATAGAGATTTAGGAGTGACAGAATGGACAAGAGCATGTGGATGCCCAGGCACCTTTTCTTTTGGCCACGACCCTGTCACTCAGGTCTCCTTTGCAGGCCCTGTCCCAGGCCCCTGTGGTTGGGGTAACTCCTCTCCAGTTCATGGGTTGGGCTGCCCCGGGATTGCTGTCAGATGCCTCCTGGCCCTCACCGCATGTGCAGAGGCATCAGAGCTCCTTGATCACATGAGCTTACCCTCCAGCAGGGTTGGGCCCTGGGGGTGTTGGCAGCTCCCAGAGTGTACAGCATGGTCCTTGTCCACAGTGAGGGTCACTCAGCCCAGCCATGATGCAGAAGGAGGTGACAATGAAAAATCCCACGTCACCCAAATGACTTGAAGAAGCCGAGCTTCTCAACGACCCCACACCTGCATCCCTAGGAGCTTCTGGGAGCCATGCCCGACCCATGGATGGGGCTTTCTGGATATCTGGCACTGTCTCTTGCGGCCTGTGGGTTGAGCAAAGGCCCCGGGCTTCCTGGCTTGCGGGGCTAATTTTCTTGGCATTTTCTTTATTATTTCTTCATCTGGTTCCCATGGAAGGCTGGGAACGGCTTCCTCGTGAGCGTGGGCTGGATCACCTCCTCGGATGTTAGGTTACCTGAAAGCTGCTGCCTCCTTCAGCACCTGAGCAAGGGAAGGGGGAGAGGGTTCACTCCGGTTAGTGAACAAGCTGCCTGCTCCCCAGCATACTGGCTGAAAGAAAACCTTTTCCAGACAGGCCCAGACTGCCTCACACCACAGTTCAATTATCCATGAAATGAAGGGGACTTCTAGAGGCGAGGACATTTCTAGAGGCTTCTCCAGCAGCAGGCTGGCTGGCTCTGCTCCCCAACAGGGTCCTGAGATGTCAACAGCGTGTTGCTGGGAGTAGGGTTCCTCTGGGAGGTACCCCAGGGGTGATGGTCCTTCCTACATAGCTCACTTGGCAGCCGCCTCTCCAGCTGCTTATTTTATCACTTACCTGTTTTCTCAAGAGCTTCCTGAGGAGGCACCGGACAAGAGGAGGCAAAAAGAAATTCAGCGAAGAACAAGATGCTTTTAAAATAAGGAAGAGGAATGAGACCATCTCTAGTGCTAAGAGACACTGTGATACCGTAGCGGTGGGAGCAGCAGCTCTGGGCTCCACAACCCTGTTACAAATTCCCCATCTACCGCTCCCAGGCTGTGTGACTTAACTCTTTCTTGTTGTTGTTTTTAAATTTGAGGTAGACTTCTTATAGGCACAGCTGGGATTTCAGCCCAGGTTTGCACGTGTCCAGGCAGAACCTTTGTGACAAGACCATAAAGCTAGAGCCATCACCAGCCAAAGGTCCTGATGATGACACTCAGGACAGTGGCAGCTTCAACTCTATTTATGAAACTTTCCAGTTTTCACAGCCAACTTCCCAGACAGTGACTAGGAAAAGTCTAGTTTGCCCATGACTGAGGGAGTTCTTGGAATTGGGACTTTGATTTTTTGGTGTTTTTCAATAAATGTGTGTCCTTTTAAAAATAAATTTAACCTCAAAAGTTAGATCTTATTTTCTCTCATTCAATAAATGTGGAAGCTAAAAATCTGAAGTTAAACAACTAGTTCAGTTGTACATATAAAGCCACCTTGTCCTAAGCCTATTCCACGAATCTTTCATTTGTTAGAATCCATCCATCTAAATAACTATTTGTTTAAAAAAATTGGAGAAGAATGAATATCACAAGTACAAACCATTACCTTAGTGAATTACCAAGTATCCACATCTGGGAAAATCTTTCAGGGCATTGTGAGAGCAGGGATGATGATGTCTGCAATGTGCTTGGCCCTTCATATGTGTCTGATCCAGTTTACTTTCGGGGACATCCGTCATCACCATTGGAATCCAGACACACACCATGAAACGTGAGTATGAGAGCACTTAAATGGGATGACAGGCCGGGTGCGTGGCTCATGCCTGTCATCCTAGCACTTTGGGAGGCTGAGGCGGGTGGATCACCTGAACTCAGGAGTTCAAGACCAGCCTGGGCAACATGGCGAAATCCTGCCTCTATAAAAAATACAAAAAAAAAAAAATTAGCCCAGGCGTGGTGGCATGTGCCTGTAGTCCCAGCTACTTGTAAGGGTTGAGGTGGGAGGATGGCTTGAGCCTAAGAGGTTGAGGCTGCAGTGAGCCAAGATCACACCACTGCACTCCAGCCTAGGTGACAAAGTGAGACTCTATTAAAAAAAAAAAATCCACTTTTAAAAAGAATAAAACAAAGGAAAAAAATGGGACGACAGACATCCAGCCCAACAAGCCCTTTGCACAGGCATCCTGGCTGTTCTTACTCTTAGCCCATCTTCCCTTGGGGCCGCTCCTCACCCCCAGGCATCTCCTTGTGGGCCCCGCTCTGCCGTGTCCATCTATTCCAGGGTTCACTAATCTGGGGGCCTGGCTCCCATCCCTGTCAACACTTTCCCTACTTCATCTGGGCACGTGAGAAGGGATCCTGCTGTTGCCCACCCCAGTGGACAAGGAGAAGATACTGTGTGCAATGGGAGTGCTTTCTGAACATCCTTTTAATGGCCTACCTGCTTTCAATCATTAAGAAGCAAAAAACTAATCCTGGGAGTAGAAAATGATGTTTATCAAGTGCCTATTGCCTGCCAGGGCACACACTGGCACGCCTCACAAGCTAAGTCCTCTCAGCTCTACTTTACAAACGTGGAGACTGGAGACGGGAGAACATATTTTGCTCAAGATGCGCAAGATATTCTCTCCTCTTTCCATCTTCTTCAAACCCAGGTTCGCTGAGTTGGTCAGGGGAGGTGGGGCAGCTCCTGCTATTCCATTCACCTGGTGGACTCTGTCCCTCGTCTGTGATCTGGAGAAAAAGTCTCTAACGCAAGTACATTTTAAAGATTAACGCCCAAACAAAAATCAACTTAAAGACATTCTCACAGAACAGACATATTCTGCCACTACCACCATTCTCCTATCATCCCACTAGCCTTGCACCAAGGGCTTGAATCTGCTCTTTAGTGGAAAGAGCATAGCTCTCCATACTGGGTCCTTCTGTGACCTTTTTCAACTTGGAAACATCAAGAATTTTTCATGGAACTCTACAGGTTAAACCTGGGGAAATTAGGTAAATGTATTCTTCCCACCAGGGATGTTTTTCTTTTTAACTTTGTGGACTAATAGGCTTTAATTTCCATCACAGCAGCATTTCTTAAAAAGTGATACTCATATCATTATGCAGGTATATGAAATGATTTTAAAGGTTGTGTATATATTTGAACATATTGTAGCAGGTCTATTTTTCAGAATCACATCATCTTGGGTACAAAAACGCAATCTTCTATCTGTCTAATTGTGCTGAACTTTTATCTTGAGCCCTCATTCTGCCTAATACTGGAAAATGTAATCCAGTCAATTCCAGGTTTTAGAGTTGATTAAGAATATAAGGACTCTAGACATAATGTAGTGTTTATTTATGTTAATGTAGTGTTTATGTATGTAAATACTGTAACAAAAATACGTTTAGGTCAACTCTAGGGATGCAACAGAATATGTTTCCCTTCTGAGGGAGTTCTACATCATTCACATTTGAGAAGCACAGGGCTAGCAAGCATTAGCAAGCTGGGTAGTGCTAGTAATGGAAACGCCTTGCTCTTAATGTCTCAGGCTATTTTTGTTAAGTATTTTGAGGACACTTAATGACTATGCTCTTAAGATTTGGGGTGGGGAGCCTCCGAAGCCTGCGGGCTCTTGCTCCACACCCACATTCCTGCCCTCCAGGGACATGGCGTGTGCACACGTGCACTGCGTGTTTCGCGTGGCCTGCCTAGCAAGGGACCCTGGGCGGAGACCTTGGCCATGGAGCACAAAACCCAGCACAAGGGAATGGCGGGCGGGGCGCACCCCATGAGGACCTTTTGTTAGGTCACAGGAGGGGACACTAAGGACAAACAGTCCCCTCTCTAAGTGGTTCCCACGTCACATCTGCTTCTCCTCTTGCCAGCCTGGAAGGGTTGTTTTGCTCAGATTTATGTGTTCTGGGCTTTGCAAAATGTTTCTAATTGTTCAAATTTCTTGTGAAAACCCCTTATCGCCTGTGTGTGCCTCTCTGCCCAGCTGTTCCATAGATGTCTATGTTTACAGGTTGCTGCCATTGTGTCTTTACACACTTTATTTGTGTTGACCTTCTTTCTCTCTCTTTTTAAGGCCATAAGTCCCTTAAAGATCAGCTTCCCTCTTTTTCTTTTCTTTCTTTTTTTTTTTTTTTTGAGACAGGGTCTTGCTGTGTTGCCCAGGCTGGAGTGCAGTGGCATGATCATGGCTCACTGCAGCCTTGACTTCCTGGGCTCAGGTGATTCTCCCACCTCAGTCTCCTGAATAGCTGGGTCTACAGGTACAAGCAGGTGCCACCATGCCAGACTTTTTTTTTGGATTCTTTTTTCTTTTTTTTTGCAGAGACAGGGTTTTGTCATTTTGCCCAGACTGGTCTTAAACTCCTGGGCTCAAGCGATCCTCCTACCTCTTTTTTCTTTTTTTTTGTAGAGACAGGGTTTTGTCATTTTACCCAGACTGGTCTTAAACTCCTGGGCTCAAGCGATCCTCCTACCTCGGCCTCTCAGTGTTGGAATTACAGGATGAGCCACGGTGCCTGGTCCCACATTTTCCATTTTTAGAAAACTGCGTACTATAAGAGTTAAGCGATGTCTTAACACACTATTAAACAACCTATGTCTTAAGGGAAAACTATCATTATAACCTTCAAAGTATTTAAAACTTGGACATTCAAAAACTCCCTAGAATTAACAAACTCTAACATTGAAACAGATGGTTCAAGGGAGAGGGCGGGTCTGTTTCCATAACAATTACATACTTGGAGTAACCCACCGGCTTTTTGGACTTCCTGGCCTGTGGGTGGGGAAGAGGCCCCTGGGTTGGCCATCACCACCATTCTCCCCCAACCCCCAGCCATCCAGCACCACAGCTTCTTGCAGTTCTTCGGTGGAAAGGCACAGAGCATAGCCCTTCCTTCCTTTAGTGACATTTTTCACCTTAGAAATATCAATTATTTCTCGTGGAATCCTATAGGTTAAAAGTGTGGCTTTTTACAAAAATTTAAGTTCTCCCAGGTTGACATCACACTAAACAGATTAGAACCAGCTTTAATGTGTGATAAGGTAAGAGTGAGGCTTGAGAAGTTCAAGGGAGCCATATTCAGGAAGCGGCATAATTCTTTTCAAAAAATAGGGACTGAGCTCTTTACTGGATCATTTTTGTACAGGGCATTTCTAAGATGAACTATAACAGGGAACTTTTCTGGATGCTGACAATTTATGGGAGCTAGAAGAATATAAAAAACAATTTACAAAGCAATAAAGAATGAAATAAGTTCCACAAAGCAAGTCACATTACAAGAAGAGTTACGATGACAAGCCACCTTGCAGGTTGGGGGTCAGGACTCAAATAAGCTTAGGAAGTAGACAGCTCATTTTATGACAAAGTCTTATTCACAGATCATTTTTATCTTGAGCAACAAACCAAAATTTATCATTGTGTGGGAAGGGGGAATTTCTTATCAATCTAGAGTAGCAAAAATCGCAAAGATGTTTTAAGAACACGGAAAAGAAGGAAAGAGGCCTCAGGTGACCTATAAGGGTCTCATATGTGACACTGCAGCTCCATTCAGAGCACAGGTGGGTGCAGAAATGCCCGGGGAAGGTTATCACTCAGGAATGTGTCTGGCTGAGGTCCACACTAGGATGGCAGACCATTCAGACGATCATCTTAAAGTATTAAAAAGCAAATATTCCACATTTCTAGACAGTGAATGATTTCAGCACCTGTTTAAGTAAAGCACTATGCTGAATACTTCATGGGAAATCCAAAGAAACCGATAGTAAGGCTTGGATTCCCAGTGTCTTTGACTAAATCTAAAGAGTACTCCCAGACAGGGGACGGTATTACTCAACGGACTCTCCTTACGGCAGGACCGTAGGCAACTCAAATCATCTAGACTCTGGTCCTCAGCGTGGAGGACCCAGGAGCTAGCAGTTAGCAGCACCATCAGCAAAAGTCAGACTGCCGATGCTGGACTCACACTATCCCACCTCGAGAGAGAGACTGCTCTGCAGCCCAAACCAGCAAAGCATTAAGTTACTATGAGGAAGACTCTTCCTGTGGATTGGACTGTCATCCAAGGTGCACCTGCCGAGTAGGAAGGGACTGGGAGAGAAAAGCAGTGGTCAGAAGGTTGCTTAGAAACGGGGGTTTAAAGAAAGGAGAAAGTAGGTTGCCTTGAATATCTTGCAGCCAGGTAGCTGCTGGTCAGAGAGCTCCTGTCCTCCAGCGCTGCATCTCCCTTCCTGGAGAGCTGGTCCTCTCCATCTTTCCTATTTTCTCCATCCCATTGGCTTGTCTAATAAGAGAGTTTGTCTTTAGCTTGGTGCATACATTGGTTAATTAAACTAGAACTAGTTGCTAATCACATTGGCCTTGGAGATATTCATTTCCTTCATTTATTATTGATATGATTATTTTCCAGTTCCTGGCAAGGCAGCAGTAGGGGGAAGGGGGCGTGTAGGATATCTACTAACATCCTTATCATTATTATCGTTTTTTTTTTTTTTGAGATGGAGTTTCGCTCTTGTTGCCCAGGCTGGAGCGCAGTGGCGCGATCTCAGCTCACTGCAAAGTTCGTCTCCCGTGTTCAAGCGATTCTCCTGCCTCAGCTTCTCGAGTAGCCGGGATTACAGGCACCCACCACCACATCCAGCCAATTTTTTTGTATTTTTAGTTGAGACAGGGTTTCACCATGTTGGCCAGGCTGGTCTCGAACTCCTCACCTCAGGTGATCCACCCTCCTCGGCCTCCCAAAGTGTTGGGATTACAGGCGTGAGCCGCTGCGCCCAACTCTCACTAACATTCTTATAATTCATATACTTCTACAACCTCACTGGGGAAACAAGGTCTATGCAAGCATCATTTATACTCATATTATCTTCTTGAGAGTAAAAAGTCACTTGCACACACATTATCTCACGAATCCTCACAAAAACTTCGTAGACAATGAAGCTAACTGTTTTTTTCTTTTTTCTTTTTTTTTGGCCTGCTATGTATTGCTCTCTCAGTTGCTTTACATTTCTCATCTCATTTAACCCTTCTCCAATACTGCCAGGCCAATATCACTTTCCTAGTTTACATTTGGGAAAATGGAAGCAGTGGGGCTTGCCATGTCTTCACTAACATCAGACAAGTGGTAAAAAGCCTACGTTAAAGATGGATGGAATGCTCTCGACTCTAAGTCCAGGGATTTTTCAACTACTCTCATGAAAACAGATCTAATAAGTAACAATACAGGAACAATCATAAGACAATAGAGGAACAGGCCAAAAAGTGTGGGTCTTTATAGGAAGGGGCAGGAGCGCTTGGGACAGGGAAGGCAGGGGAGTCAAACTCTCAAAGTCAGCAAACAAATGCTGATGATAACAAAGTTACAAACGTGATGTCTGAGATTTTAATTTCCTATTACATCCTTTTTCCAAATAAGCATCTAGGAGGAGTTGAGATGCAAATGGTCATTTTGGATGTTGGATGAATTTGCCTGTTGCCTGTCGTTAGACAGTGAAATTGTCTTAGTTACTATTCTTTTTCCCCAGGGCTTATCTTTACTTAAGTTAGACAAAAACCAAATTGTACTTAGCAGGAAATGGCCCTTCCTTGTTTCTTTGTGCCCAAATTAATTTTGTCATTGGCCTGTGGTCCAATGTCCCGGAGGCCAGAGAGGCAACCTTTCTCCTTTCATCATCCCAGAGCATCGCAGAGGAGAGGAGCTGGTTTTGCTGGCGGGCGGGGCAGTGTCCAGGTGAGCAATGCACAGGTCTCAACTTTCCCTGAGTGCAGCAGACCCCTGCAGGTGGGGCCTTTCTCTAGAGTGCCACTTGGCAGGAGTCCCCTAGTCCACCAGCACCTAATGAGAATCCGGAGACTATGGGAAGCTTTTCGACTCTGTCCAGGGTTTGCAAGGACTGCTGATAGGACGGGTGAGTGACCCAGCGGACAGTTCAAGAGATGAAAGGCAGCCTTTCGGATTAAATAAGATTTAGGAAATAAAAGGATTAGCAGGGCACAAAAGCTAGATTTACGGGTTTATTTAGCCAGTGCAGCATGGCATGCTGGGGCTGAGGGCATCCAGAAAGAGATAAAAGGAACTAACTCAGGAGGTCGCAGGGCAGCAGAGACAGCAGAGTCCCCCACCTCCGAGCCGGCTAAATCTTCTGATAATTGAAAACAGGCCAGAAAGGGATATTCCCCACTATTAATTTTGACTCCTCCACCAAGCAATAAGAAGAGATACGATGACAAGCCACCTCTCAGGTTGGGGGTCAGGACTCAAATAAGCTTAGGAAGTAGACAGCTCATTTTATGACAAAGTCTTATTCACAGATCGTTTTTATCTTGAGCAACAAACTGAAGTTTATCATTGTGTGGGGTGGGGGAATTTAATAATTTAATATCATTCTTGGGTAGCAAAAATCACAAAGCTATCCTTCCGTATTGGTTATCTTTGCTCAGTATTTCTCTTCTCCCAAACTGTGGAACCAGAAACCCCAAGGCTTGAGGAAGGGCTGTTGGAGCGTATCTGGTCTAATGGGCCCTGTGAAGTGGGTGCCCTCGCCAAGGTTCTCTGACATACGCCAGGACCCTCGTGGTCAGGGGCAGGACAGCGTGCTCCAGAGACAAGCTACTCCACTGTAAGACAGAGGAAAGTTTCAGCACTTCCTCCTGAAATTATACCCAAATCTCCATCACACTGGTCCTTACTCTGCAACATGCAAAAGCTTAGAACAAATCTAGTCTCTCACTGACATGATTGCTATTGGAAAATCTGAAAATAGCTGGTATGATGTCCTTAAATATTCCCTTTCCCTGGTTGAGCTTCTCACTGTCCCCTGTAATTCCCACGGTCTGATGTCTCATTTCCTTTCTGGGACACTAAAAGGAGGGTGTATGTAGTTTTGGGCCTCCTTCCGCGTGGCTCTCCGTGCCTGGAATCACTTGTGAGGTTTCTCGTCCTAAGCAAGTGTCTTATGACCCCTGCATTACCATGTTTGATAAACACCCAATCTATCTACCCTCATCAAAGTCTCCTTCCTTTAGTATGAGACTACAAAAGCTGACACTAGAAACCTACTGTGAGAGCTATAATGAATGCACATTTCCACATCTCTGCATTCAGTATTGATCAGACATTCCTGAGCACCTGATAATTATCTAGTGTCTGCTCAGTGCAAGGGATAGGTGATTCCGATGTGGTCCCAGCCCTGGAGGAACTCAGAGTTTAGGAGAGGAAATACATACTTAAATAACTGTAATTACCTGTGATATAAATTATAAAGAGGTAGGCTCCAGAGATCACAGTATGGGATATCTGAATGTTCAATGGGTAAACAGTGAAGAAATAACTTCCTCAGCAAGAGGGAATATGCATATAGAGAGCTATGAAGGCAGATAGGAATTTGACATGTTCAGGAAACCACAAATTTGAAAGTCTTTCATTCCAGAGTGAACTGCTACGGTGAGAGATGATAGATAGATAGAGTGATCGATAGATAAAGAAAATGACCTCCTGCCCTACCCGGGTGATTTGATGGAGATGACAAGTTTAACTGAAACTCGAACTCAACGCAGGATGAAGAAAGGGTTTAGAATGGGTGGCAGGTGGGAGAGAATTTGTATATATACGTGTTGCTGTTAACAAAGATCAAAGTAACCCTTCATTTCACTACTTCATTGCTCTTATTTAGCCATATATTGAACTCATTTCCCTCTGGTCAGAGTTTTGAAGTTATAAAAGATATATATACACTTCCAAAGCAGGAGTGGACTGAGTCAAAATCTGTCGAAGGCGAAAGAAACTTTGGCAATTATTGAGTGAAGTGATTTTCAAAGCATGTGGCAGAAGTAACTTCTTTTTGGAAGTGGAAGCTCAACGCCTCTGGCAGGAGCAGGGGCAGCTTTGCTAGGGGCAGGGGAAGGCAAGTGTAGACTCCACCTGTTCACCCTCCCTTCTTTCTCCCAGCCTCTCACCTTTCCCAACCCTCCCATTGTCAGGAACAAAGCCTAAAGCTGACTTCGCAGATAAGGAAACTGAACTGAAGGGCAGAAACCAAGTGAAGAGAATCCTGGCAGGCCCATCAGCGGCATAGGCAGGGCCAGAAACACAGACTCAGCCTTGCAGAACTACATTGAGATGCAGGTGATGTCATTTTCTTTTAGGGTTAAGTTCGTTTATCACCTGTGAGGAGTTTGCCTCATGAAAGAGCAACAGATGGGTGAACAGTATAGAGGCCAGGTTACTCTGTGTCTTTTGTAATTGATGACAAATCTAAACTGCTACACGGGGCGACAAGAGCAAAACCAGAGGCGTCCCAATGAGGAAACGTAGAATGATAGGTTTTATTTTTTGCTGAAAACCATGCGATATGAAAAATATTATTTTTTAAACTAAAATCCAGGTTTTTAACAAGCATTTATCCTACACTTTTTGCTGTAGTGCTGTACTAGATACTAGGCATGCTTTGGAGAATCAAACAGACACAGCCTCCACGCACAGAGGTGCATAATTCAGCGGGAAGACAGACAAGAAATAGAGCTAACAACTTAGACTTTTTTTTTTTTTTTGAGACGGAGTCTCACTCTGTCGCCAGGCTGGAGTGCAGTGGCGTGATCTCAGCTCACTGCAACCTCCGCCTCCTGGGTTCAAGCAATTCTCCTGCCTCAGCCTCCCAAGTAGCTGGGACTACAGGCGAGCACCACCACGCCCGGCTAATTTTTGTACTTTTAGTAGAGATGGGGTTTCACCATGTTGGCCAGAATGGTCTCTAACTCTTGACCTCATGATCTGCCCGCCTTGGCCTCCCAAAGTGCTGGGATTGCAGGTGTGAGCCACCGTGCCCGGCCACAACTTAGACTTTTTAATGTGCTGTGTACGAGTTCATTTACCACTCACAACAACTCTACGAAGATGTTCCTCTCATTATCTGGGGGATGGGGCTGGCTGCAGAGCCCAGGCAGCCTGCTACAGGGTAATTGCTTGAACACAATGAGGGCGGCCCCATAATTATGACAGTGCCACCAAGGCCAGGGCAGGAAGCGAGGCACTCACTCGTTGTCTCTGCACCTCAACTACCAATATTTTTATTTTTGCCTATTTGTTTAGTTGTCTCCACACATGCCCTTCTGATGTTTACATAGTAGCAAAAATTGTATACACATAATGGACTGTATTATCCATAGCCTGCTCACCAAAGCCCCACTGGATATCTGTGACAGGCCCTACTAATCCCCACAAACTAATCCTAAAATAGCCAAAGCCTTATTAGTATGGCCTTCCAAGAGTACTCACTGGATGGATGACTCACCCCAGCTTCAGACTCAGCCCTCAGTATCATAAGATGAACAGTCTTCTCTCTCCTGAACTTGAGGTTTGGTCTCTGAAGCCCCCTGGGGCCAGATGAACTGGAGGCTTATGGGATGGGGTCGGGGGGTGGGGAGAGTACATCTCAGTGGTTGAAAATGAGTAATGTCAGTTTAAATTACTTTTACCAATGCTGCTGTCCGTCGGAAACATCGGCAGTTCTCTTGCTGGTCCCTCTTTCCCCTGAGCTGGAAGGTGGAGGCCTCTGCAGAGTCTGGTTTCTCCATCAGTTCAACTTCTGTCTTGAAACTGCCTCTCAAAAATTCTCCCAGTAGTACCATACTCACTCATTATGCTTTTTTGCTATGGATTTATTCTGCTCTTATAAACCTCACTTATTGCCATGGAATTTGGGCTGGAAGGAAAGGCAAACATATGCTCAAGCTTCACCTTGAACTTGAGCTCCTTGCGGATTTAAAAATTTTGTGCCATCACCTTTTCAGTTGCCACTGCTTCCTTCCATCACATCTTTTTTTTTTTTTTTTTTTTTTTTTTTTTTTTTTGAGACAGAGTGTCTCACACTGTTGCCCAGGCTTGAGTGCAATGGCACGATCTTGGCTCACTGCAACCTCTGCCCCCCAGGTTCAAACAATTCTCCTACCTTAGCCTCCCAAGTAGCTGGGATTATAGGTGCCCGCCACCATGCCCAGCTAATTTTTTGTATTTTTAATAGAGACAGGATTTCACCATGTTGGCCAGGCTGGTCTCGAACTCCTGACGTCAGGTGATCCGCCTGCCTTGGCTTCTTCCCAAAGTGCTGGGATTACAGACATGAGCCACCGTGCCCTGCTCCATCTCATCTTATATTTCAGCCTTTATCACTGTCTTCATGAAGTTCATGCTTCATTGAGATTTATTGAGAACATAATCTAATGTTTTTGAAAACTTTCTTGTATTTCTTGTGGTAAGGTGCTTCTTTTATATTTATTTATTTATTTATTTATTTATTTATTTTGAGTCAGGGTCTTGCTATGTAAACCAGGCTGGTCTTGAACTCCTGGACTCAAGCTATCCTCTCACCTCGGCCTCCCGAAGTGCTGGGATTACAGGTGTGAGCCACTGCACCCAGCTGATGCTTCTTCTGAATAGGACTTTTCTTTTCCTGTGGCTAGAAGTGTTTCATTGGCTTTGTTTTTTTCCCGTCTTGATTGAGGCAAGATCTATCCAGATACTCACAGATGGGACAGGTGACATCCTTGCATGCTAATGAATAGCCTAGTTTCTAGTGCTATTAGGGGGTTTCCTTTTCTTTGTAAAATTTTATAAATAATTTGTTAGGCAGTTGGGAGAGTAAATGAGATATATGCTTAAACACAGAATGATCAAAGGAACAGTCAACACAGATGACTAGACTCTCAAATGTCCTCAGTGAATCTTCTGCTGTGAAGGTCACAATCTTTAGAACTGATTTGGGGTTTTAATTTTGCACTCTGTTCTTTATTTCTGGCCCCACTGGCATCTATTGTAGGTTTACTTGCCCCTTTTTTCTCGACAAAATGTTAAAATACTTTTGAGAGTCTCCTTAAGATGATATGATTTCCATGAGAGTTTATTTCTAGGAAGATTGTGAACGTGGCTCACAAACCTTGCTTCCGGCTAAAAGACAGGGTTTTTTAAGGTGAAAATAATCAATATTCCCAACTCTTAAGACACACCAAAAATTCTTGGAGGAAAAATAGAGAATAATTTAAACCAGAGTGAATGAAGCTAATACTGATTGAAATCCAGAAAATGGGAATTCCAGCATTTTCTGTAGTCATGGTAAAATGCATTTTAACAGTCTGAATCCAGCCTTGATTGTCATCTAAGGGCAATGGAAGTAGTATTTCCAGCTCTGATCCACTGTATAGAAATGCAGACGACAAATGCATGTTGGAATTGGATGGTGGTGTGGTCCTTATGGGAAACATAGCTTGATTCACACGATCATTCGAATTCAATAGTTTTTCACAAAATCACAGAACTTTATTCTCTCATTTTACAGATAAACAGACTGAGGCCAACAAAGGTGAAGACAGTTGCCTAAATAACACAGCTTATTTGCAGAAGAGCTAACAAGCGTTGAGTCGATACTATTTTAGCTATATTGTGTGACTTTTTGTACCAGAGAACTTACAAAAATCATCAGGGCCAGATGGCCTGCAAGATATTGGATCATTAGGACATAAAAATTAGGTAGAATCAAGGTAAGCAGACATTTTCATCAAATTAACTTTTAATAAAAAATTAAAGGACTTTTAAGGTTGAGGAGAAATAAATATTCTCAATAGATTTTCAGAAAAATACGAGCTAAAATGTTGATTTAAGTAACTATTAAGTATTTGATGCTTTAAATTTTTCTGAAAAGAGATCAGGCTTTTATGGCCTAAATTCTTTGTTCAGAACAAATTAATCCGTGTAGTTGGGCTAAACACTTTACCTCTTGGTTATCAGCTTGATCTTTTGTAAAATGAGTGCTAAAGAGATGAGTAGTTTTCCATAGCCATGTTTTGCCATTCTACAAAACTTTATTGTTGACCATTGTTATGGGTCAAAATGGGTTCCCCTCCCCTCAAAATTCATACATTTCATTCTGAGTCGGTAGCTCAGAATGAAAGAGGTAATTATGTTAAAAGGAGGCCATTAGAGTGGATCATAATCTGGTATCACTGGTGTCCTTATAAGGGGAGGGATTAAGTATCAGAAAATGCATAAAAGAAAGACCACATGAGGGTAAGCAAGAAGACAGCCATCTAAAGCCAAGGAAAGAGGCCTCAGAAGAAACCAACCCTGCTGGAACCTTGATCTTGAACTTCTGGCTTCCAGAATGGTAGGAAAACAAAAATCTGTTGTTTAAGCACCTGGTGTGCAGCACATTGTTATGGCAGCCCTAGGAAACCAAAACAACTGTAAACTGAAAACAGCTATCATTTATTGTGTGCTGACTAGGTAAGACTGTACACATATTTCATTTAATCCTCTCACCATCTTCATGAAGTAGGTGCCATTACACACTCACTTCTCATATTAGGAGAGGGAGGTTTATCAGAATTCATCAGAACTCAGCTCAGCGCCGTGGCTCACGCCTGTAATCCCAGCACTTCGAGAGGCCAAGGCAGGCAGAACACCTGAGTTCGAGACCAGCCTGGCCAACGTGGTGAAACCCCGTCTCTACTAAAAATACAAAAAAAGTACCCAGGTGTGGTGGCAGGCAGAGGTTGCAGAGAGCGAGATCATGCCATTGCACTCCAGCCTGAGCAACAAGAACAAAACTCCATCTCAAAAAAAAAAAAAAAAAGAATGAAAACCACCACTATTCATACATTCCATATTGATTCAAAAACACTAAACATTCTAAAATATAAAAATGATTAGTCTGGTAGATGATAAGCTAATTGGTATCTTAAGCATAGCCCTTACATTCTGTTTTTGGTTTGTTGATTATAATATGAAAGTAGAATTAATATGAGGCTATTCAATCACTTCTCAGGTACCTGGTTTGACATATTTAATCTATAATTACATACATTTATTATCAAAATATCTGTATAGAAAATGTATTGAACTGTTTCTGGGTGGGCTGGTGAATATGATTGGCAGATGATCTAGTGTAAGAAATAGAATTAAACAAACTGGCAAGGCCAGATTGACATGCACACATTAGTTTGGTCATTGCCAACACTGTGCAGCATCCATCCCTCACAAATGCTTTCACGCTTAACTAAAGTTCTTGTATAATCTGTACAAGTGTATATTTTATTAAGGGCAATACATGACATAAAAATGTAACACTTCTCTTTAAAAAGAGAATAAGAATGCATTTATTACTTAATGTTGAATAAAGTTTGTTTACTTGGAAAGAAGATTTTTCAAAAGATTATTAGTTTATAGTCTTAAATGGACAATTCTTTAATATTTGGCTAAATATTCTTGGAAGAATGAATTGCAAAACTCCCATAGATGTGTCTTTTACTTAAGCTGAATCTTCAAGGAATGATGACTTGTCTTCAATTTTGGAGTTAAACTCACATATTTAAGAAAGTTAAAATGTTTTGAAATGCACAAAAAAAGTTCACTATGAGACGTCTCTTTGATTTTTCAAATTGCCGATATCACTGCACTTCAACAAAAATACTTTTCCTATGCCTGTAATTCCAGCACTCTGGGAGGCCGAAGCAGGTGAATCACTTGAGGTCAGGAGTTCGGGACCAGCCTAGCCAATATAGTGAAACCCTGTCTCTACTAAAAATACAAAAATTAGCCAGGTATGGTGGTGCGTGCCTGTAGTCCCAGCTATTCAGGAGGCTGAGGTGGAAGGATTGCTTGAACCCGGGAGGTGGAGGTTTGTAGTGAGCTGAGATCACGCCATTGCACTCCAGCCTGGGCAACACAGCGAGACTCCATCACAAAAAAAAAAAAAAAAGCAGCACAAATAATTTTCTGAATGCTTCAAAGTAATTTTTAAATTACTATTTCATAAGGGCTCTGGTTTGAAAATATGAAAATTATGAATCCATTCACAGATCATAAAACAATCATTGGAAAAACATTGAAGAAAAATAATTTAAGAATTATCACTAGAGGTAGTATTACAGTTAATTTTTAATTTAATTACAGTAATGCAGTTTTTCTTGAATGTCAAATCCAAGAAATTTTTTGTTACCTAACGAGGCAGCACATGCTATAGTCACATACTTAGCTAGAAAAATGTATGAGAAAGAATGAACATTTATCATTTATTACATTCTCCTAACGATGTTCACTATTAAACATTTTTGCAACTTTAAATATACATACAAATGTGTATTTACTTTTATTTTGCTGATAAAATAAAATGTTTTCACTTTCTTCTATTTTTGAAATTGTTTTATATATATATAACTGTATATAAAAGTGTTTATTTTCTTCTTTTTGAAGCTTATTATGACAATCCAATATGTGAAAGTCTACAGCAGAGAATTTAGAAATTTTAACTGTTTGTAACTGAATTTGTGCTAAGAGACACCATGCTAAAACTAAGGGGTTTTCATCACTAATATTTTATAACAGGTCCAAGAGCCAAATACAGCTAAATGTAAATTTTGTGCACTTGAGTTAGCCTAAGATACAGCAGAAACTAATCAGCTGGAAATGGTTTTTAGTATGACATAAATCAATTTTTATACAGCACTATTAAAAATTTCATTTTAAAATACTGATAATAGAAAAACCTCAATGTGATTACTGAAAAGTTAAGAGTAAATATTTTAAAAAGCATATCACTGGAAATTGTTCAAATCAATTTTATGTGCTTTACTCTTACAAATTTACTACCAGTAAAACAATGTCTTCTCTTGTCTTAATTACTGATTAACAGAGTTAGAAATTATGTTATCACACTTATTTCTTCAAAGAAAGAGAGTAGACAGAATAAACAGCAAAATGATGCTACACAGTTTCCTACAGTGAGGTGGGGAGAAAATTACCTTCTGGAACACAATGGTTAAAGATGTTAACATCCCCCTACTTTTTTTTTTTTTTGACACATATGATTCAAGCTTATGTAAAGTGGACCGACTTCTCCTCATTTACTTATCTACAGAACGTCGGTGCTCACCCAGTATGAGGATCATACGAATTGGTGGTTGGAAAAGCATTGAAATGTCACTGACTTTGACTGTCAGATGTGTGGGGTCAGGCAGGCATGTGTTTCTCGGATGCTCATTGTAGCTCTTGCTTATCCATTTTTATTAACTGATCCAGGTGGGTGTATAATGCTACAGGTAATGAACCCAGTGAACTCAAGATCTGCCTCCTCCAAGTGTGGTCAAATTCAATAATTTAGGATTAAGACAATTATTTATAATTAAAATCCCGAAGTAAACATTTACTAAGCACCTCCTAAATTCAGAACTGACACCTGTTGTTCGGGTGGCCAGTCAGGGTCTTCGAAGCAATTCACACACCACATTCCATGTTCTTCAGTGACTCACAAGGAAGTTGGCATTATTGTGTGTGGAACAGCAGCAGAGCTTACTAACATTCTCAGCTACAAAACAAAAAATAACGAACCAGAGACTTCAGCTCAGTTCTTGTGATTGGAGTTGTGTTTCCTCCAGAGTGACGAGCATGGTATAAGACGCCTCGCCCTGCACCCCATCACGGCTCTCCCCAGACAGCCCTGACAGAGGGTAGGTACAACAAACACACATTGCTCAGTCGCTGCCGTCACCTCTCCAAGCTTCTGTTCCATTCTCCACTCTCACATTATCCACTGTCATGAAACAAAAGGAGAAAAAGAAGAGAAAAACTACGTTCAAAATGTTTATTGTTACCATGATCATTACTGTTGTTATTTATTATACTGGTTTATTTTAGAAGGAAAATAATTTGGGTTTAGAGGTGCTTAGAGGTGGATTGTGGGAATTTATAGTGTAGTCGTGGGACTATAAGGATGAAGGAACCATTGCCCTTAAAAAAAATTAGGAACTTGGTTGGTTCGTTACAGTATTCATTGACATGAAAACATCCAGAAACTTACAGTCAGCAAGTGTGTATGTGAGTCACAACTCACATAATACTCATGTGAGTTGTGGTCAGAGACTAGCATCCCACGGGCCCTGGAACCAGACACACCTGGGTTTGATTTCTGACCACAGCTTATCACTATCTGCTCTTTGGCAGATGGCTTAACCAAGCTAACCTCTATTTTTCAGATCTGTGGAATGGGGATAATAATAGGACCTATCTGACAGGGTGGTTGGGATCATTGACTGAAATAACACATGAAAGAACTTAGCACAGTGCCTAGCAGGCAGTAAGTACTCAGGAAATGTCAGCTGCTGTCAAACTTTCTAGGAACAGAAAAGCAGAGCTGTATCTAATATAGCTTAAACTGGTATGCTCTGCAGGACAGGGAGGAGTCTCATTTTGCATCAAGAGCTTTCCATGGGTCATGTTATTTCACCCTGCACGATGCTGTGTGGTCTCATCACCACTGAACACACAAGACCCTGAGACTCTGAGAGGTAGACACTGCACTCTACAGCTGCGATTCACACCTGGATCTGCTGGCTCAAGGTCTGCACTCTTTCCACTGCACCACAGTAACCCACATGAATCAGCAATGAAAAGGCAAGACGGAGTAAGGTGAGGCCAATGGCGATGGGGAGCGCAATGGGATTTCGAGAAGGGGGCTCGTGTGAGCTGGGGCAGTCAGGAAGGGGGCCTGGCCCTCAGCTGAGTGGAAAAGGGCAAAAGGATTTGTTTAGACTAAGGGGAAGGGTGCACATTCTGGAAAGGTCAATTCCACCCCCTCAACCTTAGTCAAGACAGGATTTTATGCTCACCAGAGGCCAAGTCCTTCTTTGTCAGTTGATGTACCAACAGTCCTGGCTATGAGCTTGCTGCACAGTTCTCATCAGGACCAGAAAGGGGGCCTGGGTCAGCCTGTCCCTCTGGGGCCATCCATCACAGCTGCTTCTTACCCAGACTGGGGAAGCCCGGGACAACCTCTGAGTCCTGGTACCTGCAGCCAGGCTGTGACAGCATTTATCAGAGGGCTAGGGGCAGCCTGGTCCCTGCAGCTCTTGTATGCCTGCTGGGGAGGGCAGGACTGGCGGTAGAGAAGATGGGATCCAGCTGGGGTCTGCTGGCCTCAAAATGGTCTCAAGTAGTGAATGCAGGGGCTCCCACAGGACTAGAGCTTTGCATTTCTGGTTCTTCATCCAGTTCTGAAGCTTAGACATAGTGGATATAAAAATAATCTGGGGAGCTTGCTCACAATGCAGGTATTCCTGGCCTCACCCCAACTATTTTAATTTCAGGTAATTTGGGTGGGGTTCAGGAATCTTCATTTAAGAAAAATACCTCCAGTGACAGACAGATGGCCATCAACCACAATTTGAGGAAAAAAAAGCCTCAAGTTCATGCTATTGAGCTCAACCTTTGGGAAAAAATTCTTCTATCCTGTGTGAAAGAAAATGGTGTTTTTCTAAGTCCCAAGAAAACATCCTAAAGGGATGCAAGGAAGGATTCGATGGGCATTCCTTCCAAGGCATGAAAGGAGAGCGGATGGCTGTGTCTTGTACTCAGCCGCCCTCCACAGAGCCTGTGGCAGACCCGGGAATGTCCATGTGTCTCAGAGCTGAAGTGAGGTGCATAGGCCAAGTTCAAACCAGTGCCGCCTCCTTGCAGGGTGGTCAGAAAACACATGGACATTTGTCAAGAACTCTGGAGTAGCCCATGTCTGTGGTTACACAATGAAACATTCTTCCCCAGCAGCAACCCCCAGAAGGCTTCCAATATTTCGCGCCCACACACTGAACATGAAATAGTGATTCATGGTAAGAGGATGTGCATAGAAAAAGCTTAGAAGTGACCCCTTCTTATTTTGCAAATAACAAAAGGAAACACTCCTTTAGATCCCGTGTAATTCAGAAGCCGATTGGGTGGCGTGTGGGCTTTCAGAGAGAATGAAGACAGACATCTGGCAAGGACTTTTCTTGGTCATAATGACTTGCTTCTCATTCTGCTTCCGATGGCCTCCAAGAGGATGCAGTTATGGGGAGAAATGGGACGCAGGAGATCTGGGGTCAGGGGAATGTGGATCACAGGGGTGTGTCCAGATCCCTGGACC
The DNA here is from genome assembly GCF_000001405.40 of Homo sapiens. Taxonomy (NCBI): domain Eukaryota; kingdom Metazoa; phylum Chordata; class Mammalia; order Primates; family Hominidae; genus Homo; species Homo sapiens. The sequence continues at coordinate 10,320,658 of NC_000018.10, read as the reverse complement.
TGCCACGTTTGTGATCTCGGAAACATGATTCCATCTCTCCAGGTTTGTATTTCTCCATGTATGATTAATGGTGCCTCTACTGACATGTGGGCGTGATGATCATAAGATGATCAAAAAATGGTTATTGAGGCCAAAACTCTCAGCATCGTCGTGGACGCTTACACTGCACATCTGATCCATCGCAATACCTGCAGCTCTACTTGCCTTCTTGCGTCTCACCATTCCTCACCCTTGCCCCACTGCCACCCTGGCCAGAGGCTATCACTTCCCACCTGGGCTGTTGCAATGGCTTCCAAACTGGTCTCAAAGCTCCTCCCCTGGCACTTCAATCCAGATTCTTCCCCATCCAGTCAGAGCATGGCGCTCCTCTGCTGTTGCTCTACTCTGCCTTGCTTCTGCCCTCGGACTTGGTAGAATCTGCCTTACCTACAGAGCTATAAGGTCTTGCAAGTTTGATCTGCCTACATCCTCACCCATAGACAACTACCCTCCTCTCCTCCCACTTCCCCTCTTGCTTGCTTCTCTCAGCTCCCTGGCCTCTCTGCTAACCTTGGAAGGGACCAGACAAAGTTCTAGCTCAGCCCATTTGCACTTCCTGTCCCTTCTGCCTATGTCACTTTTTCTTTCTGATATCAGCATAGCTTATTCTCTCACCTTCTCAGTAAGCAATTTCCTGCCACCCTATTTAAAATCGTACACCACCCTTTACTCCATACCCTCTTTCCTGCATTTTTCTTTTGAACATAGCAGTTATCACCATCTATCATACTGTAAATATGACATGTCCATCTTGTTAGTTGCCTGTTACCTACCACATGATGACAAACCTGGCACATATTTATTGAAGGAACAAATAAACTATAATGATCAATTCAACTTCAAGTTGGCTAACTCATCAGCAAACATCTGTGGAATCCTTTAAGTAGAAGGATTTTGGAGAAGTGATTATTGTAAGTTGTTATGTTTTAGGTATGTTAGGACTATCACTACTTTCTTATTCTTTCCTCGTTTATTAGCAGAGCCAGGTAGGTGCAATTGCTACAAAGTGATTTGATGTGGCCTTTCTTACTTTTTTTAACCTGTTGCCATTAGACCTTCTATATTATTCAGCAGTTACTAGGTTATCCTGCAATAACAAATGCACTTTGAAATTCCCAAAACATACACTTAGATTTATTTCTCACCCATGCTACATGTCCAACTTGGGGCAAGGAGTTTTCTGCTCCACATCAGCACTCTGGGATCCAGGCTGACAGGGACTCCATCAAGAACATCTTTGACTGAAGAAAGGAAAGAGAGTGCAGACTCAGGTGGAGCAAAGGTGTCCAGATTTGACCAATTAAACGGCAGCCCAAGAGACCTGTGTCACTTCTAGGCTGAGGAAGAAAGTAAACCCCCGTGCAAGGACCTTGTAAAGTGCAGTTTCCCACATGCCCAGAAAAAGAAAAGGAGAAGCAACACTGCTGAGCCCTAGTATTACCCAGCATTCTTCAAGTGTAGAAATTGTTTAGTGCTGCAGCTAGAATTCAGAAGAAAAAAACACTGTCTGATCCATTCATGGCCCCAAAGTCAAATATTATGGGAAAAAAATATTAAAAAGAAATTGAGCAAAGATTAAAAATTATAATGGACAAAACTCCAATATCCTTATTGAGTCTAAAATGGTATTTTTCATGTATTCCTTTGTGGTCACTATAAACCAAACTTAGAATATTTTAAGATGTTTTTGTTCTTCATCATCTATTTAGCTTTACTGAGTGTTCTTCTGCTTCTGTAAAATGCCAGCTTCAAGAATCGTCCCCACTTATGTAGGAAATGGGCGAGGGCAGGGGGAACTGTGTTAGAATGCTCCAGGCTCTGTGGGAGGGATAAGGGATAAGGAGCACTCACATGCTGTGAACAATTCAAGCTGCACCGTGACTCTGAGGAGGTGATGTCACTCCTTGCTCAATGGCCCCAAAGAAGAAGGTTATGCCAGGATTAAAAATTGGGTGTTGAACTCCGAGAGCTCTGTCCCTTCCAGCATAACCCACTAGTACAGAACGCTGACTTTCAAAAGCTGGTGAGGCTCAGCCACTCCAGGGAATCAGAGCTCTAACATCAGAGTGGCTGAGCTGGGAGATACCCAAAAAGGACCATCTCAGTCAAATCCTTGTTTTATAGATAGTATTATTAATAATGTTTTCAAGTGCAGATTGGAGCTGGATATTTTTATATACATTAGCAGGGGTGCTTCCAGGTTATAGGTAGATTTAAAATTGTTCTGATTGGCAACTGGCTGAAAGAGTTATTATCAATAGAAAGGAATGTCTGAGCTGCCATAAGAGGTTTCAGAAACCAAAGTTTTATCATGCAGATGAAGCCTCCAGGTAGCAGGCTTCAGAGAGAATAGACTGTAAATGCTTCTTATCAGAGTTAAGATCTATGTTGATCTTAACGCTGGTCAGCTTGTCTTGAAATCAAAAAGGGAGGAGGTCATAATGAGGCTTGTCTAACACCTTCTTCCTGTCATGACCTGAGCCAGTATCTCAGGTTAATGTTGGAATGCCCTGGCCAAGAGGAGGGATCCATTCAGAGGATTTGGCGGAGGAACTCAGAATTTTATTTTTGGTTTACAAGGTGCTAGGAGGAAGGGTGAGACTATGTGAGCAGAAGAAGTCATGGAATTTTCAGTAGTCCCTTCACTGAATAACTGAGGAATGGCGGAAATGCTGACACCTGCAAGACAAAGCTGAAATTCTGAGGGTGGGCTGGAATCATTATGTGCGTGAGAGAAGGTGGCAGAATCTTACACCTGGAATTCTTTAGGGGACAACTCACTTCTATTTTGATATTTGCTGTGGCTTGAACCTCTGTCCTCCCCCATCCTTTCAGCCCAGGTTCCAGCACCCAAGCCAGTTGAGGTGGTGTATGCAGCTTATGCGACTCATGACAAAAAATGCAGATGGAGGGACTATGAAATTGACACCTCAGTCTTCTTACAAGGACAATCTTTGACAAGAAGACAAAGATCTGGAGGAATTTTTTGAGATGCACCCAGGCATTGCTGCTTAAGTGCACCTCGGGGGGAGAGAAGTCAGCGTGTGTGTCCCTTGGCCAGATAGCAAGTAAAGGAGATGGATTGGTGGGCAGGGGCTCTGGCTTAGAGTCCCCACTGGGGTCATGGTGGGGTAGGAGTCTGGAGTGGCCCTTCATGGAGTAAGCACTGGGACCCCGACAGCAGGACTGCGTTTGTGGTTTGCCTGCTCTGCTCCTGAGGGGCTTTCATGCTGGAGCAGGGTCTGCAGTCTGCAGGCAGAAGGAGAGGGCACAGGCATGGGCCTTGTATCCACCTGGTTTCCTGGGACCTTGCACATGGCTTTGTTTCTGCCATGCTGCTCTGTGGGTGATGCTTTGTCTTGTTGCGTTAAAGTGTGTGTGCTTGGGTGTTGCTTGAGACTGTGTGTGTTGGGAGCATCCAGAAGGGGGTAGTAAGCAGGACCGAGTCAGTGAGGAAACGCCTCAAGTGAGGCCCTCAACCCCAGACATCCTTAACACACACCTTTAAAACAAACTTGCTATGAACGTAGTTTAGAGTTACAGAAAAGGTGCAAAAGCCAGCCAAACAGTGTGCTGGTAACATCCTACCTAACCATAGCAGAATTATTGACAACAGGATCTTTGCTGTGACACAACGTTGCCTCAACCACAGACCCCATGGGAATTCAGCCGTCCCCATGGGTGTCCTCTGTCCCAGAACCCACTCTGCCTTTAGCTGTTTTCTCCTTAGTTCTCTCCAGCCTTCAATATTTCAGTCTCTTCCTGTCTTTTTTGATCTTGAAGGATTGTTATCTTTTAGATAAGAGATAACATGGCTGGGCGTGGTGGCTCACGCCTGTAATCCCAGCACTTTGGGAGGCCGAGGCAGGTGAATCACAAGGTCAGGAGATGGAGACCATCCTGGCTAACACGGTGAAACCCTATCTCTACTAAAAATACAAAAATTAGCCGGGCGTGGTGGCGGGTGCCTGTAGTCCCAGCTGCTGGGGAGGCTGAGGCAGGAGAATTGCTTGAACCCGGGAGGCGGAGCTTGCAGTGAGCCGAGATCGTGCCACTGCACTCCAGCCTGGGCGACAGAGTGAGACTCGTCTCAAAAAAAAAAAAAAAAAGAGATAACTTCTCTCTTAGCAATTTAACCCTTAGAAATAAATTCTCTCCCAATGAACTAGGACAGAATTCTCTGTTACCATTTAAATTATTTTCTGCTTCTGGATATACATTTCTTTCTCAGTGGGCAGATACTGTTGCCATACACTTCTCTGTTTCCCTGCCTCCTGTGGAGGAGTCACATTTTGTTTCAATGCTCAATTTACAAAAGAGAGATACCCGTTCTAGTTCTGGGTTACTCTTTTTTTTTTTTTTCCTCACTGTTCCCCAGGCTGGAGTGCAATGGCGTGATCTTGGCTCACTGCAACCTCTGCCTCCCAGGTTCAAGCAATTCTCCTGCCTCAGCCTCCCAAGTAGCTGGGATGATTACAGGCAACTACCACCATGCCTAGCTAATTTTTGTATTTTTAGTAGAGAGGGGGTTTTGCCATGTTGGCCAGGCTGGTCTCGAACTCCTGACCTTGTGATCCGCCCACCTCGGCCTCCCAAAGTGCTGGGTTTACAGGCGTGAGCCACTGTGCCTGACCTCTTGGTTACTCTTGACCTTTAAATGGTGTTGTCTAGTGATTTCTTCTGCAGAATGACAATTTCCTTTTCCACTCTTGAGTGATGCTGTACTCTACTTGATCATTTGTTCTCCCTACTGGCATTTTCTCTGCTGCTTCTCTCTCTCTTTATGGAGGTCCCAGTGATACTGTTGCTCCTTTGAAAGCCCTCTTTTTTTCTCTCTGCAAACTTCTAAGATTTTGTCTTTGGCCACCAGCAGGTTTCCTGTTATGGTTCCGGTCATAGTTCTCCTTTTTGTTTGCTCATATTTTTTTGTGAAGCCCACAGGAACTAAGATGTGCTAAGTGCATTTGACCATTATTACCTGAAATTTCAATCATAGGGAACAAGTGTCTTCTCCATGACTTGTCTCTATGGGAATGAGGAAACCCATTGCTGTGAATTTCACAGGGTTGTGAGAATGACTGCTCTCCCATCTCCCTCAGAGCAGAGATGGATGAAGGGGTTGATAGGCACAGGCTGGCTTCAAAGGCAGCAGGAGAGGCCCCGGTTCTCTGACTCCTGACTGCACTCCCTGCCCTCTCTGGGCTCCTGTTCTTCTGACAAAAAGAGCAGAGTGTCAGACTGGACTCGTCCACCTGCATGCATACCTTAGCGTGTACTGAGGTTCCAGGCTCAAACTCCTCCCCAGGTGACTGCATGGGAGAGGAGGGGGCTGAAGTCACAGACTGGGAGTTCACTCCTGGTGTGTAGGGAGCAGACTGCACACAGCTGAAAAGAAGTCATGAGTGCAGGCAGGGCCCAGGAGTGGGGAACAGAATGTATTTTCCTGTCACTCTACTTCACCAGAGCCAAGGAGGGAAAAAAAACGAGGAGGAGGTGAGGGAAGATGCGCGGCCATATGTTTCAAGGAGGCGGGAGAACTGACCCCTCAGTGCACACGGAGGATGTCTGACCCTCACAGAGGCCACCTGCACTGGAGCTTGGGTGGCAACAGTCAGGGAGGGCCACCTTTAGGACTCTGAGAGCAGGACACCAGAAAAAAAAAAAAGGAAAACATTTCATTTGAAAGACTGATGTTTATTACCGAACAACACTGAAAAATCATGTCCTGGGACACATCAGAAGTCCACTTTCTTTCCTCATGGCTTGGTCTTGTTTTTATTTTGACCTGGGGCAGTAGGGGAGGGGAGCCATAAGCTTTTCAGAACCAGGGCCTCTAGAAAGCCTTCCTCCAGTCCTGGCGACAGCTGTTGCCAACAGCAAGTGCTGCTTTGAGTCTGCATTTCCAGAGCCCCTCTTGGCTGTCCCCATGGTTGGCATTTGCAGGAACACAAGTGCCCCTCCCAGCTCCTCAGCAGAATCAACCCCAGCTCACCCACAACACAGCCAGGAGGAGGCACAGGGCCTAAAGGCCTCCACAGCCACACGGAGGTGCATCTTGGCCCTTAGCGCTGGGATATGCAAAGCGGGGTCCGCAAGGGGTGTGCCTATGGGGGCCCAGAAAGATCCACCCGCAGGCTTGTTTCACAGGAGAGGGGTGTCTCGTAAAAACTACACACCCATCCTAATTGCAACCAATTCTGTTCATTGAAAGTCAGTAAAAGGAGGATATCATAAAAAAGGATACATGTGTACTGTAAATATTTATTTTACCAAAAACACATGTTTGTGCGTTCACTCGCCAGGATTTTGATGGAGTACTGAGGCCTTCTTTTGGCTATGAGTTGCTCACTGAAGTTCTGTGTCTCCTTGCATAAACCGCTCCTATGAATCATTTGGGATTTCCATTTTGATTTCTTTAAAGTGAAGTGTGAAAATAAAGCCATTTGAGAAATAATCAAAATTCCAAAACTTCTGGAGTTTTATGATACGGTTGTCTCACCTACACTTAATTCAACAGCAATATGCTGAAAGACTTGCCTGTTTGCAGTCTTTTCAAAGCATTCAACTTACGTTTGTTTGTTTTGTTTGTTTGTTTGGGTTTTATTTATTTATTTATTTATTTATTTATTTATTTATTTAATGGAGTTTCACTCTTGTTGCCCAGGCTGGAGTACAGGGGTGTGATCTCGGCTCACTGCGACCTCTACCTACCAGGTTCAAATGATTCTCCTGCCTCAGCCGCCAAAGTAGCTGGGATTACAGGCGTGTGCCACCATGCCTGGCTAATTTTATATTCTCAGTAGAGACCAGGTTTCACCATGTTGACCAGGCTGGTCTTGAACTCCTGCCCTCAGGTGATCCACCCGCTTTGACCTCCCAAAGTGGTAGGATTACAGGCATGAGCCACCACGACTGGCCTGGACTTAGTTTTAAGAGAAACAATAAATATCCTTCTTTTTGTACTCATACTTCATTGGTTTCACACTATTTAATTAGATTATGTAATTGCAGTGACATGTGCAACTGGAATAAACAGGTTGGGAAAAAATATGTCCGATTTGTGGCAAGCATACATCTCTCCCCTGGGGGACACAGAAGAATGTGTGCACCCCAGAGAGCTGCTGCAGAGCTGATGATGTTCAGCTTGTGAGCATTCGTGACTGTCTTCCATGCAAGTAGTGTTGCTCGTAAACACAACACATGCATTTCTGTCGCACTGTCGGCTTTCATCAGTTTATGCTGCAGTGACATATAGCTCCAAAGCTTCATTGGCTTACAAGAACAAAGATTTGCTTCTCCTCCACATCAGGCACCCTTCCCATTTGGCTGGAGCTCCATGTCTCCCGCTCGTTGTTTCAGAATCCAGGTGAAAGGATCTGTCCCTATCTGGGGCATGCCAGTATCATGGTACAGGAAAAGGGATGTGGAACCATGCAATGGCCCTTACCACTTCCATGTGGACCTGGCACATGCCTTAACTTCACCTTGTACTAGCCAGAGCAAGTCACATGGTTGAGTCTTTCTTCAGGGAGGGGACAATATAATCTCCTGGGGCTGGACGGGGTGGTGGGGTGTGTGGTGGGGCACTGCAACTCTTGGACAAGCTTGATCTCAAAGGGAGAGGTCATGCAATCCTCTCCCAAAGGAGGTAGTGACTATCTGGAGCAAAGATATACTCTACAACATAGGCTAAGTAAAGACCAGTGAACAGAGACTCTATTGTATATGGTATGGCTTAATATGGGTCAATGAACTCAATGGTGTGTTACAGAATGGCTCTTGTTTAAAGGAGATGGCCCTCTGAAATTCCTATAGTTCAGCCTCTCAGAGCCATTGGAAACCTGAAATGTGAAGCTCCATCTACCACAGACTCTTCAAGAGCTGAGCCTAGGAACAGTACATACCATGCGTTCACTAAAAGCTTGTTAAATGAGTGAATGAGTTTGCCCACCTTCATCTTAGAGACAGTCCCAGCACTGGAGGGAAGCCACAGAGCTCTTCTTGGAATGAGAGAGAGGACTCTAGGGGACATGTCAGTAAAATGTTGTGGCTCAGGTCACATTCTTGGGAAGAGCATCATCACGGGGCTGAGTTCTGGATGCCAGAGGATATTGGTAGCCCACACTGGACCGGATCCTAGAAGAAGCAGACCTTGGGAAGAGCTGGAGAGACAGGGAGGGCTCCAGGGGAAATCTATGATGAACAATTGATGGTCAGCATGGCTTCCCACGGTCTGGGACCAAGCCCCTGAGCCCACAAACAGAGCTTGGGGATAAAGTAGACAGACGAAGGCAGCAGGTCAAGAATCCTCACCACCCTGGGGAATGTGTGTTAATCTAGTCTTATTATTTGAACAGGAAACAAAAAACTGATCAAATACTTCTGGGAACTCCTTCTGCAGGCTTGACTTTCTTAGCCATCAGGCACACTCAGGGTCCACAGCAAAACTCCAGCTGCTTCCTTAGGAGTAAATAATCTGATGTATAGAAAGTTCTTGACAAATATGTGTTCCTCATCTTTCATTGCAGCTTCAAGCACTGATGACCATCTGTTTTAGCCCGAGTTGCCTATGAAACAGAGCGTTATGCAGAAGCTGAAGTACTAATGCCTTGTTAGAGGATGCAAGCCCAGGGAAGCAAGAGTGAGAGGTAAAGAAAGAGATAAAGGAGGAACAACCAATGGACAGGGGTGCATTACCAAGATGGCCACTACTTCATTACAAAAAGAACTGATAGATCCATCCTGTGGCATGGCTCAGAGAGGCTACAGGAAACATGGCATCTCAGAGCATCATTTAGGAAAGGAAGGGTGAGCAGATTATCTGTGGAACTCCCCCTCGCTCCTGGTGTTATTTTGGACCCTGGCAGCATCCAGGAAATCCAACACCTCCATATGGTTGGCCACTGGGGAAGGTCTGGTTATGGTCAGCGGATCTGGTTTGGAGCATAAACTGAGCATGGTATTTATCCATAGTAAAATCCCTGTTTAGTGGGTCCCTTTATAGTATGCAGGATGGTACCTAGATCAAGTGGTTGTTATGAGGATTAAGTGAAATCATGAACACAACATCCTTAGCAAAAACCCAAGGACATGGTGAGTGTTCAGTACATGTAGCTGCATTGAACCCCAAGGCACAAGAGCTGTCATCACCGTGTGTGTGTGTGTGTGTGTGTGTGTGTGTGTGTGTTGGCCTGTTTGTGCACATGTAGAGGATGGCAGTGATGAGAAAGAAAGTAGTCAACATCTCTTACTCAAAGTCTGACACAGTCCACTAAACTGATCATTCACCTAATTTTCAATATTTTCCGTGTTCTAAGGACAGTGGTCTAATTGATTGTCTTTATAGTTTTTGAAGTGTAACATTGTATCCTTTCAGGCTGGACATAAAATCATCCCCATCCTAATTCTCTAGTCTCGATTCTAGGGCTATGGACTTGAGGAAGCCTTTCTAAGTACATGTGTTGAGACTGCCTGAGACCTGGCAAACTTCTTAAAGGAAATCCAATTTGCAAGGAAACCATTGCCCAACTGAAGTGAGACCGAACAAACATGATTTGATATTTCCATGAAGAAATTCATTAACGCGGCTTTTCATGATATGACCTTGCTGTGAACACCAAAATGAAGTTTGGTGAAAAGGTCTCTGGCAGGGAGCGTGAGGCTTCTCCTTAGATAGCCTGGAACAGGTATCACCCTGGTGAGGCCTGGTACAGCCGCAAGTGTGGAGCTGGCCCCTCATCAGTCACTCTTGAGAATCACCCAGTTCTGTGGGTAGAGAAGGGAGCTTTCCCTGTCCACTCATGATGGGAGAATCCACAGGCCCCCAGGTCCTGAAGGAGGAAAGTCCGCAGGAACTTCCCTGAGTCCTCAGCCCATCTTAGTCAGTTCCCTTTTGTCTCCAACTTCCAAAATGTACATTGCATTCATCCTCCCAACTCTTTATTTAAATAGTTCTACGAGGTTATAAATTGAAGAGTTCTTTAGAAACACAGCAGTGCACGCAGGCAGCATTCTGTTCCTAGGATTTGGTGTGGGAACTGTCCATTCCAACCCCTGTAGCACTTTCAGGCAGGAATGAGCCTTGGGGCTACATCCTCTAGAGGTTCCCCCCTCCCTGGGTTGATTCCCCATAGATGAGAATCTTGCCTTTGCAAGTCTATTAGGGGACACAATTCCATACAAAACAGTGCAGTCTAGGAGAAGGCAGCGAGCACAGCATGCGTCCTCACCCTCTTTAGACACTTGCATCCTAACGAACCCCTCTGGGCCTCAGTCTCATGCAACTGTTAAAAAATTGAGATAACGATAACTATAGTACCTCATGGGGTCGGGGATTAAATGAGGTGAAATTGATGAGCTCCTTATCAGTGTTTGTCACTAATCAGTCTTATGGCCCCAGGACTGAATGCAAGGACAGAGCTTATTGACACTGATTGTACCCATCTTCTACAAGGAGAAGTAGATACCATTTCTATATCTACTTACATACAACAAAGTATAAAGGCTACATAGTAGATTCATGTGTTAATCTCCAACTCCTCACTGAGAAACTGTTGATCACCCTTAGCAA